>NC_000011.10:116263333-116566364 GCF_000001405.40 Homo sapiens | reverse complement strand
TGGGAAATGTGAGAAAGCAGGAAAGGCTTGGGGTTATGGACAGAATGTTTGTGTCCCCCAAAATTTATGTGTTGAAGCCCTACCCCTCCACCCCCACACCCCCAAAGTAAAGGTATTTGGAGATGGGGCCTTTCTTTGGGGGGTAATTAGGTTTAGATGGGGTCATGAGGGTGGGGCCCCCATGATGGGATTAGTGTCCTTATAAGAAGAGGAGAGACCAGAGCTCTCTCTTTCTCCACTATTTGAAGATATAGTGAGAAAGCTGCCATCTGTAAGCCAAGAAGAGGGCTCTTACCAAGAACTGAATCTTTTGACACCTGGAGTGTGCAGTTCCCAGTCTCTAGAAATATGAGGAATAAATGTTGGTTGTTGACACCATCCAGTCTATGGTATTTTGTCATAGCATCCCAAGCTGACTAAGACACTTGGTGACCTCCTTTTGCTGGATTGTGGAGATACAGGACAGTCCTTGTCCCAGTTGTTTACACTCATGGAGGGGCACATGCAAGTGCATAGGAAGGCCGTGTGAAAAGAAGCAGGCCACGGTTCAACACCCTAAGGGAGGTACCAGGAGGAGCATGGGTTCAGGGGTGAGAGCAACCTTTTCTTGGCGTGGACCTGAGTGGGGGCAGTTTGTGTCTGAGCCCAATCTCAAACTATGGGTAAGAAATTGATAAATGGCAGTGGCAGGAAAGACTGTTCCAGGTGGCAAGAATGGCATGAGGAAGGCCACCAGACAAGAAATGGTGTTGTATCTGGGAACTGGGTGAGGTATCAGTGTATTTGATGCATGCAGTGTAGGTGGAAGAGGGATGATAGAGAAACGTTGGGCAGAGCTTGCGCCATGTCATGGAGGACCTGGAAGTCCAAGTCTGGGCTTTGCTGAATTATCAGTGAGGAGCTGCGGATGGATTTTGAGCTGGAGATGGCATGATGAGAGTGCTGCTTGAGGACAATTATTGAGCAGAGTTGCACAGGATGGACTGGAGCAGCATAGCGTGATGGTGGTAGTCTGGGCAGAGGTGGGTGGCCGTGTGAAGAGGTGTGGGCTGTGTGCTGGGGAATCTTAGGGAAGAGAAAGGCTCCCTACCATCAGCCTGGCCGGAGACATGTGACCAACAACGTATATGAAAAATGGGGAAAAGGTATAAGAAAAGTATGTAATGAACTGCCAGATGGGATACGGTCAAGTGCCAAAATACATGTTTTGGGCTGATAGAAAAGGATGAATCAACAGTGGCTGGAGAGAAGAAATGGGCTTCTTGGACCAGGTGGGACTTCAGCTGATTCTTGAACATGGGAGGATTTGAGAGTAAAATGAGTATTGGTAAAGGAGAGAGGGAGCGGCTCTGGCAGGGAACAGTGTGGCGGGGGTAAGCGTACGTGATTAGACCCTGAAGGCCAGACTAGGCTGAGCTAATCATATTATTCCTGGATACAGTGTATTATTAAATTCAGGACTCCTGGGGCTTGAAGGTTGGGGTCGTTAGGAAGGCCCAGGTGAGGGTCTCCAGCTCCTGCCCTCTGCAAAGCTCCAGATCTCTATGCCCACCCAGCCAGGACCTCCACAAAGTCTTGAATAGGCTAGCATCATCTCTTCTGGCCTGTCAGAAGCCAGAATTCTCACCTCAACCTCTGTGCTAAGACCAGGCCTTTCTGTGGGAAGCACAGAAGAGAGCCAGGGAAGGAACGCGGCCCGGGAGGCAGGTCCTGAGAAAGCAGCCTGGGCTGTAGGAGTCAACAAAAAAGTCACACTTTTGAGATCTTGTCTGATGCCCTCACCTGGTCCTAGGTCTCCTGGGTGCCCTCAGGGGCCCCTAGATTTCTATGAGGAAATCTATATTTTGAGATCCAAAGGTGCAGTTATCCCTGGCACCCTGTCTTCCCTCCACTCTGCCCTTGGTGGCTTCACCAGGAGACTTTTTTTTTTTTTGGAGACAGAGTCTTGCTCTGTCGCCCAGGCTGGAGTGCAGTGGTGCGAGAGACTTCTTTAACGTTCCCTTTGGTTGTTTCTGAAATGGGTCTTTGTAGAGGGGAGACAAAAACTCAGTTCATGGCTACAGTCCTGGCCTGATTCTGAAGTGCTGGGTGCAGGGGCAGGAGAGATGATGGGGAGCCATCCCTGCTGGGGGCACATCTATCCTGCACCCTCCCCTGTCTGAGGCAGCGGGGAGCCCATGGTGGTTATCATTCCACCTGCCTGGGGGGCAGCCCAGGCTGGCCCCATCTCCTCATCCTGGCCCATCTAACTCTAGACTGCTGGAGATGTATCCACCTCTAGACTGCTGGAGATGTGTATGGATGGCTCCAGTTTTGATCTTGTGGGAGGGTCAAAGCTGTGGGGAAATGATCCAAGACAGGCAAAGGGATAAGGAGTATTTGGGGGTCTGGTAATTTGACCCTGTATCTCTCCTCTCCCTCAACCCTGGTATTTGTTCAGGTGACTGAAGGCTAAGTTTCTGGTTGGTACCTCTTGGCAGGGGCACTTGAGTGACTAAAGAGGAACTTGCAGCCTGGGAGGGAAGAAGTGCAATGTCACGGCTCCATACGCATGTCCCATGATATGTGGCACCATTAGAAGGACCTGTGCCTCCCGACCCCCTGCCACGCAGCCCACAGAATCAGGGCTGCACAAACACTGAGCGGGTTCCCGTGTTGGCTTTAGAGTGGGCATGTATCTTGACATCGTTTCAGGAGGAGTCTTTCTCCCTCTGCCTTTGCAAAGGCTTTGCTGCTGCCTTCAGTCCAAAGCTCATTCTTGGGTGACTCACATGCTATTTACAGAATAGTCAGGTCTGGCCACTCACTGCTTGTAAAGAGCTGGCACTTGGACTTCGACATGGTGGGATGAAATCGCAGCTCCACTGTCACTTAGAAGCAGGGATGGGGCATTGGTGGGTGGAGTGGTGGCTCCCCAGGGTGGGGGTCAGAGCCCCCACCCTGCTCTGGCAGTGATGTACAGGGGGACATGCTCTGGCAGTGGGGTAATTCCAGTGGGCACAGTCTTGTGAGGGTTGGGCCCTGGAGCATACAGCATGAGGGCTCCCACAGACCCAGGACTGAGAGCCTCTTGTTGGCATCTTGGACACCAGCCCAGCGTTTCTGCATTCTTCACACAACCTGGGAGATGAAAGAGCGAACAAACAGCCAACCCTCTGTCCCTAGGGCCTCTGAACTGAGGAAATGGCTGAATAATGAATGAGGCCAGAGCACTTCAGAGAGGTGGCCCTGGGGACTGCGTGGGCAGCAGGAGAGGCATGGACAGGATGGGGGAGTGGCTGACATGTGCAGAGACGCTGGGAGCCCGAAGAGGTCGTGGCTGTGGCTTCCGCTGCAGGTTAGGGCTATTGACTTGCATGGAGGAACATGGCCCACGGACTGTGTTGCAAACCCTCAGTCTGTTGCACATCTGACCCCCTGGTACTGTTCCTATTGTACTTCATACCTTGAGAGTTTGTGGAGCTGGATTTGTGCTGGATGCAGGGAGCCCCTCCTAGGATGAGGGCTGCAGAACTGGAAACTACTCCAGGGCATCTGGGTGGTGGTATGTACATGTGACTTCCAGCAGGTGTTGGACAAGGGCAGCTTGCATGGCAGTACCCAGAGGGAACTGAGGGTCCTTGGGGCATCCCTGCCAGATACTTGCTTGCTTTTGGTGATGAGACACTCTCTCCTCCTGAGGCTGCCCTTTTCATTAAGCAGTTCAATATGAGGGTATTCAAACCTGTGACCTGGGAGTCCCTGTGCCTCTTGTTTTGTCTGTTGTTTTCATGCTTTTGGCATGGCCTAAAAGGGGCAGCATCTCCTACAACTCAGCCAGCAGAAATAACGGAACACACCTGTGTTGTGTGCTTGCTATGTGTCCGGTAGTTTTCTTGTTGAATTTGTATGATAGTTTGCATAAGTCCTGGTATCACCCCTTTTGAAGAGGAGTAGACTGAAGTATAGAGAGGCTGTGTAACTTGACCAGAATCACACAGCTAACAATGGGTGAGCTGGATCCAGATTTATGTGGCTGAGCTAAGATTTGAATCCTGGTCCCTTTTCCTGCCAATCTGCAGCTTGGGGAGGTTCTCAGCCTTCTTTTTTTTTTTTTTTTTTTTTTTTTTCCTGAGACGGAGTCTTGCTGTGTTGCCCAGGCTGGAGTGCAGTGGTGCAATCTTGGCTCACTGCAAGCTCTGCCTCCTGGGTTCACACCATTCTCCTGCCTCAGCCTCCCGAGTAGCTGGGACTACAGGCACCCGCCACCACGCCCAGCTAATTTTTTTTTGTATTTTTAGTAGAGACGGGGTTTCACCGTGTTAGCCAGGATGATCTCGATCTTCTGACCTCGTGATCCACCTGCCTCGGCCTCCCAAAGTGCTGAGATTACAGGCATGAGCCACCGTGCCCGGCCAGTTCTCAGCCTTCTATTGGGCATTTTGAGGGCCTTTAAGTCAGGTTCACTGTTGGGGCAGCTTCTCAGGGCTTACCACTCCAGTCCCCCAGCTCTCTCAAGCCCTTCAGGGCATAAAGCATGTACTACAGCATGTGCTGGGCCAGGGAGACAGCCTGGTCCTGGATCCCCTTCACAGGAATTCCTTCTCCCCTTTCTTTGCAAAGGCTGGTTGGTGCATGGGGAGGTTCTGTATTTGCCAACTTGTTCCCAACCACCTTATAGCCCTTGTGTCTGGTCCTACGCAGGGGCACTTTCCTGGGCTTTCTCTCTCTGCCAACATCAAGCATGCCACCGTAGCAAGCAGGAGATCCTTTCCACCTCCTCTCAGCTCAAAGCATTGAAGACAACGTCCCTAGGCTCTGATTGGCCCAGGGCCCTCCTGTACACGTTCTTCTAGGTGGCAATCAACCCTGCCACATAAACAGAGTTCTCCCAGGCCTGCCTTGGCTGGTTGTAATAAATACTGGCCAGATCAAAGCCCAGCCAAAGCCCCTTTGCATAGGGTCCATTGCCCCACCTGCTCTGCCAGGCACCTGCATCCCTAACTTGAAGAGCTGGAGTCAAGAGTGCCAACTCCGGCCCTGGAAAGATGGTTTGGAGAAAAGGTTTGCAGCTTTAGTGTGAGCTAGCCTGGATCAACAGGGGGCTGGGAAAGTCCTGGGAAATACTTCCGTGCACACACTGCATAGGACCCTGGAGGTAGAGGGAGGATGGGGCAGGCAGGGGGTAAACCCATCCTCAAGGGAGCTTTGCTGAAAGTTTGAGGCCACCCTGGCCCCGCTTAGGGGCCTTTCCAGAAGTGTAGTTCTCCCCTGTTGCCCAGCCAGGCCCCTCTTCAGAGCTCCTTCTCCAGGCTGGTCCCTTGGGCTCCTTGCCTCCATCAGTTCTGACATCCTGCCTCCCTCAGGCCGGGCTGGGCTCCAAGCTGGACGGCACAGAGCAGAGACACCTCTGGGCAAGGCCACGTTAGAAAAACTCTCTAAGCCTGGAGATGCCCTTAAACCCAAATGCACATGTCATTGCATCTCACAACAAATTTCACTGTCGTTCATGTTTTATTAACATAAATGCCTTAAAAGCAGATCAGAGATTCAACTAATTTGCTCATTAGTAAAAGGAAATTAGCCATTTGAGATCTGTTCTAATAAAATTAGCTTGGTGACAAATGCTTTGTTGCTGTGTTTATTAGATTACCATACTCCCTGCATTTTCAAGGCCAGAGCAGTCGTCAGCAACTCTTTAGGGTATTCTCCTAGTTTCTCTCTTCCTCTTTTTGTTCTTCCTTTCAGGCCTGTGGAGATTGTTTTTCCCTTTCAAGGCTAATTGGGAAGGCCTGACCCAAATCTGTGCCCTATTCACACAATCCCAGGAGGCCCAGGAGTGCCCGCTCCCTCCCCTCCCCCTCTGCACCCCCTTCCCAGCCTCTCCCTGCCTCAGCCCCAGCCCCATCCTTTTAGGCTTTCCATGTTGCCGGTCCTTTAAATGAAGCTAGCATATCTTGCCATCCGTCATCTCCCAGGCCAGTGACAGACCCTCAGCAGCAGCCCTCCCCACTCCTCTGGGTCTCCTTTCCCCATGGAACCTTCTGGATTATCTTCCAGGTGAAGAGCACCCTCTGAATTCATGCTTTGGCTTCACCCATTTGCTTGTTTCCATCCCCTGGAAGCGGCCCGCTGTCAGTGCGGTCAGATTCCACATTTGCCTCCACCTTGCACATGTGTGCTGGCGTCTGGACCTTGACTGGCATGGCCAGGAAGCTCATGAGGCACCCGTCATGCAGCGAGCTGCCTGGGGTCCCGCCTGTGTCTGAGGCTGGGCAAGGAATGTGTGATCACCGGAAGCTGCTAGTGAACCCAGGAGTATAAGATTAGCAGCATGTGCTGTCTCTATCACTATGGAGATGATGGCTGGCACCTCTTTGTGGAAGCATTTCATCCCACCTGATGTATCCTCTTCACACCTACCATGGGTATTTACTTTGTGCCAGGCACTGAGGGTGACCACACTTTATTTGCCCTCCTTCGTGGAATCTTCTGGATGATAATAGAAACATGTTGTTCTCATTTTTTTTTTTTTTGAGACGGAGTCTTGCTCTCGCCCAGGCTGGAGTGCAGTGGCGTGATCTCGGCTCACTGCAAGCTCCGTCTCCCAGATTCACACCATTCTCCTGCCTCAGCCTCCCAAGTAGCTGGGACTACAGGCTCCCACTACAATGGCCAGCTAATTTTTTTGTATTTTTTAGTAGAGACGGGGTTTCACCATGTTAGCTAGGATGGTCTCGATCTCCTGACCTCGTGATCCGCCTGCCTCGGCCTCCCAAAGTGCTGGGATTACAGGTGTGAGCCACCGTGCCTGGCGTTCTCATTTTAAAGAGACAGGACTGACATTTGCAAAGTTCCCCAAGGTTACCCTACTTGTAAGCTGCAGAGTAAGTTTTTTTTGGGGGGGGGGTGGGCGGGGGAGGGGACAGAGTCTTGCTCTTGCACAGGCTGGAGTGCAGTGGTGTGATCTCCACTCACTGCAGCCTCTGCCTCCCGGGTTCAAGGGATTCTCCCACTTCAGCCTCCTGAGTAGCTGGCATTATGGGTGCACGCCACCATGCCCAGCTAATTTTTGTATTTTTATTTTTATAGAGACAGGGGCTTTGCCATACTGGCCAGGCTGGACTTGAGCTCCTGACCTCAGGTGATCCACCCTCCTCGGCCTCCCAAAGTGCTGGGATTAAAGGCGTGAGCCACTGCACCCAGCCTGCAGAGTAAGAATTTGAACCCAGGCTGTGTGTCTTCAAAGCCCCTGACTTTCACCACTAGGCTACATGCTGTGCCTGGATGAATGTCTGCTGCCTGCCCTCACTGGCATGTGACATGGGAGCTTCCTGAACGTGGGTCTCTGCCTCATCATCTCTGTATTCCTCACAGTGCCTAGCACCAATGTGGCATGTGGTGAGTGCTCAGAAACATCTACTGAGTGAAGGTAGCTTGGGGAGAGATGATCAGACAGCCCAAACTAATCTGGGGTTGGAGGCTTGTTGCAGGGCATCCAGGATGATCCAGTAGAACCTGGGCGCTCTTCCTTCTCTCACTTAGCTGTCAGCAGCCCCCCGCCTTAGCCCCAGTCCCTCTTTGCCCCTTCTAGATTCCTTCTATCCTGATACAAATCGCTGGCTCAGACAACAGCGATGTGTT
Source organism: Homo sapiens (assembly GCF_000001405.40). NCBI lineage: Eukaryota > Metazoa > Chordata > Mammalia > Primates > Hominidae > Homo > Homo sapiens. Next base: position 116,558,741 of record NC_000011.10, on the reverse strand, counting down.
TATCCCACAGGATGTGACTCTGAATATTAGAATGTCAGAAGTGGCTGCCTTCACAATAAGTTGCTGTCAGAGAGGAAATAAAGGGGGAGTTGCAGTTATTTAATTTGGAGCATGCTGGTGGCAGGCTGGGCCTGAGGATGCACTGCTATTTCCCCGGCAGCTGGGGCACCTGCCCTGACTCTCATCCTCCCTCGGGCCTGGACGGTGACTGGTCACACCTCCCTCCAGCCCCTGGGTCCTAAGTAGGTTCCTGGCAAGATCTCCCCTCCCTCCAGGGCTCTGCCCCCTCCTCCGCCTCTGTAACCCTAATTTGCCTTGGTGGCTTCAAGTCTTTCTCAGCCCTTCCAGTCCTCAGTGTGCCCTGTGTTGTCACTCCTGCTCTTTGTCCTCCACCCCCCTGCCCAACCTCCTATCTCCTGGCTCCCTTAACGATATTTCCTCACTCATTTATCCCTACCACTCCTGTGAGCTTCTTAAAGAACAAGGAAGCAAGGGCTCAGAAAGGCTGGGCATCCGGGTCTTCTGATTCCATAGGACGAGACGCTAAAGGAGGCCAGGAAGAAGGGTTCAACTGTCCCTGAGTGCCTCCTGTGGGCTAAACTTTGGGCTAGCAAGATGAGTGAGATGTATGGTTCATGCCCTGAGTTGGGGTGGGGTGGGGAGTGTGCTCTTGCTCACAGTGGTGGGGTGGGATTGGGGCGGCCAAAGAATTGATGGGCACTGGCCAGAGGAGGCTGTAGATGGGGTCTTTCTGAGTGGTAAATACTTGGGATCTGAATCTCCTTTCCTCTAATGGCAGGTGAGTCTCCTTTCTTTGGTTTCGGCCTCTGGGTGCTCTGGGGCGCAGCATAGGCAGAGGGCACTGGAGTGAGAAAGGATAGTCAGGCTGAGACTCAGAGGCTGCTTTTCTTGATGGAGACAGCATCCCTCTTTACAGTGCTGGACCTTGGGGTATGAACCATGTGTGCTGCTGGTCCCAGCCTTCCCAGGAGAGGAGTCTGGGTGACTATTCAGACCAAGTTGCCCCAGAGAGATAGAGAGAAATAGACTTTGGAGTCCATCACATTAGGACACAAATCCAGGCTCCTCAGGTGCATGGTGGCCTCAGGCTAGTTGCACAGCCTGCCCAGGCCTCAGATTCCTCATCTGGTGTCCACGTGTCAGGAGAGTTGTGAGGGTGAATGGAAACCGGGAGTGATGTATCCGAGGAGTGGCCCTGTAGCTGGGAGGCAAGGCCCAGATGGACTTTCAGCCAGGCATAGGCAGGAGGTTGCTGGAGCTGGAGCCTGCAGGGTCCATTTAGCTGAAGCTCTTGGGCATCCTGAGTCAGCCCAGAATCAGCTTCTGTTCAACCCCAGCCCCTGCCTGGTGAATCAGCCCTCTGGAGAAAGGGCATGTCTCCCTTTCTCTCTCCCTGGGAGTGGGGCAGCCCATGCTGGTGAGAGGCCTTAGCTCTCTGTGGAAAGAGGAGAGGCACCTGCAGGCTGCTAGATCTGTGTTCACCCTGTTTCCTGCTCTGCTCCTTCCTGAGCCCCAGACTCCCACTCAGCACTGCACTCTGCCCAGAGTTACACCTCCAGGTGTCCTTACCTGATCCAGGGCTCCGAGGAGACCTCCACTGCTGGGTCTCCCATGGCATAAGAGTGTGAGCTGCTGAGAGGCATCAGAGTGTTGGGGGAAAGGCATGAAGAAGAGGGACCTTGGTTCTAGTCCCAGATGGGCCGCTTGCCAGCTTTGTGAGCTGGGCAGTTGCTTTACCTCTTAGAGCCTGCATCTTGGGAAGGTGGCTATAGAACAGCTCATAGACTACTGTGGGGGCCAATAGGCTGATTTAAGTATTGGCATGGTGCCCAGCACACATAGGTGCAGTTTCTCCTCCTTGAGCACACAGTTGAAGCTTGCAGGGGCTCTCACCACAAATGCAGCAGCCCCTGACCTTCCTCACCCGACTCTCCCAAATCCAAAGTGTAGAGGTGAAGGGGACTTCAAGTAGGAAGGTGTCTTGATTCTTCTAACATTTTTTCTGCCCCTGTCTCTTCCTTCTCTCCTCTGGGTCTCCCATTGTAGGTATATTGGCACGATTGACATCATCCCACCAGTCTCTGAGACTGTTCATTTTCCTTCAGTAATTTTTTCTTTTTGTTCATCAAATTGGATAATTTCTACTGACTTATCTTGTTATCATGCATTCCTTTAGCTCTTTAAGTGTGGCTTTCTTTAATCTTTAAATGCATTTCTAGCAGTTGCTTTTGAAGATTTTGTCTGCTAACTCTAATATATGGGTCTGCTTAGAGTTGGTTTATATTAATTTGTTTTTTTCTGAATATGGGTTATCTTCCTGTTTTTTTTACATGTTGTAACATTTTTGTTGAAAACTGGACATTTTAGATAATATGTTGTACAAACTTTGGAGTCTGATATTTCCCCCCTTGAGAGTTGTTGTTGTTGGTTTTCTGTTTTGTTTTGTTTTATAGCAACATATTTGAACTTAATCTGGGGAATCTCTCTCCCTAGTGTTGCATAGCTGCTAATGTCTTTACTCAGTTTTTTAAAACTCTTTTTATTTTTATCCCGACTTAAAATTTGTCTCTATGTCCGATTAACTTGGTGGTCATCCAGCAATTGGTCAGAGATGTGTGCAAATATATTGAGCCATAAATGTCCCATCCTCTGACTGGGGGAGCACCTTAAAAGTTCGGGCAGTTTTCGAGTCTTCCTTCCTTTTACTTCCCACCAGGCCATTTCAGGTCTTCCCTGTGTGTCAACCTTCCAGCTTGTCAGGAAGAGATACTTCTTCAGCTGCTCTGTGGCTCTCTCTTCCAGGAGTTACCTGCTAAATTTCTGGTTGTTGTTGTTGTTGTTTTCTCTGCTGTTTGTCCCAGTTAGGACTGTAACCTCAGTCCAGCAGAGCTGTGGGCCCTGCCCATTTGCTTTCCTGCTGAGCCAGAAGATTTTACTGTCTACCCCTGGACACCTACAAGCTTAAGGCCTTCTGCTCCAAATCAAGTCAGACTTCCTGCTGTCAAGATGCCCCCTGCCCTTTTTTTTTTTCTTTTTTTTCCCCCAGTGGTTAGCCCCACCCAAGAAGAGCCACAAAAAGATGGGGGTGGGGACGGGAAGAGCAACAGGCTAGAACTTTGTGGACTCCTACTTCTCTTATCCAAAGTTCAGTTTTTTATGAACAAAATGAACAAATGCTTCTTGACGTGTTGCTTTGCCTTTGGTTGATTTCTGGATCCTCAAATTTTTTATGTTTTTTATTCTTTTCTATTCTGTCCAGTTTTGTTTTGTTTTAAACGGAGTCTTGCTCTGTCACCTAGGCTAGAGTGCAGTGGAGTGATCTCGGCTCACTGCAACCCCCGCCTCCTGGATTCAAGTGATTCTTCTGCCTCAGCCTGCCGAGTAGCTGAGATCACAGGTGTGTGCCACCACATCCAGCTAATTTTTGTATTTTTAGTAGAGACAGGGTTTCACCATGTTGGCCAGGCTGGTCTTGAATGCATGACCTCAGGTAATCCACCTGCCTCGGCCTCCTAAAGGGCTGGGATTACAGGGGTGAGCCACCGCACCCGGCCTATTCTGTCCAGTTTTATAGTTGATTTTGAGAAGAAGATTTGCTGACCTTTTCATTCCACCATTGCTGGAAATCCTGCTTTGATTCTTGAGACCTGGGTTTATAAACATGTAACTTGAGTTTTATTTGCAAGTGATGAAGAACCCTCTCTACCTGTTCAGGGCCTCACAGGCTTCTTGAAGCTTTTGATGACCTGACCTTTCCTCAAGGCAAAACTAATGGAGAGTTGCATGTTGTCTTGAGTCCTGACTGCTTCACCCGAGGACCTCTCCACCTCTGCCCCTTCCAGAGGGGGAACCAGGCCCTGCACCCCATTCTAAGACCTAGAAACCCTCACCACTAAGTCAGTCCTACTTGGTCCATGCCACTGATTGAAATGGAGGGGAGTGGTTTCTATCCAGGACCCCTGAAAATGTGACCTTATGCAGCTTATCTCATGAGCTTTTCCTTTGGAAGAAGAATGTCAGTCCAACCCCTCCCTAGTGGAGGGGATGCTGCTTTCTGAGGAATCTCTTGTCCTCACTGCCGCCAGGACTCTGTAGTCTTTGGCGCAGCAGGCTTAGTTCTCCCTATCCTCTTTTCTAACATGGATTTAACTTCTCACTTTCTTGCTTATCATCCTTCTTTGCTCAGCTCTTGCTATTGGATAGCATCTAAACCTTCTAGCTTGGCATTCAAAAGCCTCATCACCTGGCCCAGTTTACTTTCTAGCTGCAGCTCCCTTCACTACTCACATTGCTTCAGCCCAGCGGAATTGCTTGCTGTTCTTTGGACTCACCATGCTTTCATACCTCTGCACTTTTGCATATGCTGTTCCCTCTTCCTGGAATGCCTTTGTCTCCTCCCCATCTGGTAAACTCCTCCCTTCATGGACCACCCTAGTTTTTGCCTCATCTGCTAAGCTCCCTTTGATTCCCCGGAACAGAGATGCTATTCCCTCCTTCGTCCTTCTATTGTACTTTGCTTTGGTCTGGGCGATCGCATTGCACAGCCATCCCCTGTTTACATGTCTGCTTCTCCCTCTTGTCTGCGAGGAATTTGGGGATGTGGCTGCCAATGTCTGACCTAGTGCTTGACACATAGTAGGCTCCTCCTAAATGTGTGCTGAATGCCAGAATGACTGTCTATAACCTTTCCTGCCAGAAATAAGTTCTCTCGATGGCTCTCTGTAGGCTTTGAAGTCTTTGGAGTATGATTTATAATCTGATTATATTCAAATGTAGGATCTACATGACAACATTCAATTAAATTCAACTTTTAAAAGCCATTTTGAGTGGCTTTTGACTTATGTATTATTCATTGTCAGTAGCATTGGAAGCCCCCCGCAGGCCCCCCTACCTGACTGTATATTCAGGCTCTAGAATTGCTTAATTTAGTTTTGTCCTCCTGTTGTGAATAGCTGTCTTTGGCACCTAAAGAAACAACCTCTCTACCTTGACCCCCACCTGCGCCCTTTGAGGCAAGGGTCCTGGTGCTCATTGCTGCCACCATGAGTTTTCTAGGGCAGCTGACAGGCGTGTGCACGTGCATGCACGTGTGTGTAAGAATGTTTGTGTTTGGGAGGGGAGAACCTCATCAAATGGTATGGGATCAGTTTGTTATTTTATTATTTCTTCTTTTTAATAAGCAAATTACTGATGCTGGCAAGTATTAAAGATTAATCCTGTAAATTCCTCCCTGAGCTGTAGAGATCCCTTAAACAGGCCCATTCCTTGATGGAACACATTCCAGGAAAGAGGCTCCAGAATGGATTCTGCCCTGGCTAGGGACACCTGTGACTTTGAACTCTTAAGCTGACACCTGCCCTGTCTGGTAGCTGAAGGGTGACACCTGGGAGGGAGTGGTGGGATATTGGTTGGGACCCTGTTCCCCTCCCCCTCCTCAAAGCCACTGACCTCCAAGAGAAATGATGAAGCTGCTGCTGACCAAAGCTATGATCTGAAGGTAAGAAAGCCACGGGGATGCTCACTGAGTTGGGTGGGGGACTCCTGGGATTATAGCTCCATGAGGGCTCAGATACGTCATCCAGGCCACCCCCAACTTCCAGACAGGTCTAAATCCAGAGTTCCTAACTGAGAAAATTGATCTCTAGTTGTATGAACGGCTTAAATAGAAGACATCTTACCTGGTTCCCAGTTCTCAGAGAGAGCTGGACGGTACCACGGTGCCCTGTGATAACCCATGCCATGACACCTCCAGTGCTATATCTGGTTCCTACTTGATTGTGAGCTCCTTAGGGCCAGAACTGCGTCTTATTTATTTTTATATTTTAGAACCTAGCACTGTGCCTGGAATGTAGAGTAGGTTCACTGGAGATTTACTGAATGGAAGAAAGAATGTGTGGGTTGGGGGAGACAGTTCTGGTTGGAGGTAGGGACCAGACAAGAAGACTTTGACTCTATAACACAAGTGGGTTATGTGCATGGTGACCCTTTTGCTTATGAGGGCACCAGGTATGCACCCTAAAGCCCCTCAAACACTGCTGCTCAGCAGGGTCCCATCATCTTCACAGCAGGTTAGAGCTGAGAACAGGGTCCCTGACTGGTCTAGAACAAGAAGCAGGCCCAGTCAGGGTCCTAGCAGGAAGCAGATGGCCCACTCCAAAGACTAATTAAAGGGTTCTGATGGCGATTATTCACAGAGGTGTAGGCAGGGCTAAGGAAAACCAGAGAGGATGGTAAAGCACCCCATGGCATAGCAGTGGGGTACAGGCAGTAGGGAATATTATCCCCCAGGCCTGAAAGGCACAGGGAGAGAGCAGTGACCTCCAGGTGATGGCTGCAGCTATAGGGGTTATGGCCTTAGGGGAAGGTCTGGGGGAGAGAAGGGGAAGGATAGCCCTGCCTCTCTCTCTTTCCTCCCTCCAGTCTCTTACTGTGACTCCCCTGGTGAACTCACATGAATGCCTGGGAGCAAGGGATCTGGGGTGCTGCCATCCATTGAGGTGGGCACCTGGGACACACAGCAGGGTGAAGAGGGTGCAGGTGGGATGGGAAGGGAACTGATAATATCTAGCCCACAAAACATGGTACCAGTTGAGAGCATCCAGCTCAGACAGTGTGTGTGAATCCACAGGCCTCATCTCACCTAGTGGCTGAGCTAGGGTGAAGGTGGGCAGGTGTGACCCTTGAATCTGTCTCAGAAATGCAGAACAACAAATGCAACTCATCCACCACCCAGCTCACCCCTGACCAGCCTTCCTGGTCTCTGATCCCACAACCCACTAGACATTTTCCCTTCCTTTTCTGTCTTATTAAAGACCGTCTACCCCAGGCAAGAGAGCCAGCTGGCTGCCGGTGAAACACCAATAGCCTCCTACTCTCCTAATCAATATTGGAGTGGAGAGGAAAACAATTAGTGGCTTTTTGTCTTCCAAGAAGTGGGCTGTCTTTAGTGCAGGGCAGAGGTAGAGAGCATCCGGCGAGGGACACCAAAGTGCTTCATAAATCAAAAGCTAGTGATTTCTGGGTCTTGTGGGATTCCAGGCCAGGGATATTGATGGACATTTGCATGGCTATCTGGGTTTGATTGGAGTTAAGGAGTGGGACAGGAGATGATCTGAGGTCCTTGTTCTAAGGGAGTGAGTTGAGAGAGGGAGAGAGGCGTTGGGTTCCCGGGACTGGCCTCACAGTTCCTGAGGGTGGCTTTTCTTGGCCCACCCTAGGCTTGGCCACAAGCTCCCAAATCTTAGAGTGTAGGCTCTTGGGCTTGAAGAATCTTAGAGATCTTATGGCCAAACTACCTCATTTTACAGTGGGAAACACTGGGGCTTCATGAATGCAATGACTTTCCCAAGGTCACATAGGGTGTCCATCACAACATCACACACTCTCTAATGAAATCCTTTTCATAAGCCTGTGAGGTGGGCTCTATCCATCCTTTTCTATGACTGAGGAGGTAGAGACTCAGAGAAGCCAAGTAACTGGCTCAGGGCCACACAGCCAATTCATGGAGAAGCCCAGGTCTGCCTGGCTCTACAGTCCATGCCCTTCTACCAGACATGCTGAGATATTCCTGTAGGGCCAACCTGGGGCCATCCTCTCATCTCACACCCTCTGAGCAGAGCATGGATGCTTTGTTTTGACAACATCCAAATCCCATAGCACTAATTGCTATTGTCTGCCTGCCTGAAGTGGCATAGCTATGTGGTTGGGTTGATGCATGAGGGTCAGCCTAGGGATAATTAATGGGATCCATTCTCCTTTCTGCTGCTCAGTTGAACTCAGTTTGGGTAATTTTCATTAGTCCAGCTGGAGGCCTTATCCCATGGAGGGGTGGGAGGCTAATAGGGTAGTTGCATGGCGGGGTCACCTGGATCTCCCACAGCAGGGCAAATGGGCTCATGTAGGTCATCCTTATGAGGGGCTGGCTAAGGCCGAAGTCCCCTGCTCTCCAAGGAGCAGAAGGAGCACCCTGATGGCTCCTGCTCTGTGCACACACATGAGTGTGCAGCAGCTGTGCCTATCCCCTCTGGTCCTCTCTGGAGGCCTAGAATCTTGGAAGTTCTGAGATGAAAGAGATCAACTTGCTTTCTATTATTGAACCTTTTCTGCAGCTCTCTTTCTCGCCCAAACCCTAACCCAGTCTTTACTTGCACACCTCCAGGGACAGAATGCTCACAACTCCTACCCCAGAGCGTCTCTGGTATGCTCCCAGGTGCATTTCATGAATTCTTCCCAGCCTTAGAACTGCCATGTCAGGGGGTCAGTGTCCCATTGCTGCTAACCTATGGCTGTGGGCAGCTTCCTCTGTTCCCTTTCCCCAGTGGGCTGTACAGATTGGATTAACTTCTGTGTGAGCCATGATGTGAAAATTATCAGGGAGCACTACTGTATATCTTTCAGCCCCATCTTCTACGTCCTCACACAAGGCCCATATAATTTTTTTTTCTACAGTTTCCAACAATCTGAATGGCAGCCTTTAAGGGCAAAATGGTAAAGTCCATCCCACAGCAGCTCTTTAAATATTGAATTGTTGGTTCTTGTAAGTTTTCTACAGGTTAGATAAGCCCAATTCTTTCTTTCTTTCTTTTTTTTTTTGAGATGAAGTCTGCTCTGCCGCCCAGGCTAGAGTGCAGTGGCGTGATCTCGGCTCACTGCAAGCTCCGCCTCCCGGGTTCATGCCATTCTCCTGTCTCAGCCTTCCGAGTAGCTGGGACTACAGGTGCCCACCACCAGACCAACTAATTTTTTGTATTTTTAGTACAGACGGGGTTTCACCGTATTAGCCAGGATGGTCTCGATCTCCTGACCTCGTGATCCGCCCGTCTCGGCCTCCCAAAGTGCTGGGATTACAGGCATGAGCCACCGTGCCCGGCCGATAAGCCCAATTCTTTAACACTTCTTCTAAGACATGATTTGAAGTCCATCCCAACCTGCTCACTCGCCTCTGTCAAAATTTCTCTAAAGCCAACACTCAACACTAAACCCCATTCCTGGGAGGGAGGGAGGAAGGAAAAAAGAGAAAAAAATAAACTCCATTCCCACAGAGTCAGACAGGACTGTCACCATCTTAATTTTGGACCTTCTATCTCCATGAAAGTAGCCCACGCTCTGTTAGCTTGGCTGGCAACCTCTTCACAATGGTAACTTAATGCTGTGTGGAGCCCCTAAGTCCTTTTCTCAAGGACCAGATGAGACCTTAGCCCAGGACCATAACCCGTGGCCTTGGAGATACCTGTCAGAGGCTGTTACCACCCTCCGTTCTGTGCTCTTAGTTCAGAAAAGCCAACTGGCAAAACTTTTCTGAGTGGTCCTCAGCCTTTTGCATCTGCTCCCAAGAAGAGAGAGGTGCCACAAGGGCACTGTGGTCATGTCATATCCTGCAAGGACAGAGCTGTCTCCCCTGGCTCCTGGTCTCTTCGTCTGTCCTTCCTTCCCCTTGCTCTTGCTGGGGTCCTGTCCTCTGCCTCTGCAGGTTCATGCTCACTCTCCTGCTGGATGGATTCATGCTTAGCCTTTGGGATGCAGGGTTGAAGAGTTGGGGTGGGGGTGGGGAGGATGCTAAGGTCTATCTACCCAGTGCTTGTCCTCTATCCTCGAGGCAGGTCAAGTTGTCCAGCCTCCCACCTCCAGCTGGGGTGAATTGGTTCCTCCCAAGCTGGTAGTCAGATGCTAGGGAGATCGAGCCATCCTTACCAGCCTTCAGTGTATGCTCATGGCCCTGGTCAGGTGCTCTGTTGGAGCTGATGGCTGTATGCCAGGTGCTCCCCATCAGCTCATTATAATTGTAATACCAGGGGCTGGAGTCAGACAGACCTGGGGTGTAACCCAGGCTCCATGCTTGTTAGCTGTGTGTCCTTGGCAAAGCTACTTAACATGCCCGAGCCTCAGTGTTAAAATCTGTAATTTGGGATGTAATTTTCATCCGCCAGAGTTGATGTTAAACTTTAAAGAACTTGTCATGTGGTCCAGTGCTCACACAGGGCCATGCATGCTGTAAAAGCTCAATTATTTTTGTATTGAAATTTTTCTACTAATAGTGAAATTAGCACTTTCCAGAGTAAAGAGTTTGAGCAAAGCGGGGACGACTTGGGAGGTGGGATGGTTGAAGCATGGTGTCCCCAGGGCTGTCTCTCTCTGAGAGCCAGCTCCCTTCCAGGGCCAGGCTTCCAGAGCTGCTGCTGCTACTGCTGCCACTGCCACTGCTGCCAGAGCTTCAGGTCCTGCAGGAGCTGTCGACTCTGGCCCTGGCTCTAGTGACACTGCAAGTAAACAGCAGTTGTCAGAGTCGATTTAACATTGATATTTTTATCACATATCAGGGCCTGGCGCCATGGCAAGGAATGACAGAAGCAGAATGCTAAATAATTTTGCTAAATAATGTACACTCCCCGGGCTGCCTGAATGGAGCAGCTGAGGGAGAGTGGAGACTCTGGTTTGGCGTGCAGAATTTGTGCAATGGACACATTTAGTCCCTCATCCCTGGTGTCCCGTGCTGACAGCCTCCTGTGGGCTGGGTCCTGGGTGAGTGGAGCTTACCACAAAGCAGCAGATGAGACAAAGCCAGGGGTGTGCAGAGAAGGAGAGAGACAGAAATAGATAGATAGATAGAGAGGCTCAGGCTCAATAAGTACTTGTTGATTTGATTTGAAAGGAGGGAGGAGGGAAGCAAGGGAAGACAAAGAAGCAGAGGAAGCAGCTGAATTAGAGACAGAGGCAGGAGGGAGAAAAGAGGGAGGCACAGGTGGAGGGAGGTGAAAGGAGCAGGGAAACCAGGGGAAAGAGAACGAGAGAGAGGGGAAATGGAGAAGACAGAGACCGACAGGGGGAACCATGGGACAGTAGTGAAAGGGGCTTGGCCAGGGACCCAGGGAGAGAGGGAGGGGGTGGGCAGAGATGAAGCAGAAGGGCAGGTTGGGGACCCCAGAGGGCTACAGCAGCAGTGTCAGGCCAGGCCAGGCCAGGGCCCACAGGGTGAAAACCTTGTTATTTTCAAACCTCCACTTTGCTCCCCATCTCTGCTGATCTGTAGCCTCCTCCTGGGTACAGAGTTATTCCTCTGGGCTTTGGGAGAGAGGGAGGTCAAGGCTGTGCAGGTTCAAAGCCCTCCCAGCTAGACTGGTCTCAGTCCACCTGGGAGCCAGGGAACAGAAGTCCCACCTCTTCTCACCCTTACCCTGCCTGGGAGGGACCAGAGAAGGGGACAGTGCCCCAAGGTAGGGCCCCACTGACTGCTGAGAACTCCAGGCCAACACAGGCCCGAGCCTGAGAGCACTAGCAGCATGACTTCTAAGGACATTGCATGTCACCAAGATACTTTCAGTCCTCAGTCTTCCTCTGGAGAGTTGCATCAGTCTCTGGACAGGGAGAGTGTCTTAGTCGTCTCTGATTTCAGCACCTAGTGTGGTCCCTGGATTGCAGTAGGTGGTCAATGCGTGTTCATGGAATGAGTGGAGGTGTAAATGAACCGTCTTTGGGTGAAAGAAAGGAGACATCAGAGACATAGAGAGGTTGAATGACCTAGTCCCACAGCACATTGGTGACAGGCACAGGACTCATAATCCCTCAGACTGGGGAGAAGGTCTTCCAACGTCTCCATAACTACCTCTGGAGGCTGGAGGAGACTTGGACCCCATCCCCTGTTATAAATGAGGTATATGAAGTTGGGGCCCTGATCAATCCAAGGTGTGGCTGAGCCCTTCTAGAAAGGTCTGAGTCTTTCTACCTTCCCACTTTTTCTTTCTTCTCTCAACCATTTTCCCACATCTTCCTCTGCCAACCCAATCTACCAAGGAAATATTGTGACTGATTCTCACGGAAATCTTCGGCCAGGTCATTGCCATCACAGTGCTCCTTCATGCCATCCTTGGCCACCACACAGGCCAGGCTATGCTGCAGTGACAAGCAACCCTCAAATCCCAGTGGCTTAGCACAGCCAAGGGGGATTTCTTGTTGCATCACATTCTGCTGCAGGCTGGGGTGGCTCTTCTTGGATAAACTTCTTCAAAGGATGAATGATGCAGGGATCCTCGCCCCTTCTGTTTTCTGATGCTGCCATATTAACATGCGCTCTCTAAAGGAGCCTTTGAAGGGGAAGAGAGAGTAAAAACAAGCATATGTGGGGACTTATGCCAAGCTAGGAAGTGGCCTACCACTTCTGTTCACATGCCATTAGCCAGGACTCTGTCAGATATCCCTTGTGTAGGTACAAGGAAGGCTCGGAAATGTAGCTTTCCTGAGTGCCCAGAAACAGGCAGATGACCTGGAATCTGGTGAACACATTGTACAGCTGACCCTTGAATAATGCAGGGGTTGGAAGCCTCAATCACCCCTGCATAGTCGAAAGTCTGTGTATAACTTTTGACTCCCCCAAAACTTAACTACCAGTAGCCTACTGTTGATTGAAAGCTTTACTGATAACACAGTTAACAGATATTTTGTATGCATATGTATTATATACTGTATTCTTTCAAGAAAGTAAGCTAAAGGAAATAAAATGTTATTAAAGCCTGTAATCCCAGCACTTTCGGAGGATGAGGAGGGCGGATTGCTTGAGACCAGCGTGGGCAACATAGTGAAACCCCGTCTCTACAAAAAATAACAAACAAACAAACAAAATTAGCTGGGTGTGGTGGCATGCACCTGTAGTCCCACCTACTTGGGAGGCTAGGGTGGGAGGATTGATCGAGCCCAGGGGGTCAAGGCTGCAGTGAGCTGTTACAGTGCCACTGCGCTCCAGCCTGGGTGAAAGAGCAAGACCCTGTCTCAAAAATTCAATTCAATCAATTCAATTTAATTTAAAAAATGTATTAAGAAAAATCACAAGGAAGAGAAAACATATTTCCTATTCATTAAGTGGAAGTGGATCCTCATAAGGGTCTTCTCCTTGTCGTCTTCACATAGAGTAGGCTGAGGAAGAGGTGGATTGGGTATTGCTGCCTCAGGGATGGTGGCTCATCTGCAAGTTTTTTTCAAATGGTCACAAATCTCCAAAGTTTTTTTTTGTTTTTTTTTTTGTTTTTTTTTTTGAGATGGCATCTTGGTTTGTTGCCCAGGCTGGAGTGCAGTGGCACGATCAACCTCCACCTCCCGGGTTCAAGCGATTTTCCTGCCTCAGCCTCCCGAGTAGCTGGGACTACAGGCGCGTGCCACCATGACCTGCTAATTTTTGTATTTTTAGTAGAGATGGGGTTTCACTATGTTGGCCAGGCTGGTCTCGAACTTCTGACCTTGTGATCCTCCTGCCTTGGCCTCCTGAAGTGCTGGGATTACAGGTGTGAACCACTGCACCTAGCCCAGAGTTTTTAAATATAGTTATTGAAAAAAAATCTGTACAAGTGGACCCACACAGTTCAAATCCATGTCTTTCAAAGATCAACGGTATTGTCTCTGCCATCCTACCTGAGACATCATCTCTGCCGCCATCTTTCCTCTCCCCTACCTGACCTATACGTCTCTGTGGGACCTCTCCCTGAACTCCTCCCTCTTCTCCCCTGCCTCCCTAACCATTCCCACTGTCCTCTGGTATCCCACTCCATGGTCCATAAATCCTCCTGCCTCCTTGACATTTCCTCTGAAAGTTCCCTCCACCTCCTGGTCCTAACTGGAAACTGGCTCTTCCGAGGACACTGTGTTTCATATTCATATGCCTCGGGGTTGAGAAGTGGGGTTGGTGTCCCCCTCACACGCCAAAGCCACATCTGGGCCTTTACTCTCTCATAAGAAACTCGGCTCCAGAAGGCTGGTGTCATCTCTTCTGGCTTTCTCTTTCCCTCTTACTGTGGTTGCCCACTGGCCTCTCGGTCACTCCCTCGCTCACAGAACACGTGGCATCTGCTCAGTCTTCTCCACGTGCCAAGGTCTTCCTAGGTCCCAGGATTTCAATGCCCACATAGAGAATTCACCCAAATCCTGGCGAATTCGTCCTCATCTCTTCACAGATACATTGGTCTCTCCCTTTTCTCTACTTTAGGCAGCCACTTCCACAGTGACATCTGGATTGTATGGTCCAGAACTGCTTCCCGCTCTGAGATCCTACATTGGAACATCCTGCGCTTTGGCCACAATTTCCTATCAACCAAGTTCTCTTGCTCAGTTTCTTCACCTAAGTGTGTTTCTCACTATCATGGAACATGCCTTGATTTCTTTACCTTCCCTGTCTTTACTACTTTTCCCATCCAGTTCAAGTTCTCTGGCCCATCATTTAGCCACTGTATTAGAGTTCTCCAGAACCAAACTAATATATATAAATGTGTGTGAGTGTGTGTGTGTGTGTGTGTGTGTGTAATATACATATTCCTTATATATATCGTAAGGAATGGGCTCACACAATTATAGAGGCTGAGAAGTCCCCAGATCTGTAGCTGGCAAGCTGGAGACCCAAGGGAGCTGATGGGGTAGTTCCAGACTGAAAGCTGGCAGCCTCAGCTCCCCGAAAGAGTCAGTGTTTCAATGTGAGTCCAAAAGCGAGAAAGAACTGATGTCTCAGTTTGAAGGCCATCCATCAGGCAAGAATTTTCCTCTACTCATGGGAAGATTGCTTTTTTTGTTCTTTTCAGGCTTTCAATTGATTGAATGGGGCCTGCCGGCATTAGAGAGGACAATGTGCCTTACTCAGCCTACCCACTCATATGTTAATCTTATTCAGAAATGCCCTCACAGACATACCCAGGATAGTGTTTGACCAAGTATCTTGGCACCCAATAGCCCACTCAAGTTGAGACATAAAATTAACCATCACTGCCACCTTCTTGCAATATCCTCAGATACTTTGCTCCATTGCTTCTCTCTTATGACCTGGAAAAACTCTAAACTCTGGATCAATTTAACGGTCTACTTTTTCTGCTTCTCAGTTTGGACTGTTGAGTGCTGCTAGAGATACACATGTGCACATGGGTGTGTGTGCATGCATGTGCATGTGCACATGGGTGTGTGTGTGCGCACACACACGTGCGCACGCGCACACACACACACACCCCACACTGTTGAGTAGACTGGCTTCCTCAAATTCATGGCCTCTGGCTTCTCCTGAGCCTTTGATGCTCTAGTAGTTTTTCTTTGATTCCCTAGGTAGCCATTTCTGCAAGAAGTGATCTTAAACTTTCTTTATTCTCCTTGAACTTTCTCAACAATCCATCCCCTTCCCCATCTCACCCCATCACTGGGATCTTTGAGACAATAGCAGCCCTTAGACAAAAATGCCTTAAACATACTTCCCCCTACACCACTTTCCCTGCATCTGTACCAGGACTTCTCCTGCTTCTTTCCTGTCCCAGTGGTCTCCTGCCTGAAACTGAGTTTTCTGATCTTTGCTCAGGGACTTTACCTCACACGTCAATGAACTCATTCCTCTGCTGAAACTTCAAGCACTCCCTCCTCTTTCTGAATCCATCCACACGTTGTTTAAACATCTCCCATGCCACAGCCAAATGCACACCGTTCTCTGACTTTACACCCCTGCCCCCGGTTATTGCCTCATCTCTCTTTGCTCTTTTACAGCCAGACATGTTGAAATGTCATAATTTTCTACTTTTCTTTGCATTGAAATAATCTTTCACACACTACTCTGTTGAGGTCACTGTGACCTGCACATGTCACCTGCCTGTTGCATTTAGTGATGGGTACAGGTCACAGGTGACCTCAACAGAGTGGTGTGTGAAAGAAGATGATTCCAATGCTCTTGTCCTGCTTGACTTCTCTAGATCTGGTCAACCACCCCTTCTGGAAATGTTCTCTTTTCCTTGGTTCTCATGATGCAGTTTTCTTCATTTTTTTCTTCCTACCTCTCCCGGACTGCTTCTTCATGGTGTCTATTGTAGGCCCCTTCTCCTCTCCCTTTCCTTACCTTTTTAATGTTTCTTAGTGTTTAGTTCTCTGCCTCCTTCACATTTACTCTGTGTTTGAATCTAATCCTGTGGATTTGATGATGATCTGTCAGCTGATGGCGCTGGCATCTTTCCTCTCCCCAGACCTTCTGCGTGTCCTACT
Source organism: Homo sapiens (assembly GCF_000001405.40). Lineage (NCBI taxonomy): Eukaryota > Metazoa > Chordata > Mammalia > Primates > Hominidae > Homo > Homo sapiens. The sequence continues at coordinate 116,542,739 of NC_000011.10, read as the reverse complement.
GTTTGCTGCATATCTCCAAAACTTATCGTTCCCCTACCTCTCAATAAAGCTGTCCCTCCTGTGTTCCTTCCCTTGGTGAATTCATTCATTTGACACATACATACTGCATGCCTGCTGCATGCCAGGTGGTGAGCTAGGCTGTGGAACCCTCTACTTGGCTGCCAAGGCAGAAACTCTGAAGTCAGCTTGGACTCCTCTTTCTTTTTCTTTTCTTTTCTTTTTTTGAGAAGGAGTCTTGCTCTATCACCCAGGCTGGAGTGCAACGGCACGATCTTGGCTCACTGCAACCTCCACTCCGGTGCTCAAGCAATTCTCCTACCTCAGCCTGCTGAGTAGCTGGGACTACAGGTGTGCACCACCATGCCTGGCTAATTTTTTGTACATTTATTAGAGACAAGGTTTCGTCATGTTGGCCAGGCTGGTCTCAAACTCCTGACCTCAAGTGATCTGCTCACCTCAGTCTCCCAAAGTGCTGGGATTACAGGCATGAGCCACTGTGCCCAGCTGGACTCCTCTTTCACTCTCCATCTTCTAAAAACACCAAATCCTGCCAGAGTTACCTCTGCAGCATCTTTTAAGTTCTTCCCTGTCTCTCCACTTTTACTGCCTTCTGGACTACTATCTTAATTCCCAAATTTGTCTCCCTGTTTCCAGTTTCATCCTCTCCTGTCTCTTATCTCTACTAAGTCCAGATGACCTCATCATTTTCCTGTCTATAATCTTTAGTAAATCTCCATTGCTCTGGGCCCCCAGGTACCTACATACTCACCTGCCTTTGCAGGACTTCACCTCTGCTATTTCTCCAGCCTCATCTCTCGTGGTTTGTCCCTATTATGGTCTATTCAACATCCGGGATGAGATATTTGGAGTCTTAGGCATGCCATGCTGTCCCCTCTGCCTGGAATTCCCTACCTTCCCCTCTTTGCCTGGCAAAACTTTTATAGCTCAGATAACATCTTAGAGGTCTCTTTCCTCAAGAAGACTTTCATCTTTTAAGACTGGCCCAGGTGTTCTGACCTAAGTCCTCTGAAGCAACCTATGCTTGCTTTGTCATGGAAACCACCACAATGTAATTTCACATCTGCTTTACTCACAGTTTCCCACCCCCACCATGAAGTTCCTTCTAGAAAGGCACTGTGTGTTGTTCACCATTTGCATTCCCAGCACTTCATATAGTGCCTGGTACCTAGCAGGTGTTCAATATATGTATGTTAAGTGAAAGAGTGAGCGAGACCATAAGAGAGGCAATGCACTAATTGACCCAGAGCCCAGGCAGGACCATAATAGACAAGGGCATCTATGGATAAGGAAGGACTCTGAGGGCATGGCATGCAAATAAGACCATCACCACAATAGATGACCGCCTGGTGCTTGTTGAGCATTACTGATGGTAGTGGAAGTCGTGCTGAGCTCCAGGTCGGAGAACCTGGTGTTAATGTTTCTGCCATTTCTTAGCTACTAATGACTCATGGCAATTCCGTTAATGTTTCCAAGCCCTTGATTTTCTCATTCATTAAATGGAGACATTAATGCCAACTTAATAATATTATTGTCAGAATTAAATGGGGTGAGAGTTGGGGGAGGTGCTATATATTCTGCAAGTGTGATGAAGGTGTCTTGGGCATCTGTTAGAGACTCGAGCAAGCAGTAACCTTACACTTGGCTTGGTCAGACACAGAAAGGAAGCAGCTACCTCAGGGCAGCTGCTCTCTGGGGCCTGGGGATTGAGTCTCAGCAGGACAGAGAGTGTCAGCTGCTCTGAAGCTCCTGGGAGCACCATAGCAGGAAAAGGGGCACCCTGGACTCAGCCCCAGCCCAGACCCAGGCCTCCTGCCTGGGAATATGCCCCACGGTGTATCCCTGGGGAATAGGACAGCCAGGTCCAGGTCCAGATGGGAGGTCCTACCCCTTTGGGCCTGGCAGGCTCCCAAACCCCTCCCCTGTGCTGCTCCTTCCTTCTTCCTGGGACCACATCTGTCTTTCCTTGATAATGTGCCCAGGACCCCAGTGAGACCACCTCTGGGCCTAGAGAAGTACCCGAGCCTGGGCTGAGAGGTAGCTGGACATGGCAGGAAGGCTGTGAAAAAGTGAAAAGACTTGGGTCCCAGCTCTGCTACATGTCAGCTTTGTGGCCTGGGAAGTTGCTTCTGGGCCTTTTCTCCATCTCAAGAATGAGGTTATAAGCCTACCACACAGGCAGTTGTGAGGGCCAGTGGGGTACCAGGTCTGTAACGACTCCATGGATCATAAATGCTATGCAAAGAGTAAGGATGATCAGAGAGATCAGGCTTTGTAAAGGCCTTCATGGAATTAGTGCTCTCATCCAAAGATGAGTCCTGCTCATCATGTTTCATCCTCAGCCTTGTACTGGGATGTGTGTGATGGGGGTTTCATGAGAAAGGATTTAGAAAAAGGGAACTTTCCTGTGTGTCCTCCAGTGTTGGGAATTCCTGAGCTGTGCCTGTAGAGGAAGAGGGGTTGCTGCCTGGCCTCAGGATGGGGGTGAGGAAGGGTGAAGCCAGAGGAGAGGGTAGCTATGATCAAGGGGAGCCCAGGAGGGTGAGAGGATTGGGGACCCTGCGAAACTGGCCAGGCTGATGCCAGGGCTCAGCTGTGCCAGAGCTTTAAACTGGTTGCTTATAGTTGAGTGTTTAAAGCAGTTTACTCATAGTGCCAACTGTTCTTGGATGATTTTCCCTAAATGTTTTATGTTTTGTACTTGTGCCCAGAGGCAATTTTATCTGGTGGGGGCACTTCTGTCAATCTGTCACTATGAATGATTAGAAGAAAGGAGGAAAGAGTGGGCAGAGAACAAGGGGAGGAGGAGCCCATGTCCTCCTGGGGGCCTGGGGGACGTCTGTGCACACAGTCATGCAGATTGGCCATTGGTCAGTCCATCTGCTGGACTGAGAGTCCTTAAACTCCTTGATTGTGGCTGGATGAGAGTGCCCGAGAAACTGGGGCTGGAGTATTTGCCCTCAGGACACTTGGGATTAAGTGATGCATATATACACACACACAAACACACACACCCCCACACACACACCAAGAAGCTTGGGCACAAGCTAGCCTTACCAGTGATTTCCTAAAGGGCATGATTTAGAGCAGTCTGGGAAGATGCTCCATCAAGAAATCACTCTTCCATTCTATTACCTGGAATTCCTGTTTCTGCAAGGAGCCACTTTGACTTTGCTTGTATCTTAGTCAGGGAAGGTACTGACAGAGCAAGCTGCCTAGTTTGGGAGGTGGACTGCCTCCCAGCCTGGCTTCTTTCTCTTTGGTTCCTGACATAGCTGCTTAGATGCCAAGTGGTGGCCACTCGGGGCTCAGAGCCAGGCCCAGCACAGCCTCTGGGCCAACTGGAGGACCTGCCATTAAAGGCTGGAACACAAGCTCCCGGAGGCACAGGTTCATGTCGAGTTTGTTTAGTGCCTAGAACCGTGTCCAGCACACCATTGACACTTTGTGAATATTTGTTGGATGAATAAATGAATGAATGAAGATCTTTCAGAACTCCTGAGTCAAGGTTTTACTTTATGAATGGGCTCTTTTAAAATGCAGATGCCTGGGTGAGAGGCAGGGCACTAAGTTGTCCGAAGTCATGAGAAGTGGCCAGGCTTTGGGTCAGACAGATCCGGGTTAGAATCTTAACTTAGTTAACCACAAAGGGTGTGACCTCAATTTCTTCATCTGCAAAATGGGATAATGATGTGTACCTCTTAGAATTGTGGCATAGATTAAATGTGTAGGAACGTGTAAGCTGAGAGTGAGAGGAAAGGCACACAAGAAGCTCAAGCAGAAGGGAGACTAAAGAGAAGCAGCTTAATTTTGGGAAACTCTTGCTGCAAGCTGGTTTGGCAGGGAATCCCTGAAGTGAAGTGAAAGGACACTCACATTCTTGGCTGGCTTGGGGAGCCAAATCCAGCTCCTGTGTTCCAATCCTGAAGTAGTGGGGAGAGGGGGAGATCTGGTCCTCACCAGGCAGCGAGGGCAGAATGGACCAGCAACTCCTTAATCGGAACTGTTTATTCCTCCCCATTATGAGTCAGTTCCACCTTACTGTGGATGAGTTTGCGAGAGCCTGCTTTTTCTTTCTGACTCAAGGAATACAAGTTTTGATAAAGTAATGAGGACAACAGAGGATTATTTTGGGGCTGGGAGGTGAAGCCTAAGAAGGCTTAACCAGGGTGCCTCAAACCTGGGGAAAAGCATAGAAAGCAGATCATTGAGGATCTATTTTTCGCTAGACACACTTGCTTGGGAACTAGAAAATCAAAACTTAATAACTCTGCAAAAAGCCCTTTGTAAACCTACACTATTTAATCTAATTACTACAAAACTCAGAGAGATTTTCATGGAAGACATTATTTTCCTAATTTGAAGATGGCAAGACTGCAGACCAGAGAATGGAGGTAGATGGGGATACAAGCTTGCTTTGAGGACTCTCCAAACCTTGGAAAGCTTGCTTTGAGGACTCTCCAATCCTTGGAAAATACATTTCTTGGCTGATGTGACCGTTAAAGCTAGAAGAACCAAATGGTCATTTCGGAGCTTTGGTCACTGAGATCCTTTCAAGATTGGTAAGGTTAAAAAGGTTGTAAACAGTGGGGACAGGTTCACCTCCAACTCTGCCAGCCACAGTGGAGGCAGCAAGAGATTGCGGTGGGGCAGAAGCTGGATTCTGGAAGACACGGACAGGGGCTGGAGCCAGATACTCCAGTGCCGTTACCAGGTCCGACTGTCCCCATGCTTGGGATGGCCTTGTGACTGTGTTACCTGCGATGGCAGGGTTGTCATTCAGACTCTGGGGTTCACGACCCGGGATAAACCTGTTGCTGCACAGCCTTAGGGCACAGGCATCTGGGTCCTCACAGCAAGACGGCGAACTCTCTGGGTGAGTTTGTGTCAGGAAGTGAAGCTGGACAGGCAGAAAGGGCCCGACCAGAAAGGGCCTCTTCTGATCACAAAGATGTGTGGGTGTTAGCTTGTGAGTGAACAGCCCGGGGTGTGCACCATGTCATACAGGTGCATGTGGAATTGAAGTGTATAATACCCTGGACAGGAACAGCTGCATAATCTGTGCGTTCCTCTAGTGCAAAATGAAAATGCGGGGCCCCTTGTTCAGGAAGTGTTAAGAACTTCAGTACAGTGATAGTGGACCATTAAACAAAATGCAGCACTCTCTGAGTGTGTGCCCAGAGTGACTATCCAGGTTAGACACCCATGAAGCCAGACCTGATCCTAGGGACGAGGGCTATTGGGGCTAGGGAGGCTTCTGTCATTGCAGGCTTGGATTTGCCTGCAAGCCTTTAGTTTGTTCTGGGGCTACAGAAGGCTGGAAAACATCTTCTTGCAGACTTCCTTCCCTGAAAGCTCTGGGGTCTGGAGTGCGGGCAGAGGAACGTGGGTGTTGGGGGACGAGGGCTGCCTCTGACAGAGCAGGCACAGAGGGAAGTCTCCCCACCTCCCACCCGGCACCGTTTCCTCCCCACCCCAAAGCCAGAGCAAGGTAATAGTTTTCGACACATTTCATTGAAATATAATAAAATATTTGCATGACGTTATTAGATAAATAAGGGTTGACTTGAGGCAGCGCTTATTGGGAAGTGCGATATGAAAATTCATTTAATATGAAAGAACGTGGAAGCTTAAGGTTATGGTAATGGATTGATTGCAGATAGTATCTAATAACTCCATACGAATATATTTCAATCACAATATCTGTCGGGTTGGTCCTTGGCTCCAGAGGCATAAGGGGGTGATTGTATCCTCGACCTCTCTTCCAGGCCAGATTAGAATTAATTAATTGCTAATATTGTGACATTACTTTTGTAATTAAGAAGCCCCACCATTTCCGGTGGCAGCGAGAATGAGAAGTGTTTATTATTGTCTCAGATGAGGCAGTGGGGAGAAAGACAAGCAGAAAAGTCATAGAGAGAGGGGAATCCAGGAAGGGAGAAGGTAATTATTTCACTCTCTGGGTCTTGAGGTTTTCTGTTTTGCCTGCAGAGTGGAGCCCTGGATAAGAGGCAGGGTCTCAGGGCTGGGCCACAGGCAGAGCTTCAGGCACCCGCACAGAAGGTCAAAGGCGACCCTTCTTGCAGATGTGCTGATCCCAGGAGGCCTGGCCCAGGAGCCAGCTGAGTGAGGGGGCTTGGGCAGGTGGGAAACTGTGGCTATGACCGGGGTGGGGAAAGCAGAGACCATAGGTGGGTCATGGCTGATGAGCCAGTGACATGCCCCTTCCTCCCTTGATAAACTGTGACATCCATTTGTCCTTGGGTGAGATGAGCTGGGTGAGGTGGTTGCTGTCACTTCTGGGTATCTGCAGAGGGGCTGGAGGAGGAGGAGGACAGTTGCCTGTCCAAGGCCCCCATATGCTGGCCGGTCTCCCAATGCATGACCCTGGAGTTTGCTTGTCTTTCTGCCTTTTCCCTTCCTGGGGAGAAAATGGAAATAATTTCCTTTGAAACGTGACATTTCCTAATCCAGCGCCCAGCTTGGCTGACAGCAGGATTAGCGCGCACGGGCTGCCAAGCCTGGCTGGCCATATGCAGGCGCCTCCCATGGGGCTGCGGTGGCCAGCGCCAGCCCCTCCCCTAGCTCTTCTCCCATCCCAGTTTGGTCTCAGCTGCCCCCTCTGTCTGTGCATTGGGAACTGGTGGGCTGCAAGCCACTCAGGCCCTTTCCTGAGACTTGGATAGGGTACAGGTTGTGGTGGGCTCTTTTACCCACCAGAAGCTGTCAGTGTTGTTAGCTCAAGGGAGAGGGAGGAAGGCAGGAACCTGGAGAGCGTGTTCAAGACTTGGTTCTGTGTAGACCAGCTGTATGACCTGAGGCTATTCACACCTTCTCTGGGTGTTAGTCTTCTTATCTTCCAAATGAGAGTTTTGCAGTAGATTGTTGCTACCCCATTGGTTCCCAGCAGTCTCTGATTCTAGAGTCTTCCTCAAAGCACTTTTAGTAATAAGGGCCAACCCAAATAATAAGAAACCAGTAGCTATTTGTCGGGGAGGCATTCTTCTGGCTCTGCTCTCCTTCTCTGTTCCTGTCTCCTCAGGTGCCCGGGACTGGGGGCTTTTCCCGTGTGGTCTCTCCATCCATGTACCCAACAGACAGCAGTTCAAACCCTCTTGCCATCAGGTTCCTAGCCGATTAGAGTGCATGATGTTGAAACCCCACAACAGTGTGACAGGTAGATGGTCTTCTCCTGCTTTTTACAGAGGAAGAAACTGAGCGTCGGAGAAGTTAGGTGACTTTCTCCAGTGATTAGCTCAAGCGAATTTGAACCCAGAGTGGCCCAGCTCCAAATCCCCTGCGTTCGCAGGCTGCATCTCATGTGTATGAACCGTCCTCCCACAATCCCCACCCAAGGCCAAGTCCATGAAATCTGGGAGTTGGGCTATCAGCCCTAGGCTATCCTGGCTGTGTGTGTAATTTTTATTTTTATTTTTGTAGTGGGGATTGGGGTACTTCCTGTGGGGCATCCTAGCGTGGCCCTCAGCACCATAGCTGGGATCCGGCACTGTGATCTCCAAGACTGGGACCTTCGGAGGTGTCCCCAGATGCAGAATGCCTGAGCCCCAGGCTGTGTCCACAGATGGAAATCAGGGCTGAAAATTCAGATTGGACAGCTCGTCAGGGAGAACCCTACAAGATCTGAATAGTTTTGCTGTGGTGGAATTTTCTGGAGCAGATGCTCATCTCTTTTCTGACCTTGGGGACCAAGAGAAGGACCCGAGGGAGCCTAGGCTTTCGGTGATGAATAAGTGAGAGGAGGAGAATCTGTGAGCTCTGGCCAGGAGAGCAGGACCCTGGGAGGTCCTGGCCACCAGGGGCATGGAATTTCTTCCCTCCTCTGGCCTCAGTTTCTAATCTGTCCATCAGAGACTTGGCTTGGCTCTGAGAGTCTAGGGTCTTTCTGAAGCACTTCAAGGCCGGCGGAGGCCGGGGAGGTGAGGAGATCCTGCTCCCGCCCCTTCCCATTCCTCCTTACCCTGCCTTCTCTGCTGTGTGCCAATGTTGTAACGTGACTTAAAAGTTGAAGAACGTTTTCTTTAGGGGGCTGGAGTGTTTGTGGTGGAAATGAGGGAGGGGAGTTGAAGGGTAATTGTTGCTTTAATGGCAGGAGGAAAGAAGTGTACACAGCAAAGGGAAGCTCAGCCCGCCCTTCCCGATCTCTAACGCAAACAGCCCACAATTAAGCTCCTTCACTGCATTCAGAGTTACAGATAGGAGAGAATGCTTCTCGCGCACGGCCCCGTGGTGGAAGGAAGACAGTTTGGTCATAGAATATTTGTCTTGGAAAAAAAAAAAAGGTCCAAACCCTGTGGGCTGCGAGAACTGGGCCCACCTGTGTGAGATAGGTGTGGTCCACTAGGAACACCCATCCTTTCTCCTGAGGTGGATGTTTACCTGGCCTGCCTCTTTTGAAGGCCAGGGGCCTTTGTCCCACTCCACAATCCTGTCTCTTTCACATTTATCTGTCTCTCACCTTATCCTTTCTTCTGTGTTGGCATCTCTTTCTTGGTGTCCCTACCCCTCCCATTTTCCTCTCTCATTCTCTCCCTCCCCATCATCGATCTCCCGATCTCCCGACCTCTGCATTAGCATTCACAACCTCCGACACCAGCCACTTAGGCCAGAAAGACAGCTCCTTGGAAACACAATTGAAATATTTTTATAAATGACCAGCGGAGTTTGAGTGACATGCCCTTCTCAGGCTAAATAAAATTAAAGTTAAACCTTCTAAAAAATACATGAGCCAAACATCCTCTGCACATTTCATTATGCAAATGCAGCTGTCCAGCCCTGCACAAATTAGCCCTCCTTTTGAAATTCGCTGCTGCTCCTTCCCTTCCCTTTGCTTTCCTCTTTTTTTTCCCCTCTCTCTCTGGGTTTTGAGCGAAAAGGCTTTGTGATTTTAGGCCAGCAGCTGAAGTCTGGGGGAGAGGCAGGAGGCTGGAGGGTGGGAGGACCAATGAACTCCTTCTGATTTTCTCTTTGTCCCCTTTCTTCCCTCTCTTTGAAAGGAAGGCGATAGAAAAACAATGAGCACAGAATGATGCCAGCCTCACCCTTTCTCTTTCCAAACTGCTTTGCGGGGTCTGGCCGGGAGAGGTCAGTCTGGGGTTGGGAATAGGGGCTCCCGGGAGTGGGGGCTCCGCCATCCCTCAGTCTGGGGGCCCTGGTTGCCGGCAGCCCTGAGGGAATGGAAGGATGAACAGACCACAGACCCACCTCCACCCCAGGTCCAGGCGCTCGGGCCCCAGGGTCTGCATGATAAAGCACGGCTTTTCTCTATGGCCTGAATCCCAGTGGCAATTGGAAAATTGAGCCATGTTTCAGTTGTGTCCTCTCCTCTGTGCCCAGGCTGCGGTGTCAGGGAGAATTTGGCTTTCTTGCAGAATTTGGCTTTCATGAGAGAGTCACAGCCCTTGTCAGGGAACTGTGGAAAGGGAGGTATGATTGGGATAGACTGGAGACAGCTACCCTCCCCAGGCCAGCGGACCACATCATTGAGGGAGGACTGTGGTCCTTGTAACCTTTCCTGCACATGAGCTGCCACAGATGAATTATCTCCATGAGAATAACTTACTGGCTCCCAACCCCTTAACGAGGAAAATACATCAGGGAAAGGAACCAAAATAAGTTACATGAAAGTATAAATTACCTCCTAGAATCTCAGCATTTAGATGTGTTTTAGAGGGTTTTTGGTTTCACCTTATTGGTATAGGGGCCAAGATCAAAGTTGATATGGTAACTTGGCCAAGGTCACAGGCCCGATGAGAACAGGCTCCTGGTTTAATGCTGTCTGAGTTCCTTCAGGCTGGTATCACAGGACACCATAGGCGAGATGATGTCTAAAGAACAGAATTGTATTTCTCACAATTCTGGAGGCTAGAAAGTGCAAGGTCAAGATGCTGACAGATTCAGTGTCTGACAAGGGCCCCTTTCTGGTTCTGCTTTCTGTGTCTTCAGATGGTGAAAGGGGCTAGCTAGCTCTCTGGGGTCTCTTTTATAAGGAAACGAATCCCATTTGTAAGGATGGAGCCCTCATGACCTCATCGCCTCCCAAGGACCCCATTCCTAATACCATCCCCCTGGGAATTCCGACATATGAAACTTGGGGTGGGGAAACACAAACATTCCACCTATTGCACATTCTCTTCTTTAAGCAGAAGCACCAAGGGCCAGGCACAGAGAGAAGAAGGTTGCAGGGGCAGAATGAGCTTCTGGGACAAATGTCAACTGACCTTCCCCCATCCCCAGATATAGTCCTGCCCTTCCTCCCACATGTGTGGCCTTGCTTGCATCCAACTTGTTCTTCACCCATTCCTGGTTATCCACTCTGAACCTCCAGGACTGAGTGTTGATTTCAGATGATTCCTCCCCCATCACATCTCCCAACGATTCCAGGCGAGTCTATGGAGTCTCGGTTGGTCTTGCCCTTGCTGTCCTACTGCTTGCCTCCTCTTCCTGAGCTCTGTCCACCTAGAGGATCGGGCGTGGGGAAGGGACGGGGGCAGAGAGAGTGGTAGATGGAAGTAACTCAGTTTACTAAGTATGTCACAACGTGGGGAGACTGACAGCAGCCTTCCTTCCCGTTCCAGCCTTCCTAGTCCAGACCCTCCTTTTTCATAAGCTTCCTTTACTCTCCTTCTGAGCCACTCTTTCCTGTTGCTGGGGAGATTCCTCTTCTGGCTCTCTGATTCTTATCAGCACCTTCTTACTCAAGAGCTTTAAATGTTCAGCCTGGCATCAACACATATTTACTGAGTCTCTACTATATGCTAGGCATTAGGCCAGGCAGAGGGAGCACAACTGATTCCTGTCCTTGTGTAGTTTATAATCTAGTAGGGAAGAGGGATACGGTCATGTGGAAGGAGACAGTGTCAGGGATGGAAGCCTCTCGGAAAGTGGGGATGTGACAGTGTGGCCGACATTGGCTAGTTGTGTCAAAACCTTTCTTCTTCCTGGGACAGATCAGACTACGTGTCCCAGTCTCCCTTGCAGTGAGGTATGATTTTGTGACTGAGGTCTAGTTCTGTGCTGGTTAAGGTATTGTTCTGAGGACAGCAGCATCAGTATTGCCGGGAGCTTGCTAGGAGCGCAAAGTCTCAGGCTCCATGTCAGACCCACTGAATTGGAATCTCTGGGAGTAGGGCCCAGGAATCTGTAGGCAAAAGTACGAGAAGCTGTTTTAGCCAATGGAATAGGAGTAGAATGGAGACTCAGGTGGCCCAGTGGTTCTGAGGGGTTGTATTCTTTTTCCTTCTGCTTATTGGACAGCAGGTGCATAGAATTGAGCTAATCATTCCTGGTAGTACTTGGAAACTGTCATCGTTCCTCTATGAAGGTCCCTATTTGTTTTATTTTGTTTCATTATTTCTCTCCATTTCACTCCCACCCCTAACTCCAACTCCATCTCCATCTCCATCTCTTGTAAGAAACAGACGTGTATACATGTATATATATTTTGGTCTGTTTCTTACCTTTTTCACTCCACCCTATTTTAAGTACTAATTCATGCTGCTGTACAGACATCTATTTCACTGCTTCTGGCTTGCTATATAGTATTTCAGCCTATGCACCCACTAAATACTGCTTTCGATTCCTCTCAGTTCTGACAGACACCCAAGTTGCCTCAAATTCCTGGCAGTGATGAACAATTTTAAGCATGTTCTTTTATGAATCTCGTGGAAGTTTATTTGAGGTTTGTCCCCAGGAGAGGGCTTGCTGGGCTGTGCTCAGTTTCCCTTAGAACTGCCAACAGCCCTTTCAGTGGACTCTCCCAGCCCCCAACTCCCTGTGCCTGTTTCCCCACATTTTTTTCCAACACTTAGTGTGATCTGGCTTTCTAACTGTTGCCAGGCTGATGGGTTTAAAGGGGTACTTCACTGGTTTTTAACATTTACTTGATTACTATGTGGTTGTATATCTCTTCACATACCTGTTGTAGGGAAGGACTTTTTCAGATTTTACCATATGCGAATTGTCTGGTCATACTTTTGCCATTCCTCAGTTGTCTATTTCTTGTAGATTTGAAGGAGTTCCTAACATATGCTAGCTATGCACATATTCTTTGTCTTAGTTGTTGCAATAATTTTTCCTAGTTGGTCACCTGCCTCTCTATAGTACTGTTAACTCTATAGTACCCTTCAGTGAACAGAAATCCTCAGTTTTATTCTAGTCAAATGCATTATTTCTTTTTTGCCTTATGGTTTGTACCTCTTGGGGTCTTATTATAGAAATCTTCCCACACCAAGGTCACAAAGATATTCTTTTTACTTTTTCCTCCATTAGCTTTAGAGTTTTACATATCACATTTAGGGTCTTCATCTTCTGGGGTTAGTTTAGGTTTTTATATAACAGAAAGAGAGATGTAAAGTTTTTAATTTTATTTATATGTTAAGCCAGTCTTCTCAACACTACACACTAAGCAAAGCCTTTTCCTCCAGGGCTTTGTGATTTCACCTATGTCATATACTTGATCTAAACACACACACACACACACACACACACACACACACACACACATCACCTGTATGTTTTAGTCCTAGGTTCTCTCTTCTGTTCTATTGGTTTGTCAGTTCACAGTTCCTGTGATCATTCTGTAGTTTTCTTTTAAAAAAATTACTGTGGTAGTTATTAGAACGGTTTACAAACAGTTTAATTCTTCTGTCTTTCAGGAAAATGGTAGGTTTGCACTTTCCTGTTCACTTGGAGTTAGATGTAACTATGTGACTTGATTTGGACAATGAAATGTGAGCCTGTGACACATATCGCTTCTGGGAGGAAGCTTTTATAGCCAGTGTGTAATTCTCCATGTCCCCTTCCCCTGCTGTGACAAACTCCATGCTCCAGGTCGGGCAGGTGCCGTCGGCCTGGATTGTGGAGTGAGGAGAAGCAGAGCAGATCCTTCAGGCAACCCACTGTGGACGTGCAACAAGAGCAAGGAACAAATCTTTGCTTTTTGAAATGATTGTGCTTGGAGGTTTTTGTTTCTGCACCATCTAGCCTGTCCTGACTGAAACAATTGCCATGGTTTGTACTATTAGCTGAGAGGGAACATCACTCTTCCTTGTTCTTCTTTAAAAAATTACTTCTTTGTGACTTTTTTCTTCCATTTTGTCAATCTTCTAAGAAATTCCAGCTGAAAAAAATCCACCCACCCAAGCAGTTTTGAGCAAGAGTGTGACAGAGGTGGGAGGGGTTTATATTGCTGAAATACAGAGAGATTTCGTCTTCACAACAAGCATTACCTTTTAAAGTACATATGAGGTGCCACATCCCCAATGTCTTCACTGCCGTTGATTTATTCCAGCCTCCTACTGCTTTTCTGGCTCATGTTCCCCGTCTTCCCTTCTTGATTTTGATTCCCTCTCACACTTCCTTTCATGTGAACGATAAATTCCTCCTAGGTCTCTTGCAGGGAGCTCTTCCCCTTCATCCAAAGTTTGGTGCTTTTGGTGGGGTGGAGATGGGGTGGGTGAGTGGGTGGGCTTCACCTTTTATCCCACATTTATCAAGAGAACTTTCCAAACAGTGACAGTTCTTCCCTAAGAGGAATTCTGATGCCAGCTGTTAAAATAATACAAAATTACCCACTTTGTTACAAATAAAAGATGCAGGGAAAAATTACTTAGCTATTAGGGGTGGGGAGAGGGGAAGGAAGACATACATTCAGATAACATATAAAAGAATACACTTCATATGGATAAAGAAGTTAACTTTAAAAGGAATGACACGTGCAAACTATGTATTTTAGTTACACAATTTTATGTACCTAAAAATGAAGTCATAGAAAAAATAGAATAAATATCTAACCCATTTGTTTTTTTTTCTTTTCTTTTTTAAATTTTTTTTTTTTTTTTTTTTTTGAGATGGAATATCGCTCTGTAACCCAGGCTGGAGTGCAGTGGTGTGACCTTGGCTCACTGCAACTTCTGCCTCCCGGGTTCAAGAAGTTCTCCTGCTTCAACCTCCTGAGTAGCAGGGCCTACAGGCATGTGCCAGCATGCCCAGCTAATTTTTGTATTTTTAGTTGAGATGGGGTTTCGCCATGTTGGTCAGGCCGGTCTTGAACACCTGGCCTCAGGTGATCTACCTGCCTCTGCCTCCCAAAGTGCCGGAAGTACAGGTGTGAGCCACTGCGCCCAACCCTAGCCCATTTCTAATCTTAAAAGTAACGGTAGAAATCATATACAAGAGAACGGACGGGCTTTTTTTTTTTCTTTTGAGACAGAGTCTTGCTCTGCCACCCAGGCTGGAGTACAGTTGTTATAGGATCTCTGGGGTGTCGATTTTTCTGGCCAGGTACCTCTGTGGCTGTGGTGCCAGCTGCCCAAGTTCTTGTCCTGTGTCCAGGAAGAATGAGTTATGTAGAGAAGTGAAGGGTGAAGAAGAAGAATTTTATTTAGTGTTAGAACAGCTCAGAGGAGTGAGTAGCTCCTCTCTATAGTGAGGTCATCCAGTGGAGTGTTCGGCTGTCTGCAGAGAGGAGGCCCTAGAGACGATAGCTCCTCTCTGCAGACAGGTCCTTCAGACATTTCTACAGATCTCTGAAGCTCTCAGTGGAGAGGGTAGCTCCTCTCTGCAGGCAGGTCGTCTCTGCAGCTGGTCTTCCCATTCTCTCTCTGCCCTCTTCATCCTCTGGTCGTCCTCTGCTCTGCTCTGGCTGAGCCCATGGCTTTTATGGACCTCAGAGGGGAGGGAGTGATTGCTGATTGGTCCATGGGCGGCCATGGACTGCCTGGAAAAGGTATCACAAGTCCCCCACACTGGTGGCAGGACTGGCAGCCTGGCCCTCAGCCTTCAGGCCCTTACTGGCCTGAAGGTGGGGCCTTACTGGGGACTCATTCTCTTCCATCCGGGAATCAATCTGCCACCTGCTGTCATTCATGGCCCCGGGGGTGCCCCCACTCCCAGATTGGAGCAGGTCCCAGGAGCAGAAAGAGGTCAGGCAGTGGGAGCAAACATCCCCGAACCTACAGGGATGGGGCGTTGTGGGGGGTGTAGAGGTCCTTCCTGGGGCCCCCGAGGGTGCAGGCTGCAGAGACACCTGGCTCCTGTGCCTGGGAACATGGGAAGGCAAATCTTGCCTGCTTGTGGCTCTCCCCAAAGAGCACAGGGAGGCTCCGATCCACAGCTGCAGTTTGGGTGTCTGTAGCCCTGCTCAGAAGGGTGGGGCTCCTGCCTACTCCATAGAGCAGGAGGCCTGGGTCTGCAGGTGTGGTTTTGGAGGCTGCAGTGGTGTAGGCAGCTCCTGTTCCAACTCAGAAGGGGCAGGGCTCCCACTGGCTCTATGGAGTGTGCAGCCCCAGCCACGCTTCCCACTGTGTCCTGAGATCACACTGGTGTGATCACGGCTCACAGCAGTCTCAACCTCCCAGGCTTAAGTGGTCCTCCCACTTTGGCCTCCCGAGTAGCTGGGACTACAGGCATGCACCACCATGCCCAGCTAATTTTTAATTTTTTTGTAGAGATGGGGTCCTCCTATGTTGCCCAGGCTGGTCTTGAACTCCCGGGCTCAAGTGATCCTCCCACTGTGGCCTCCCAAAGTGTTGGGATTATAGATGTGAGCCAGTACACCCAGCCTGGACAGGCTTAACTACATAAAAAGGTAAAACTTCTAAATGTCCAAACAGTATAGGCAGGATTTAAGGGCAATCAATAAACTTGGAGACTTTTTTTTTTCAATAAACATGACATGAAGAATTCTGTATCTTTAATAAATAAAGCATTCATCAAATCAAGAAAACCCAGTAATGCTCTTCAGAAAAAAGCAGTCAGATGAATAGGTAATTCCCCAAGGAGGAAATGGAATAACTAAATAACTAACATACAGGAAAAATATTCAGATTCATTCGTAATAAACAAAAAACTCATTTTAGAAGTCCTGCTGGAATTTTGTTTGAAATTGTATTGAGTGTATAGATTAATTTGGGGATAACTTTCTCTATTAATTTGGGTCTTCTGTTTTACCGTTTGATAGTGTGTAATTTTTCTTCATAAAGGTTCTTTGCATGTTTAAGTAGGTTAATTTAAGATACTTTATATTTTCTGTTGGTCTGTACTGTGACTAACACCTCATTTCTAGTTTAATATTGAAGTAGGGGGGTCCAGCTGTCTGCCTTGGGGGGAAGATGAGCTTGGTGTCTTTTTGTTTTCTAGTTCACCACCTCCTGGCTACCACAGGCTCTCGCTCACCACTTTGGTGCTTGAGTACCAGGAGGGGAGAGAAGACGAGAGAAAGTTCTTATCTGAACAATGCTGTCAAAAGATGGCCTCGGTGATTTTGTGCTGTATCAGCTTAGCTAGAATTAAGTTGCCCAGAATTTCTTTCCCTGGCTGATTCCCTGCAATCCCCCACCTGGGCACCTGGGAGGGCACCGGTGAGTTCAGCCAGCCCCTGTTTCATGGGGCTGGGGTGGGGCTGGGGCTGGGGCTGGGGCTGGAGCTAAGCAGTTGGGCATCTGGGCCAGGGAGGGGGCGTCAGCTCCTCACCCTGCAGCAGGTGGGCTGCTTTGCTCCTGGTTTGCAGGTGTGCCCACTGCATGTAGCTATGAGGTTCAAGCCCCTGCACTCTCCTCTTCACCCCACCAGTGGGCCAGACTGGGCTGAGGCTTGCTGGGAGGGCTAAGCCTGGTCTTGCCTGGATGTCAGGGTGCTGGGTTTCTGTCCCTCTGAGGCATAGGTGGGTCTCTGAGATATAGCAGTTTCCTTCTCCAGCTTGCAGAGGAAGAAAGGTCTCTTCCCAGAGAGCAGAGCCTCTGAACAACCTTGGCTGTGGATAGAACATTCTGTTGGAGTCAACAAGGGTCGTGGTGCTTGACCACACTGTGAGGAGCATCCGTTTCTCCTATGCTAGTTTACATAGCTCATTCTTTCTAATTCTGAGAACAATCCTAAGAGATAGTGCTATTGAGACTCAGGGTAAGAAACTTGTCCAGGGTCTAATATCCAGCTAGTAAGTAATAACCCCATGGAAGTCATATCAAATCACATGCCCACCAGCAAAAAGAAATCCTGGGTCTCCATACTTTTGCCTACAGAGGAGTATTGAACTTACTGACTCTTGATCGTCTGTTAGGTGTAAAGTGGTGTCATAATGTTCACATTTGTCTTATTACAGGAGATGTCCAGCATCTCTTCTCGTGTTGAAGAGCAATCTCCTTTTAGGTGAAGGTCTGTTTGTACCCTTTGTCCAGTCTCTCATTGATTTATAGATGTTGTTTCTTCTTTGAGAAAAATTAACTCTTTGTGATACAGTTTTCAAAAGATATTCTTCTATTTTGTCATTTCTTTTTTGGTTTTATTTATGCTTTTGACCACCTCATCCATCAGCCCCCAACTAGGCAAATTCGATTTTCATGTGGGCAAACTAATACACTTTTTTTTTTTTTCCTGGCTCTGGGTTTTGGATCAGAATCAGAAAGGTCTACCTCATTCCAACGTTATATTTGTAAAGTGATCTCATTTTTCTAGAATTTTATGGTTTTATTTTTATAAAAATGTATATCTTTGATTCTTAAGTTGATTTTGGTATAAATTGTGTGGCAGGGATCCAACTTTACGTTTGTGCCTTCCCCTCAGATGGCTACCCACTTGTCTGAATGCTATTTATGAAAAAATTCTGTCTTCTACTCTTTTGAAACTATGTGTCTTCAGGTCTCTTCTGTTTCATCAGTTTGTTCCTCCAATCATGTCATGTAGTGTTTTAAATATAGCTCTGTCACTTTATAATATGCTTTACTATCTGGTAAGACTAGTCTTGATTCTACCAACTGTTAATTTTCTTCAAAAATATTTTTCTAGTAATTCTTGCTTATTTACTTCTAGAGGTTATCATTTATTTCAGAATCATCTTTTTAGTTCTCTTCCCCAAACATCCAAGCAAACAAAAACAAATAAAATTTTTTAAAAATCATACTCTTGTTGGTATTTGGGAGGCAGTACTACATAAAATCTATATACTAACATAAGGGGAGTTTGATATATTTTTGATGTTGAATCTTCATAGGCAAGTGTTCTATTGGTGCTTAGTTGTGTTTTCAGTTTTTTTCCCTCGTAGGTTTTCTGTGTTTCTTGGCTTGATCTTATGTTATCTTTCCTGCTTCTGTCGCTATTCTAAATGTATCTTTTTCTTCCTCTATGTCTTCTAACTGCTTGTTGTTTATATATATATTTCAGTATGTTAATTTTATAACCAGCCAACTTAATAAACGTTCTTATTGTTTGTAACTTTTTTAGTTGATTATCTTGACTTCTCCAAGTAAGCAATCATGTCACCTTAAAATGATGAAAATTTTTACCTTCTCCTTTCCGATTTTCAAACCACTGGAACAATGTTAAATAATAGTGGCAGTTTTGTACATCCTGACCTTGTTTCTGGCTTTAATGAGAATGTTCACAATGTTTCCCCATTAAACATTATTGTGATTATTGCACAAACTTATCTTTTATCATATTTTAATTTTACTATATTTTTATTGTTTTTTTTTTTTTTATTTTTGTAGAGACAGGGTCTCACTATGTTGCTGAGGCTGAACTTCAACTCTGGGGCTCAAGTGATCCTCCTGGCTTGGCTTCCCAAAATCTTTTATCATATTAAGGAAGTATCCATTCATTACTATTTTATGAGGCCTAACAAAATCAAGCATGGGTGTGAATTTTTCAAGTGTTTTTCCAGCATCTATGAGGATAATCTATGCGGTCTTTCTTTCTTGATCTATTAATAAACTGAATTTACAAAATATTTTTTCAGTATGCAATCATTCTTGAATTCCTAGAATAGTCTATTTGGCCATTTTTTTAAATGTGCCACTGATTTCTGTTTTCTAATATCTTAGTTTTTTGTTCTTGTGATATTATGATATCACACTTATGAAGTGTGTGCTTTTTGTGCTTTGTCACTTTTTGATGTCACTGTTATGCTGTTTCATACAAAATAATTGTAAGTTTTTTTCTTTCTTTCTTTTTTTTTTTTTTTTTGAGATGGACATTCGCTCCTGTTGTCCAGGCTGGAGTGCAGTGGCACAATCTTGGCTCACTGCAACCTCTGCCTCCCAGGTTCAAGCAATTCTCCTGCCCAAGCCTCCTGAGTAGCTGGGATTACAAGTGCCTGCCACCACGCCTGGCTAATTTTTGTATTTTTAGTAGAGATGGGGTTTCACCATGTTGGCCAGGCTGGTCTCGAACTCCTGACCTCAGGTGATCTGCCCATCTTGGCCTCCCAAAGTGCTGGGATTACAGGCGTAAGCCACCACCCTCAGCCATAAGTTTTTTTTCTCTTTGTGTACTCTGAAGGAGCTTACACAGCATCAGGATGATTGTCCTTAGTTTTCCATAGAAATTAATCTGTTAGATTGTTTAACTTTGCTATAGTTTTGGCAATTTACATTTTTCTGTAAATATTTCCTTTTATCCAGGTTCTCAAATTATTTTGCATATAAGTAAGCAAAGTAATGTCACGTTATGTTTTAAATGTTATCAGTTTCTATGGTTACTTTTTCATTAAAATTATTTATTTGGGTTGTTTCTGTTTTCTGTATTTAGCTTGATAAGGTTACCTAATGATTTATCTATTTTATTAGTTTTAAAAAATAGAATCAGCTTTGGGATTCATATATTCTTCAGTTCTTTAATTCATTTTATTTTGCTTTCAAATAATGCCTTCTTTCTGCTTTCCTTAGCTTGACTTCGTTGTCTGTTTCTCTAACTTCTCGAGTTGGATGCTTAATTATTTTCATTTACTTCATGCTTATTTTTATTTTTACTCTTCTGACATAAATATTTTCATTAGGATTATTTTAAAGGTATTTTTCAACTTTAGTTTTGACCGCCTCTTTGTTCCAAGTACTATTTGAGAGAAAAAATAAAAATTTCTGAGTGAAAATGATTTTACTTTAAAATTCTAATTTTATTACATTATAATCCCAGAGTATTATTTGTATAGTTTCTACTTTCCAGAGTTTATCGAGGTTGTCTTTTCAGCTAAAGATTTTCAGTGTTTAAATTTTCTGTTTTCAGGGTATTGAGCTGAATATATGTCAGAATGACCTAATGAATTAGATTATTTGCTCCTCTGTATCTTTATTTTGTGTTTACTTCTTCTGTCATGGACTGGGTGGTCAACAGTAACCTCTGACTACTTATGTGCTTCTAATTCTTTTAATTCCTTTGGTTTTACTTTAAGGAAGTTGATGTGATGGTATTTGAAGAATACATATTCTTGACTGTTAGATGCTCATTGGAGATGGCACTCATCATTATCAAGTTTTCATTCTTCTAATTTAATGCTCCTCTGCATCCTCACTTCCTCCCCCAAGTTCCATCTTGTCAGCTACTAAAATTGGCTCCTTGCTTTCTTTTTGTGTTTGCATGTTGTATCTTTGCCCAGTCTTCTGTTGTCAACTTAAGTAATTGTGTTGTAAAATATAGAAATGTGGGCTTTATTTTCTGATCTAGTCTGAGAGCAAATATTTTTAGTAGGTAAAATGATTCCATTCACATAAATTAATATGACAGAGATGCCTGGTCTTAGCTATTTTTTCTTTTAAATCAAGTTTTATGTTACACTTTCCGGTTTTACTGCTGCTTTTTTTTTTTTTTTTTTTTTTGGTGATCTTTTACCTCATATTCTGTTTTTATTTGGTTGATTTTTATGTATGTATTTCTTCTAATAATTTGGAAGGCTTGCATTCCCCCTCCCCAGTGGTTATGATATCTATCTCTATATTTATATCCACATCTATCTATATAAAGATATAAATATATCTTTTCCCTCAATATCTGTTGACTACTTTCTATGAGAATGAATTACGGTATTTCTACTTACTCTAATCTCCCCACCACCACTTTTAGCTTATATTATTGCCATTTTTCTTAAAGTTTCCCTTTTATATCTCTAAATACACATGTATGTCTATCAATTTATTAGCTTTAAGTGAGCTCTTTAACAGCTATAAACAGAAAAGTTATCAGCACATTGATACTACTTTCTACCTCCTCTTTTCTTCTCCCATTCAAATTTTGTGAGTTACAGAATTTTTACATTATTGAGGGTTCTTATTTATTTATTTATTTATTTTTTCTGAGATGGAGGCTCACTCTGTCGCCCAGGCTGGAGTGCAGTGGCACGATCTCAGCTCACTGCAACCTCCGTCTCATGGGTTCAAGCGATTCTCCTGCCTCAGACTCCCAAGTAGCTGGGACTACAGACATGTACCACCAGGCCTGGCTAATTTTTTGTATTTTTAGTAGTAATGGGGTTTCACCGTGTTAGCTAGGATGGTCTCAATCTCCTGACCTCGTGATCTGCCCGCTTTGGCCTCCCAAAGTGCTGGGATTACAGGCGTAAGCCCCCGGCGCTCGGCCTATTGAGGTTTCTAACCTTTACATTTGGTTCTGTAAGTATAATCTCCGCATGACTTTAGTCTTGGTCTTACTCTCAGTTATATGGATTCAATGTCATCCTCATTTCTTTTGTTGTAGTTTCTTCCATTCATCTTTTTTTTTTTTTTTTTTTTTTTTTTTTTTTTTTTTTTTTTTATTCAGAGTTTCATTCCTGTTGTCCAGGCTGGAGTGCAATGGCTCAATCTCGGCTCACTGCAACCTCCGCCTCCTGGGTTCAAGCGATTCTCCTGCCCCAGCCTCCCAAGTAGCTGGGATTACAGGCATGTGCCATCATGCCTGGCTAATTTTTTTGTATTTAGTAGAGAGGGGTTCACCGTGTTGGTGAGGCTGGTCTTGAACTCCTGACCTCAGGCGATTCACCCACCTCAGCCTCCCAAAGTGCTGGAATTACAGGTGTGAGCCACCACGACTGGCCTTCCATTCATCTTTTGATGACCTTGAAATTATTCTCTTCTTTCTTCAAGCTCATGAGATGAGTGTTTTATGTTTTTGCACATTCATTAATGCTGCCTTTATACTTAATTGATAGTTTGCCTGGATACAGCATTCTTAGATTACACTTTTTATTTCTTTGCATTAAATAATATGGAGACATCTGAGGTTACCTTGGTTTTTTCTTTCACTTAAAGGCAACTTGATCTTTTGGGCTGGATGCTCCAAAGGCTTCTTTGTCTTTGAAGTCCAGTATCTTTTACTAGATTTGATTATTCCATCCCATGATTTTCCTGGAATACAATAGGCCCTTTCAATCTGTAGATTCAGTTCTTTTTTATTTTTGGAGAGTTCTTACAAGTCATATTTTTAAATATCTGTTCTCTTCACAGGGATGTGAATTGTATATATGTTTGTTTGTCTTTCATGCCTATCATTTTATCTTTCATGCTTTTTTTAACTTGTTCATTTCTACTAATTTCTCTTGCTTTTTTCAGTTTTGTCCTCTATATTCCTTCCTATGCTGTCAGCGGTGTCTCAGTTGGTTTTACATTTTTCTTCTACTTATTTTTCTGAACAATAGCATTTCATGATTTATATCACTTGCTTGTTTTGCCATATTTTTTTTCTTTTTGTAAATGAGATGTGATCTTGCTATATTGCCCAGGCTGGCCTTGAACTCCTGGGCTCAAGTGATCCTACCACCTCGCCCTCCCAAAGTGCTGGGATTATAGGCATGAGCCACCATGCCTGGCCATGAATACTTATACCACTTGTACCTCTTTTTTGCCCTTGTGGTTTATGGAGATAATTGCTTCATTGGGTTTTAAAATTTTCCTTGGTGATGTTTGTTCATCTTCTCCATGACACCATTTTTCTGGTGGGTATTCATCTATGATTTATTTTCATCTGTCTCTCCTTTTTTTTTGTAATATCTTTATTGTATAGATCCTATAGTTCGTTTTGATCATGAATTCATCTTTGACTGAAATGCCTTCTTCCTGGGCCAGATGTTTGCATGAAGTTCTGGAGGAAGGGGGCTGGGACATGTCCTTATTCTAGGCTACCAGGAATTCTCCTATAGGGACATTGGTGTGAGTAAGGTCTTTTAAGCCTTGCTTCTCCTTGGCCAACTGGCAATGACAGTTACAGACGAGCTCATGATGCAGAGCCTCTCTCCTCTATCCCACTTCATGGGTTGGCTGCTTCCTGCAGATGTGACTTTCTGTATGACTCAACATTCCGCCTCACCTTCTCTGTTTCTACTTTATATGAAAACAAGTTCAAGAAGGCTCCCACTGCCAGCCCACATGCCTTTTCTCATTATTCCTAACAAGCGAATGTTACTTTTTTGACCCTGGGGTACGGCACTTACCTTGGAGGGCCGTGTGTGGCCAGCTTTACCTGAACTCTGTGCCACAGCTATCTTCTCCTAGCATCTTTCTGTGCCCCAGCTGAACTTCACTGAACTTCCCCATGTATTGTAGCCTGGGTTTATAGATCTTTGCTAGCTTTGTCTGAGATAGAAGTTGTTTCTTGGTCTCCTTGTTGCTTTTAGGTGATTTACAAGAGAAGTATTTTTCTTTTGGTAGAAACACCAATTTCTCAAAATTCTTCTTACCCAAACTACAATAAAAACACTGTTACCTCAATGCCTAGCTCTATGTGTCTTTTTAGTCTTTACTTTTGCAAACAACTGACTGGTGCTCTTCCCATATTTACTATTCAAACTTCTGAGACAGTTTGGTTTATCTAACTAATACTAATCTTCTTTACGTGTATAGAACCTTTTGCCCTCGTAGACCCTGGGCAGTGCTTGGACCAGATTTCTTCCACTGGTCAAATAGCTGTAGATGAGGGGTCTTCCATAACACTAGAGAATATAGCAGTTTTAGAGTGTCTTCTTAGCAGGGGGCTATGGGTAACGGGGTTTGTTTAGGCAAAAAGAGTCCAGGCAATGACTTGGAGTCAAAACTGAGTTTGGGGAGTTTGGGTTGGTTTGGGGGCTCCCATGAATTCGAGGTCTTCCATGGGCTGACCTCCCATACAATTCAAATTCAGCCCATGGAAGACCTTGAATTCAGTGCTGAGGAGTTTGGACTTAAGGTCATAGGCTGTTGAGCATATGGGAAACTGGAGAGAAGTGACATGACAAAATGAGAGTTTTAGAAAGAGCTGCATTGTTACCTGTAGTCCCTCCGCTACAGGCTAAACTGTGTCCCTCCCACCCAAATTCATGTTTGCTTGTTTTGCTGTATTTTAAATGAACATTTGCACCTCAGAATGCAACTGTATTTGGGGATAGGGTCTTTATAGAGGTGATTAAGTTAAAGGAGGCCCGATGGATGGCACCTAGTCCAATATGACTGGCGTCCTTATAAGTAGAGGGAATTAAGTCACAGACATGTACAGAGGGAAGACCACATGAAGGCAAAGTGAGAAGACGGCCATCTCCAAGCCAAGGAGAGAGGCCTCAGAAGAAACCAACCAAGACTGGGCGCCATGGCTCTTGCCTGCAATCCCAGCTGTTTGGGAGGCTGAGGCGGGTGGATCACTTGAAATCAGGAGTTCGAACCGGCCAACATGGCGAAACCCTGTCTCTACTAAAAAAGTACAAAAATATTATCTGGGCATGGTGGCAGACGCCTGTAATCCCAGCTACTCAGGAGGTCGAGGCAAGAGAATTGCTTGAATCTGGGAGGCGGAGGTTGCAGTGAGCTGAGATCACACCACTGCACTGCAGCCTGGGTGACAGAGTGAGACTCTGTTTCAAAAAAACAACAAAAAAAAGGATGACACCAACCACGTTGATGCCTTGATATCAGACTTCTGGCCTTCAGAACTATGAGAAAGTAAATTTTTGTTCTTTAAGCCGCCCAGTCTGTAGTCCTTTGTTATAGCAGCCCAGCCCAACCAAGCTAATATGCCCTCTTTCCCCCTTCAGCCAGAGTGAGCTTTCCAAAGTGCAAAGCTGACCCCTGCTCTTCCCCACTATGAGATAAAGCCCAGTGTGGTCTGCAGGCCTTTTCATCATCTGGGCCCTGCCACCTCTCTGGCCACATTTCTCACTGACACCCCAAACCCAACCTCATGCATTAAGCTCCAGAGATATCCGGCAAATCACATTTCCCTGGACAGACCGTGCCTCTTCGCACCACTTCTCTTCTGTGAGGATGGCCCTGTGGCTGGCTCCTGGCCGGCTGTAAAGCCCACTCAGACTTCACCCCTCTGTACAGCCTTTTCTCACTCCTCCCTCCGCCTTGCATGCTGTGCCTGGGTCATCTGTTCTGCGAGGCTCACTGATAGAATCAACCCTGTTTATATCCCTCTGTTAGAGAGTCAGTCTCTCTGAGCTTAGGCTGGACAAGAAGGTACCCAATAAACTTTGGTTGAATTGAGTTGTATTTTGGATCTATAGGGCCATGGACCTGTACCCTAAGGAGAAAACAAAAGAGAGGCACCTGGTTGCAATCTGGCTCCTGCTAAGCCTGGCATGAGCAAGTATGTCTTCTGAGAGTGATTTGCTGCTCCCCTGACGTGCAGCTGGGTGTGTTTGTTGGCTGTGTACACAGCACAGCTGGTTGGTCAGCGTCTCATTTCTACAGGACAAGGACATCTCTGATCCCTAGTCATGACTGCCCCAGGCCCAGCATAGTTCAGTGAAAGGCACTAAGAAGGCTTAAAGCATGCTTCGGGGCAGAGAACAGAGACTAAGTGTATTGTCTCTTACCTCTAAGAGGTATGGGTTTGAATCACGACTCTGCCACTTAGCAGGTATGTGACTTTGGGGTAAGCTGCTTAACCTTGCTGAGTCCTATTTTCCTCATATGTCAAATTAGAATAATAACATCTACCCTGTAGTCATGTTGAGAGGATTAAATGCAGTTCTCTTTCTGTCTTCCCACCCATCTGCCTTTCTCTCTCTTTCTATCGTCTCTACCTATCTATGTATTTTTCTATCTCTCCATCTATCATTCATTCATCTATTACCTATCTGTAATCTATCTTTATCTATCATCTATCCTTCAATCATTCTATCTATTTATCTATTATCTACCTACCTACCTATTTTTTTTTTTTTTTTTTTGAGACAGAATCTCACTCTGTCACCCAGGCTGGAGTGCAGTGACGTGATCTTGGCTCACTGCAGCCTCCGCTTCCTGGGTTCAACTGGATCTTGTGCCTCAGCCTCCTGAGTAGCTGGGACTATAGGTGCATGCCCCCATGCCTGGCTAATTTTTGTATTTATTTATTGTTATTTTTAGTAGAGACAGGATTTTGCTATGTTGGACAGGCTGGGCTTGAACTCCAGGCCACAAGTGATCCACCTGCCTCTGCCTCCCAAAGTGCTGGGATTACAGATGTGAGCCACCATACCTGGCCCCTATCTTCTATCTATCACCGATCTATCTGTCTATCTATGCATCTATCAGTGTCTTGCCCTGTTCCTGGCACATACCAGTGCTTGGTAGATGTTAGTTTTACAAGCTGCAAATGGAATATTCTCTTCATTTCCCTAAGCTTAAATGACAGGGTTCAGAGAGAGAAGGAATTTTTCCAAGGCTATTGAGATTTTTGACCTGTGTCCCTACATCACCCATGGGCCCAGGGTAACAGCAACAATCATAATAGCAATTGCACACTCCATGGAGCACTTGGTAGCTCATAAAATGCTTCTCAGCCTACCATTCCATGATATGCACTCAGAAAGTCACTGAACCTCATGGCAGGAAGAGATGATGAGAGCAGTGGCAGCAGCCGCCATGCCATCTCGGGGCCCAGCTGCTGCCCATCTTGTCCATCACATTCAACTCTCTCTTGCCAGGAAGCCTGAATAGAGAAAACTCTTCCAGAGGCCAATTGAGCTTTCAAAGGTGTTTGACCTTGAGGGTCCTTTTCCAGGACTTGCAGAAAACGTGGAGGTGGCCAGGACCTGGGCGTCCTGTCTCCACCTGCCTGAGACAGCACCTGCCTGCTTTGCAGAGGTCGGCTCTCCCTGGCAGCCATCCCAGGCAGCTGGCCCCTCCCACGTGCCATCCCAGAGGCCATGTCCTTGTTCACGGACCATTGGGTGCAGGCTGCTGCTCTCTCCTGCCTAATTGCCAGTGTCCTTGTTAACACCCTCCCTCTGCCTTTGTGCCTCACACCCACCCAGCACTCCTGGAGCCCCCCATGAGTGACTCCCACTTGATGAACAAGATGTAAGTATACCAGTTATTAATCTTTCTACCAAGGCAATTACAGCCTCGCAACATTCCTCCTTGGCCACGTTGGCTCTTCTATGACAACCTTATCAGGTTGGCAATTTCAGATCTGCATTAAGTGTTCAGAAATCAATTTTCAGCTTATTTTGTGTTGCAAAGTTTGCCATGCCTGAAACCGCACTGCTAATTGAACAAGAGCAATTGATGTTTTAGCAGTAATTAAAGATGGTAATTATGACCAAATCTCCCCCATGGCCCTGCCGTGTTTGCTTTTGGACCTGTCAGAAGAGAGGGCGGGCCAAATCAATCTTAATAAAGTTGGCGCTTCAGAAGTCCCCCCAGAAATGGTGTTGCACTCAGGGTGGGACAAGGAAACCATAAGGGAAAAAGGGAATGGCATGTTTGGGGCTGTGAGTGCCTGGTCATTTGGATAGTCAGGTAGTCATCAGGGGTAGCCAGTGTGGTCCTCAAATGCCTGGCCAGCACTGAGCTGGAAGTGGGAGTGGGTGGAAGGAGCATTCCAAAGACATAGGCAAGAAAATTCTTGCCATTGAGATGCTTACAACATATCTGTGGAGAAAGGAAGCACGTGCATGCATGAAATAACTTCCAGATATTTGTTTTCATTCACAAACATTGCAGAGGGCCTGCTATGTGCTTGGTGCTAGGGGAACAAAAATAAAATGGTGTCATCTCAAATGCAACCACAAACAAGCACAAATGGCTATGACGTTTATATCTTTTATCCAGGAATTGTTGCCCATCTATGCTGTGTCCTTTGAGATTCTTCAGCCTCAGAGAGGCAGCTAGAAATATAGGCAGATCTCTGGACAGTGGTCCGAGGACTCCAGGCCTGATGCTACTGCTCCAAGCTGTGACCTTCCCAATGGGGACATCCATGGCTCCATTCAACTTTGAGAGTAGAGTCTGCAGTGAAATGAGGGGCTCATCCATCCCATACAGAACATCATAATCAGATCTGTACTGACCCCTTAAGTTCCTGTACCACAAGGTTGTTCCTAGGTTATTATTTACTTCATATGTCACGAGCAGACCTTCATGCTTGGGGATGTAAAGATGGCTTTTGAGCAAAAGGCTTGGGTAAATACCAGCCAGGGCTGTACTTGTAGACAGAAGGTTAATGTATTGAGAACTCACGTGATCCTCAGTCTACCAGTGTACCATAGAGAAGTATGCTTTGGGCTGGATGTGGTGATTCACACCTGTAGTGCCACAGTTTGGGAGGCTGAGGTGGGTGGATCCCTTGAGGCTAGGAGTTCAAGGCCAGCCTGGGCAACATGGCGAAACCCCATCTCTACTAAAAATACAAAGATTCACCAGGCATGGTGGTCCCAGCTATTCGGGAGGCTGAGGCACGAGAATTGCTTGAACCCAGGAGGCAGAGGTTGCAGTGAGCCGAGGTTGCACCATTGCACTTCAGCCGGGATGACAGAGTGAGACCCTGTCTCTAAATAAATAAATAAATAAATAAATAAATAAATAAATAAATAAAAGACACGCTTAATGCATGCTTGGGCTGGGCAAGCGGATGCACCATGGGTTGTATTCCAGGAGAGGACTGCCGCCCCCTGCTGTCGTTCAGCTGTTTTACAGGGAGAACTGGAGAGCTACTTTGCAAGACAATCTGAAGGCGGGTGCCAGCTGTTCAGGGGAACATTATACCAGGCTCCCCAGTGTTATAGCACTGGAAACCACAGGGAGCCACCAACCTCAGCCGGATCATTGCCAGGCCATCTAGAGGGAGCCACCAGGTCATCCAGTGGATGTTCCTGTCTGCACTTCCACAATGGCTAGGATGTGGTGCCTGACCACAGGAACTTTACAGTCTAGCAGGGGAGAAAACCCAGTATAATGTCATGACAGAGCTACGTGGTTTAAAGGAGCAGTGGAGGAAGGCCCGGGTGGGTGAGAGGATTCTTGGAAGCTGTGTCTTTAAGGCTAAGTAGAAGTTGAGTCGGTTGAGGCTGGGGGGAATCCCACTCCCTCAGAAGGGCACAGCATGAGCATGGGCGTGGAGGGCTAAGGCATCGTATCATGTCGTGGGAGCCACTCAAGTGCAGAGGCTGAGGCTGGAGGTGTGAGAGAAGAGTCTGGAGAGGGAGACAGGGCATGTTTGGGGCTGTGAGTGCCTGGTCATTTGGATAGTCAGGTAGTCATCAGAGGTGGCCAGTGTGGTCCTCTGAGTGAGTGGCCAGCACTGAGCTGGAAGTTGGGGTGGGTGGAAGGAGCATTCCAAAGACCTAGACAAGACACGTCAGGGTGTGTGAGACATGCCAAGCCATCTGGAGATGGGGAATGGGGAGTCACTCTGGGGGTCACGTGGAAGGGGTCAGGTGTGCTTTTGAGATAGTTCATCCTGACAGCTGTGTGGGTGGCAGGGCAGAGACAGATGTAGCAGTGAGTGCTCAGGGACACACTGCCTGGCAGCTGCTCATAGCATGATTCTTGCCTCTTTATAGAAAGGCTAGAAAGATTCCCTGGACAAACACCCTCCCAGCCTTTGTACCTGGTCATATGCAGAGGGTTGAGGCAATTGAGCAGAGAGCCTGGCCCATGGCTCAGTGATCCCCATTGCTCCCATACTCAGAACTGCTGTGTTCAAGCCTCTGTTTGTGAGTTAGGAAGAGTCAGATATAGGGTGACGGCCGCCTGCATAGCAGCAATGTTGGGCAATGTTGTGAAATAGAGTTTCTCAGAGATGAGAGAAAGATGAACAAGATTTCTGAACACAGAAATACCCACAAGCCCCTGCCTGGAATGTGGCCTGTGTTGGCCACAGGTGTGTTTCAAAGCATGGCTATCATGCACCATTCACATACTCACATAGACCCACCAAAATGTGCATGCATGTAGATGGACCTGCCTGAGTCTTCACACTCTGAGCAACAGAGGGCCATATATTTATACACACAGCAATGTGCTCAGAGAAGCCTAAAGTTATGCATTCCTGCGTGCTCATGAAACACGACCCATGTATATGCCATTTGCACCCACACCTAGGCACACAGGGTGGATATGTGTGCATGCTCTCCGCCCTGACAGGAATGTTTGCCCTCTGGTGCAGGTGACATCAGTTTAAAAAATGAGGTTATTTGGGGGCCAGACAGGTCTTCAATTAGAGGGCATACCTCTTCCAGGGGAGGAGGTTGGGATGGGAGTTGGGAGTGAATGCAGAGGACGAGGGTGGGAGAGAAGCTGGGGTTGGAGCCTTTGGCTTCCTCTGTGGATCTGCACCATTCTTGCCATAGCCTGGGTTGTGGAGGTGTTTATACCCCTCAGATGGGTCTCTCTGGTCTTCAGGGTCAGACCAACTTACGCTGACAGCCAAGAAAGGGCTGGCAGCTGTAATGGGAAGACATTGATTCTATGTCCACAGTGATGGGGAAAGTGAGTCAGAGAGTTTTCAAGTTTAGAATTCATTTTGCCCAGTCCCTGCTTGCACTGTCTAGTGACTAGACAGAGGCCTAGAGGCAAAAATGACTTGCCCAAGGTCCCACTGAAAGCTATGTGAGGATGCACCTTACTATAGCCCTGAGGCACCCTCATTAGCAAACCATACGTCATGGGCTGCAGGAGGCTTTGCTGGGTCTATGCAGCCCAGGCTTGGAGGTTTTATCTGCCAGCCTGAGCTCAGATTCTATTGGCCAGAATCATGCCGCTTATAGCACACCTTGGTGCAAGCTGAGAATCTGTGACAATGTGGCCGAGCCCCCTTACCATCAGACACCCCAGTCTTGCTCATCTGATACAGTGTATGTTTGGGCTTCTGCTTTATTGATCGATTGATTGATTGACTGAGATAGAGTCTCACTCTGTCGCCCAGGCTGGAGGACAGTGGCATGATCTCAGCTCACTGCAAACTCCGCCTCCCATGTTCAAGCGATTCTTGTGCCTCAGCCTCCTGAGCAGCTGGAATTACAGGCATGTGCCACTACGCCCAGCTAATTTTTGTATTTTTAGTAGAGATGGAGTTTTGCCATATTGGCCAGGCTGGTCTTGAACTCCTGACCTCAGGTGATCTACCCACCTTGGCCTCCCAAAGTGCTGGGATTACAAGGCATGAGTCACTGCTCTCAGCTGGGCTCCTGCTTTAAAAGCTCCTGACTGGTAGCCCCCTTCTGTCTCCCCTCCATCCTGTCCCCAGAGTCATATTTACTTTCCTAGTCAGGACCCTTTCCAAGAGCGACCTGCCCCCACACCCCCACCCCCACCCCGATGCCCCGCCCAGCTGCCTGTGACAGCTTAAGCCTCTTTCCTTTGGTACCCTTTCAGGAATAGAGAGAACAGCTGGTCATTTCTTCCTGAAGTTTTCTGATGCTAATCCTCCAGGCTGGTCCAACTTACAGACATAAACCTTGCAAGCACTTTCTAATCTCTGACTTCTCTAGAAAACAGCATCAGTGGAGAAGAAATCGGGGGTAGTGGGGGTTCCAACCAGAGGGCTCGTTTCCTCAATCTTAGCCCTAAAGCTCATTTTATCTGTACTTCACTGGGACCCTGTTGCCCTTTCCTGACCAGGGCTGCTGTGGCAAGACCATGTGGAGCCCAGTTAGGCAGAGTCAGGACGGTGGGAGGCCAGGCGAGGCCAGATGCCCCAGACTGTAGGTGGGGCTGGCTGCCCACGACGTGCCCAGAACCCCTGAGTTCAGTGCCTGCGGAGCCTCTTCTGCCACCTCAGACCCCACATTCTCCCCACCTTCTCCCTCTCAGCCAGCCTGTCTGTGTTCCTGAAGCTCCTTCCCTGGATGGGTGATTGATTAATTGATTTACATATTTATTAAAATGTATTTTAGTAGCGTCTTTGCCTTTGATGCCAAATCTCATTTTCTATTGTGGGGCTGCTGACAGCCGGCATTGTAAATGCAAAGACACTTTACAAAACAATTTAAATAGCAATTGCCACCAGCTTAAAAATGAGCAAAACAGACAAATAAAATACTGATGAGGAAATTGGCAGCTTCAGGACAAGGAGGGCCAGGGGTTTCTAAGCAGCCAGCAGCTCCGGGTGCGGGGACGGTAAAGGCCTTGTAATTGTCTCTTTGGCCCAGATTTTAGGTGTAGATGAAGTGAGGTTAAGAGTCGCTGCTCTTAGAGCAAAAGGGGCCTTGCCCTTAAAGGAGACTTGTCTTTGGGGAACTTTTCTGAGCAGAGGTTTATGGATGAGGGGAGCGGTCAGGCTGTGGGTCCTAGATCTTTGCCCTGCAGTCTAGACTTGCGAGCTTGCATCTGCCTGGTCTGAGGAGCACTGTGGGCACTGAGGCTGGCCTGAGGAGCTGGGACACCAGCAGGCAGTAGGGCAAGAGTGTGGTCTGGAAATCTGGTCTTTGGATTCTGGCCCCAGCCTGGCCCAGCTGTGAATCTTGGGCAGGTCATATTTTCCCTCTGGGTCTCTGCTTCCTCTGTCGAATGCACTGGGTAGAAACCGAGAAGCACTAGCCTGGGCCACTGGAGACCTGACATCTAGTTCTGCTTGCCACTTCCTAGTTGTGCAACTTCCAGCAGGTTAAGCTCCCTCTCTGGGCCTTATCTGTAGCATGAGAGTGAGGGATGTGATGCTTCATGAGTCTATTTTTTTTTTTTCTTAAAATCTATGACATATTAGGGGCCCGTGATACTGTGTGGTCCTACTGGTGGCCTGATTGTAGGGAGGGAGAGCAGGGAAGATGAGTGGGTATGCAGTGGCAGAGGAACCTGCAGAACAGGAGTCCAGAGCTAAGCCAGGTTTTAAAGCAGGATCTGATCACACCGTTCCTGAGAAAGAGCAGAGCTGAAAGCTGTCAGAAGATGGGAAAAATCCCACAAGCAAGCAGGAGTTGGCTCATTCTCCTCGACCTCATGTGCACACTGTCCTCCAGTTGCCTTCCACCTCCCTGGCCGTGCCTTCCTAGTCTCTTTGGCTGCACTTCTGCCCCCACCCTGGGTCTGTCCCTCAAGATCCCTGCTGGTGCTGCCTTCCTGCTGCTAGATTCACTTCCTGCAGGAGTTCATTTGTAGCTCTTCTCTTTTTTTTGCCAAGACACTCAAATTTTCATTCCAGTCTTGACCTCTTACCAGAATTGTAGTCTCATAAATCCAGCACCCTGCAGGACA
This sequence comes from Homo sapiens, assembly GCF_000001405.40. Taxonomy (NCBI): domain Eukaryota; kingdom Metazoa; phylum Chordata; class Mammalia; order Primates; family Hominidae; genus Homo; species Homo sapiens. The sequence continues at coordinate 116,509,572 of NC_000011.10, read as the reverse complement.
TCTCTTCTTAAATGTCTTGCTGTCACCATAAAATGTCTAGAACCAAATTCAGCATCTTCTCCCACAAACCACTGCTCCCCGCTCCACCCCCAGCATTCTGTTTTTCAGGCATTCTTCTCTCTTTAGTTTCCTGTATCCAGACGGTTATCACAAGAAACCTTTATACGCTGTTTACAGTTGTCGAGGTGGCTTTCTGCGCATGACCACATTTCTTTTTGCAAGTACGTTCTGAGCACCTGTTAGATGCCAGGCACAGGACAGAGGAGTGGACAAGGCAGGCACAGACCCCTGCCCTCATGGGGCTTGGGCTCTGGAGGTCGCTCTCTTTGCCTCAGGCCTCCAACGGGGCTGCATCATCCCTACTTGCAGAAACATGGCTTTGCTTCCTTTGGGAAGCTTCCTGAGACTTCAAGTATAAGACTTAGTTCAAACCACATGATCCAGATTTTTTGGTCAAAAAGGTGGGGAACACCTGTGTAACCACAGCACTGTGCTAAATGCTGAGGGTATGAGGATAGGCACCTGCCCTTAGGGGACTTGCAAACTGAAGGAACAATGTTTCCACGGGGGTTACACAGCAAACCAAAACCACAATGCGAGATATTCACAAGGCAGTATTTCATTTGTTTGTCCATTCATTTAACAAACATTTGTTGAAGACCCAAACTGTGTTAGACACTGTGCTGGGTGCACTGAATGTAGGGATCAGGGAAATAGTCCATGCCTATGAGGAGCCCATGCTCTGGTGGAGGAGAAAGAGGCATGAGCAGGGATGTTCATGCGGTGTGGATGTTGGAAGCATGGGATGATGTAGGGCCAGAGATGACAGGCCTAGGATAAGGAAGGCTTCCTGGACCTCACCCCTGAGGATGGGCAGGCAGAAGTCAGCAAGCAGGAGATGGGTAGGAGAGGGAGGGAGGAGCCATGGTCAAATGCTGGGGAGAGCAGGAGCTTGCTGTCCTGGTGACAGTGGTTCTGCCAGGCTGGCACCTGGAAGGACTTAAATTCTTCAAGTCCAGTGAGTGGTGTTGAGTGTAAGTGCAGAGGAGCTTAGCAGAGAACAGAGCCCTCCTGGAGAGATCAGGAAAGGCTTCCTGGAGGAAGTGGGCTTTCAACTGCACATTGGAGGGCAAGGAGGATTAGACAGGTAAAGATGAAGGAGAAAGGCACTTGGCTCCCAGGGGCTCCCTTTGCACTGTGACATCCAAGCCCTCTGTGTCCTGGCCCAGCCCACCACTGGTGTTCTTTCCTACTGTCCCCCTTGCCACACCCTGCCCGGAGCAAACTGAGTGGCTTGTCACTCCTGTTTTTTTCAGCATCCAAGCTTTGGCTCAGGTGGTCCCTTTGCTTGGAAAATCCTTCTTTATGTTTCGGAATACGGGGACTTATTGACAGGCTTCTTCCACGAAGCCTTTCCCCTTCCCTCCACCAGAACAAAAGTCTCTTGCCCTGCTGAGTGTCCACAGCACTTTTCTCTACGGTTGTGGCTCTCCTCTGCAGCTGCCACCTGCTACCTGTGTCATAGTTATCTGGGGCATAATTCACCTCTTCCGTTGGTCTGCAGACCAGGGCTTTTGCTGGCCAGCCTAAGGCTCCCTGGGTCTCACACAAGGTCCACGTGCAACCAGTGGTGGTTGAAAGAGAGCCCCAATTGCTGGGGGCCAGAGTGAACCAAGATATGGGGGTGGGAGCCTGAAGGGACTTGGTGGGTCTGGACGTCCTGACTTAGATCCAGAGAGGACAGTAACTAGGGATGAATGGTTAGGAATCTGTGTGAATTCTTCTTATGCACATGGGATGGCTTCTGCAGGGGTAAGTGTTATACTGGGTGGCTTTCATGAGGAACGCCACCCCTGAGTGTGGGAGAGGGGTCTCACCTGACAGGTGAAGGCTTTTCTGGTGTGCAAGTCAAGCACCTGCCATTCTATCTGTTAGACTGGGGCAGTTGGCCTCTTACACTGGAATCCAGCCCTGAGTGGACAGCCCCAGTTGTGTAGAAAAGCTTAGCAGTGCCTTTTTTTGCTTTGGCTAGTAAGCAAGTAAGCTCTTCATTCATTCACACGTGCATTCATTCACTCATTCCTCAATAATTACTGCTAATGCATAGGTGCACTGATGCAGTGGGAAATAAGCTGGTGCCTGATGTTTGTATTTCCTATCTTTCTTTATGTTTTGTTTTCCTTAAACATTAAAAAAAAATCTTTCTTAAATGCCAGCTTGCCTCAGCTGCATCAAGGGGAAAGGATGGAGTTTTAAGGGCAGGCGTACACCCTGGGGGCCAACAGAGGAGAGTCAGGGGAATCCCAGCAAGTGGGGAAACCTGGGGCGGGGTGGCCCTTGGAAGGACAGAGTGGAACTGCTTCATCAGCCAGTCTTCTCACCTGAGATGCCTTCCTGAGCTCTTCTCTATAGAGCCTCTGGGCACTCTGACTTTGTCCTGCACAAGGGTCCCCTCTTTCCACGAGGCAGGGTGGTGCAGTGGTTAAAACCCAGGCTCTGGAGCTGGTACTCCTGGGCTTGCCTCTTCCCATGAACCAATTCGCTAACTTCTCTGAGATGGTCTCCCCAGGAGTGGGAGTAAGAATCATAGAGATGGTGTGTGTTTTGCCCTGACCTGGTGCACACCTCATAGTGGGTATTTGATGAGTGATGGCAGTCATTGTCATTACACAGAGATGACAAAGACAGGAGGTCCTCTTTTGTCCAGAAAGAGAGAAAAGCAAAAATGCAAAGCTAAGCGGTGTGGCCTCTCACTCATAGGCGATGGTGGGTTTGCAAGTCTTCTTTTGCCTCCTGGACCATCCCCTGTGCGCTTAGTCAACACACAACTCAGCCAGGGTGGGGCCCTGAACACAAGGAGGGCATTGTGTGGCCCATGGGAGGTTTGAACCCACAGCCTTCACTTTGTTAAAACCATAGCACGTGGAGCTTGAGGGCAGCACCAGATGCCATCCACCCCCACCCTCTCCCTGACTGTGAGGTGCCCATGGGGATATCTGGGACAGAGGATGCCCCACTGGCCTCCCGCTACCCCGCTCCAGCTTCCCTGGGTGGGAGCTCCCTTCTGTTCCCTCCCTAGGAGCATCATCCATGGCCATCCCCATGGAAACTGCCAGGGACCCTGTGGGGGAAGAAGAGAAAGATGAGGAGGGAGAATAATCAAGAATTATTTGTTTGGGGAAAGAGAAAAAGGAATGGCAAGGGAGAGTGGGAGGGAGGAAAGAGAGGAAGGCGAGGAGAAACAGAGGGGAGAGAGAAAGAGGAGAGAGAGAGAGAAAGAGGGAGAGAGAGGAGAGTCTTTTCTTTGGGGAAAAATGGAAATTTAATCAGATCAGTTTTTATAGTGCAAATAGAAAATCAGTTTTAATAAAGCCAAAAGGAAATGCAAAACAGCCGCTTGAGATGGAGATTGTGTTAAACAGACAGCTCTTTAGGAGTAGCCGAGTCTGTGATGTTTATTGTGCACAGACAGAGCAAGGAGGGGGATTTCTGGCTGAATTTCAAATAGGCATCTGATTTGGCTTTGGGGGTGGGGAAGAGCCTCTCCTCGCCCCTCCTCTCCACCCATAGGCCCATCTGTCCAGGGAAGGAAGGCTCCCAAAGTGAGAGGAGGAGAGAAGGGGACAGTGGTACCACAGGGCACATCTCCCTGACCTGGAGCAAGAGCAGCCGCCTTCCTCATCCTATGGGGTGTTGCCCCCAGCACCCCCTTGTCATGATCCCAGGACTTCCGGCCGGTCTTGCCCACTCCCTCCTACCCAAAGACAGGACTCTGCCCTCCATGGACACACCACTGTTTTTAGCTTCTGATTCTTAATTATAGTTCTGGCCCAGCTCTTGGCTTTATTGCTTTCATTTATTATAAAAAGACCAGTGTCTGTTTTTTGAAACGGCTATCTGGTCAAATCACAGTTGATAAGCAACACTGAGCTGTCTTTTTAAGACAGGCCAAATTTATCACACTTTAAAAAAAAAAAAGCAAGCCTTCGATGGCCTATTAGAAAACTTCCCCACCTTTTCCCAGAGTGACATTTTAGTAAAAGGCTTTATTTTCCTCCTCAGCTTTCACAAAGCTATCGCCTTGAAAGGGAGAGAGAGAGAGGGAGGGAGAGCGAGAGAGAGCAAGACACAGAGTACTTTTGAGGTTCCATAAAATATATGGAGAGGGCATGGAAGATAACAGGATCTGCCCTAATGGGGCTGTTAGCTTAGGAGGAAAAGAGGGGGCCGCTGGCGTGTGTTTGTCAGCTGTTATTTTTGTAATTAGAAGAGAAACTGCACTTTACATTTCAGAAACACAGCTATTTGAGGCTGCAAAGAAGATACGGGGGCCTGGGCCAGAAAGATAGGTTGGGAGGAGCAGGGGCTGGGGGAGAACAGGCAGGACCGGGCTGGTGGCTCCTGAGGTTAATGAGCTCATCTGTCACTTTTGAGGCTGGCTCAAAACTAGACAGGAACCCTGCAGGTCCCCTTCAAGAGGCTCCCCAGTCCTGGCTGGGCAGCTGATGCCACCCTGTATTCCAGGAAGGGGGTGGAGTCAAGCTGTGGGCCCGCCAAGCTGCTGGGGGCCGGGTAGCAGGGTCTTCTTGTGGCTGTGGAAGCCTCTGACCATCTGCTGGGAATGGGACAGGAACTGGGGCGAGGCCATTTCATGGGCTCAGCTAGAAGCAAATTTTCAGCCCTTGCTCTTGTAGGTTTGACTTTAGAAAGAAGGGGGGGCGTCTAAGAAACGAGGGTAGTGCTGCCCCTCCTAGAGTGGGTGGCGGTGTCCGCAGAGCAGAGCCTGTGTCTAATTCATCTGCAGACACACAGCGCCCAGGGTAGTAGAGTGTTGTGAGGACATTGGCTGGTGGAAACTGGAGGTGGCGGGAGGCTCCTCCCCCTGGCCACCCACGACCCGCACTTCTGCCCCTACTCCTTTCATCGGCTGCAAATACTATTCATTCCTCCTTTGCGTCTTCCTTTCATGCTTTCCATCCCCAGCAATATTTCCCTTCACTTCTTTCTGAACAAGATAGGTTTAATTGTTAAACAGCTCCTTCCTTTTTCTCCCCGCTGAGATCTGGGTTTCAGAGGAGTATTGTGGACAGTGGCCTCCTGCCTGCTCTGCCCACGCCCTTCTCTGTCCTAGGGTGGACACCCACAGCCTGGTGCCACTTGAGATCTCCTTCCTCTCCCTGATGCTGAGCGTCGGATTCAGCAACAATGGGGCACCTGACATCTGGCCACTTTGGGACCCAGAGAAAGCTGGATTTGCAGGAACTTGAACCACAATAATTGAGGGCCTGGTGGTGTAGTGGAAAGGGCTGGGGCTGATCTAGAAACCCAGCACTACCATCAGCTGGTTGAGCTTAGAAAAATCATTTGACTTCTCTGAGCCTTGGTTTTCTCTTCTGTAAAACGGCACAGTGTTGTTGAGAGGATTCAATAAAATAATGAGTGGAGAGCTTGTGCCACAGAGCGGAGGATTCATTCATTAACTGCTAGTTCCCCTCGCCCTGCCTGGATGGAGGCAGGCGGGCCACATCTGCCCATTGTATTCTTTTTCTCAGGGGTGAAGGCAGCTTGTGTCATGGTGGAGCTGGGCCTATAAGTCCTGGGACTCCCAGTCTAGTATCCTTGCTGTCACTCTGCTGTGTCTTTCCGTCTTCCAGTGCCATCGTGGGTAGGCCATTTTCCATTTTTCCAGGCCTCCGTTTCCTATCCCAGATGGCTTCCAAAGTGTTCCATTTCTGAAGAAGTCTGAGTCATGTGAATCCATTCTGGAACTCTCTGGATGCTCAGGCCTGTATGGTGGAAACTATGCCTAGAGGTGCTTCACCCTGCCCCGAAGTCATCATGGACTTGGATAACAGCCTTGCAGACAGGTCTCACATTACTCGAGGACTCCAACTCTCAGCTCCAAGTGAAGGGCACAGAGGAGGGGCACCAACCATCCTAGTTTGCCAGAGACTGAGGGGTTTCTCAGTATGTAGGACTTTCATTGCTAAAAGTGAGGGAGTCCTGGGCAAACCAGGCTGAGCTGGTCACCCCAGGACAGGGCTTCGGGTCTGTGAATGTTAGTTGAGGCCCTATTGTGGGTGAGGTGCTGTAGCAGGTATTAGAGATGCAATAATTACAGAAACAGGCCTTGCCTGGAAGGCAGTGACAGCACAGAGGAGAAGCAGATGTGTAGATAGATTACTTGCCCTGCAATTCATGGTAGGGAGACTAACTGAATGAAGCTTGTGCAAGACACCCAGGACACACAGAGGAGGCAGAAATGAACTCTGGTTTGGTAATGGTGGTGGCGTAGTTAGGAGGGCTTCTCAGAGAAGGTGATAGCTGAAGTGGGTTTTGAAGGCAGGGCTGGAGATGGAGCATAAGAGGCAGGGCTTGGAGAGGTATAAAAGGACAAAGTTAAACATGAGTGCAAAATGATGTGAAAGGAGGGCAGGAGGTCTGGAGGTGGCAGAAGCTGAAGGGTAAGCTTCCCCTGTCCTTGTGGGACCAGGCACGGGGCAGGGACAGGTGGTGGTGTGGGATGTGGTTTGGAAGGAAGGCCGCAGGGCTAGGAAATGGTTGGTAGGCCTTCCCTACCTAAGGATGGAGACATATTTTCGACAGAGTGTCCTGGTTCCATCTCAGCCTTCCAAGACCTACGAGAATGTTACAGGGTTGTCAGTGCCAGGGCTGCTTGGCTCCCTGGCATGGCTGGGTGCCTGGCCCATGGCTGGAGGCCAGTGGCCTAGAGCCCAGGGAAGCCAGCTGGTGACAGGATAGAGTTGTCCTGGCTTTGGCCAGGCAGACCGGTGGGCTCTGACCCAGGCTGTGATCCCTGCAGGACCTCCTCTTGGAGGTATTTAGCTCTGCAGAAAGAGGTGAAGACGATGATCTGGCTCTGCCGAGTGTCCCCTAGCTCTGTGCTTCCTTGCCTGGGTCACTAGCTCAGGGACTCTGAGGACCCAGCCTCTTTGCAGTGGGGCTGAGCTAAGTGACCTGGCCAAGGTTAATTCTACCCCCATTAGACCCTGCGGGCAGAGGGTCTGAGGTGATTAAGAAGCCATGGACCAGAGTCAGACTGCAAACACTGGGCCTCCATTCATAGACTAAACGTGGGGATGGGTCTGGTAAGTGAATAGAGCAGTGATTGACAGGTGGGCAAACCGCGTTTATCCTTCTGACTCCTCTAGGAGAGAATGCATACTCTTGGTCCACCTGGAATCCTTTTTGGAATAAAACAGTATTACAAACAACAAATCAGTCAACCAACCAATCAATCAACCATGAAAACTTGACCAGAATTTTCAAAGCAAAATCCCAGGAAGGAACCTCAGGTGCCAGGTGTGCAGGGAGGACCCAGGCATCTGGTGCTCGCGCACCCCTCATCTCCCTTTACATAGTGGGAATGCACTTGGCCTTGAGAGATTTGTTGGTGTCAGAGGCTCCCAAACTTTTCTCTCCTGTCCTACAACTGTTTACCCATGAGTATGTATTTTTGGCTAGAAATGAATTTATGTGGGTACTTTAAAAAAATAGATGAGATGAAGACAATGGTGACAACATAATAACGTAGATGGAAAGCGCATACTTAGAGCCATATGCAGCAAATGTGGGGGCCGATCTGGCCCTGTCACTCACAACTGTGGTCAGCTTGCTGGGCCCCTCCCAGCCTCCCGTCCCTCCCCTGTGAAGTGGAACCGTTTGTCCCTAGGCCTCACTTAGTAGGCTCTCGCTAACAGATTGCAAATCCTTGAGGAAGGAGCCCACCTTTTTTCTTGTCTTTATATCCCCAGGGCCTGGCATAAAGTAGAAACTCAATAAATGTTAGTCAAATGAATGAATAAACGTTTGAATAACAAGAATACCTGCTCTACCGACCTCTCTCAGGATTATCGGGAGGATCAAATGAGATAATGCACATGAAAGCACTTTGTAAATTGCGGAGCACTATACAAATGCAAATCATTCACAGCTTTGGTGGAAATTATTATTCAAATTATTATTATTATTTTCACAGTAAAGGACAGGAAGGAGAGGGCAACGGAATCAGTCCCTGATGGTGGAAGCTGGGGTTCCAGCCCTGTGTGCGGGGTGGCACTCAAGCTTGCTTGGGCCCCTCTGAAGCATCCTCCTTCCAGTGCCCTGCAGCGAGGTGGACTGGGCTGCAGCTGCTTGGGTGGGGGCAGTAGTTGCTACTGGAATCCTGCCCAGTATGGGGACTGAAGCCACCAGCCCATCTTACCCTGAACAAAACGAATTAAACGCCAAGCTCTAAATGAAAAAGGGTTTTCTTTTCTCTGCTGCTGTTTATTATTTTCTTTTTGTTAAATGAAGTGGCAAAGGTGGCATATTAGGAAGGAGGTGGTGACAGAGAGAGAGAGAAACCGGGCATCTCGAAACCTGGGGTTCGTTCCCCTCTCCCCCGCTGAGCTTCTGTTTCCAAGGCTATTATCCCGCCTCTTCAACCCCCGGCCTGCGAGAGGGAGGGTGAGCCGGCTGGGCAGCCAAGAGACGCAGAGCAAAGGCGTGATTGATAATTGGCGACTGTAATTCTATAATTCATCTCCCTGCACTGCAGTGAAATTAAAAGAGTTTAGGTTCCCAAGCATAATGATCATCAATTAAACGCCGGGGAGATTTAGTGTCCTCATTTGAATTTTGTTTTATTTATTTAAATGTGTCTCTTTTACAGGGAGGGGCCCGTGGGGAGTGGGAGCGGGTGCACGCGGGGGCCGGGGCCTTCCGGAGGCTGATGCGGGCCCGGGCGCCTCCAGGAGCTGGGTCGTGCAGGCTGCCTGGGGGCGGCTGAGGGTGGGGCGCGGCTCGTGGGGCGGCGGGCTTTGCGAGACAGGGGATCCATCATCCCGGGCCTAATCAGTTAATACTGATAAACTGCCAGCAATAACTGCCAATTGCGCCGCGGTTTTGGAGCAGCCAGTTCATTCATTTAGGGAGTGCGGCGGCTCGTGGGGGGAGCGCTCCTGGCCCCGAGTGTTTCTGTCTCTGCTCGGGAGGGAGGTGATGCATGGGCCACCGCCGACTTCTGCGGGTAAGGGAAAGTGAGCACTGGGCAACTCGAAGGTGGCCGGGAGGCTGTGGGGGTGACTGTGGCCTGCGCCGGGCCGGGCTGGGCTGTCAGAGAGGCCCGTCTGGGTCTTGGCGTTCAGGATGGTATGGAGGTGACATCCGCTTTGAGGAGGAGTCAGGGGGACATGCTCCCGGCCAAGCTGTGGGACCTCCTTGTGCAGAACCACAGAAAGATGCCTCAGGAATCAGGGGACCTCTTGCGGCCCCGCCACTCACTGCCCAGCTGCATGACTCAGTTTCCTCCTCTGGAAAGGAGCAGGCTGGGCTAGGAGGCCTCTAGAGGGCCTTCCAGCTCTGTGGCCTTCCTCCAGACCCCTTTCCCTGCTGGCCTGGAGAAGGACGGAGAACACGCCCGGGTCCTTCCTGTGCACCAGTGAGTTTGGGGCTGGAGGCTCTCGGGGTGCCATGGCTCCCCCTCCCATGGGCCCCTCTGCTCCCTCCCCATGCTGCTGTCCATTTCTCAGGGTTGGTTCCTGCTGCATTTTCCCGACGTTCTCTGATTCCGACTTCTCACTTGCAATCAAGAAACTAAAAATAGAGCATAAAGGAGCTCTCCAAGGGGGGTGGGTGGGGGTGGCAGAGAAGGAGGAAAGTGCTCTGGTTCCCCGTGGGAATGAGACCTCATCAGCTCTACATAGGGAGTTGGAAATCCAATCCAGACCATTGGCAAGGGGCGGGGTGTGAGGTGAGGAGCCTTCCTGATCAACCAGGTGGAAAGCTTGAAAGAAAATAGTGTGTGCGCACAGGGAGGGAGGATGGGGAGACAGCCCTGGGGTGGCTTTCTGGGCGTTTCTGGTGCTTGGGGGTGAAGCCCCTTGCATGCCCTGCACAGGGCCCGCCCCTGGGTTGGGAGAGAGCTGAAGTCACTGGACCTGAGGGCGCACAGCCAGCCTGAGGGCCTTGCCTTCTAATTCATCCGCCAGGAGGGGGCGCCCTATTCTAATGTTCGCAAAGGCGTCTTTTGTTCAAGCTGAGGCGCCCAGAAGGCTCGCGCAGGCCGGTTATGCAGGTATCCTCTTGGGCTTGTAGGCAGACAGGAACCCCGTCAGGGATTTCTTCTTGAGGACCTCAGAACCGTGTCTTTTGTTTTATTTTTATTTTTTTGAGACAGGGTCTCGGTCTGTCTCCCAGGCTGGAGTGCAGTAGTGCCATCTCGGCTCACTGCAACCTCTACCTCCTGGGCTCAAGGATCCTCCTACCTCAGCTTCCTGAGTAGCTGGGGCCATAGGCACAAGCTACCGTGCCCGGCTTAATTTTGTATTTTTTGTAGACACAGGGTCCGCTATGTTGCCTAATCTGGTTGTGAGCTCCTGGGCTCATGCAATCCACCTATCTCAGCCTCCCAAAGCGCTGGGATTACAGGTGTGAGTCACCTTGCCTGGCCAACCACGTCTTTCAGATTGTAAGGAGTGGATTTGTTCAAACTTGATGACATAAGATGGGCAACTTGGAGGTATTGGGGCTAGGAGTGAAATCAGAGAGAATCTGGGCTTTCAGACAACATCTCCAGAACACAGGCACCCCGTTCCCTGGGCAGGGTCCCCTGGAGCTCAGAAACATGAGTGGACGTGTGTAAATTACTCAGCTGGTCTTGGGAAAGAAGCCTGATTCGGGAGTCTGGAGCCCCAGGCTGCAGTCCTGGCTGTACTACTCTATGCCCTTGGGCATGCTGCTTTTTTTTTTTCCTCTGAAACTCAGTTTCCCCCCTGTCTAATAAGATGAGGTACATAAAAGCTCTTAGAGAGCAGGAAAGGTGCTCTATAAATGCCCAGGATTATGGTTATAACGTGCAGCTTTTATGCGTAAACCAGCAGCAGCCCACCTTATCTTCTAAGGGGCAGTGCAGAGGGAGGACTTTATCTCTATCCTTGCCTCATGCAGCCTCGAAGGCCCCTTTTCTCCCACGGGGCTATCTTTAGGACCCATGATGCTTCCCCTCCTGGGGTAGGAAGGGAAATGGCTGATGTTAGAATCCCAGACTTGCCGGTTTTTATACCACCGATTCAAATCAAGATACTGTCTTTCAGCCTCCTCTCTGCCTTGCTAAACCCATTCCGGTTCCCTTACCAAGCCGATTTCTATCGGGGGAGAGTCAGTCCTTGAAAACATGGGGATTTCTCCAGCAAGGAATGGCCATGAGGAGCCAGGCCATGCTGGGGTGGCCATCTGCACACTCTGATGAGCCCACGCTGGGCTCCTCTCAGCCTCATCTGCAAGGCTAGCCCCTTCTAGTTTCTAATTGCTGTCTCATCCAAAAGGCTGAGGGCTTTCTGGATTGACTAAAGAAGAGATGAAGGTGACCCTAGGTCCCCAGGAATGCCCACCTCCCTTTCTGGCTCCATCCTTTTTCACCCTATGCCTGGTGCCTCCACTCCAGGCTGTTTTGTTTGCTCTGAGGGGTTAGGTGTGAAGGGCTGTTCTGTGGCTCCCCAGGACTGTCTCTGGACCCTTCAGGCAGAGCAGCAGGTGTATTTGGGATGAGAAGCTCTGAGGGTCAAGGACCCTACAATTTTCTGTGTGGAATCCACAAGGGCACCAAGCCCAAGTGAGCATAAAGCCCAACAAAGGCTTTTTAAAAATTACCATGTGCTGTCCTTTTCTCTGATTACAAAAGTAATACATATTCATGTTCAAAAATTTGGAAAATACAGAAAAGCACAAAGAACAAAAATTCATCCATATTCCACTACCTAGAAGCAGCTACTATATCTGAGGTGTATCACCTCCCTGTCCTTCCCCTTCTCACTGTCTCTTTATCTCTGTCTTTTAATAGGAGTCTCATGCAGTAATACTGTTTTGTGGCTTAGTTGGTGACAGTGTATCAGGAGCATTTCCCCACCCAACAAAACTCATTTGATGAGTGTTTCGCCAGGTGGGAAACATGGAACAGCAGGCACTCAGAAGAGATCTCAGCATTGACAGACCTGGATTCTCTCCTGCTTCCAGTGGAGACAGAGGCCCATAAAATCCATTGGCTGGAGGGGTAGCCCTCGAGTCAGGGCAGTGTGCAACCCAGCGTCTCAAGGATGTGGCAGGATGTGTGCCAGGCTGATCTTGCCCCATCACCTGAGGCCCTGTCACTGCATCAGCCCTATTACCCTCTGGGCTCTTGCCCTGGCCATAGCAGGCCAGTAGGAGGTAGGGAGAGGGCCAAGGTGCCAATCACTTGGAGGCTATAAAAAAATAACACCAGAAGATAAACTAGAAATGACACTAGAAATGTAAAGGACTGCCCCATCAGTCACTTGGGGTGACAGTGGAGGCCAAGACCCCTCTCCCTTTAAGGGATCGGCTTGAGTAGTGACCGTAACAAGGAAACCATGTCTGCTTTAACTGCAAAAGTTTAGTTTAGCTAAGCTGGCTATGCAAGTCTGAGGCCCTTGGCCTCTCCAAATCCTCAACAAGGAGCCAGAGAATCTTGGTTTGAAGACCTTGCCTGCACTCATTGCCCATCTTATCCACACAGCACACCAGATTCACCTTCCTTAATGCCTTCTGATTGGGTCATTTGACTCCTGGCTCAACAAGAGCCTGACTCTACCTATCCAGACCTTTTTCTGTCTTCAAATTCAGCTCAAGGTATGTTTTCCTTTTTCAACAACAAAAAATCAAATAACTGGATTTAAAAATTGGCAAAGGACTTGAATAGACATGTCTCCAAAGAGGATACACAATTGGTCACCAGGCATATGAAAAGATGTTCAACATCACAAATCATTAGAGAAATGCAACTCATATCCACAGTGAGATTCCACCTTACGCCCCCTAGGATGGCTACTGTAAAAAAAAATAATAATAAATAAATGATAACAAGTGTTGGTGACGATGTGAAGAAATCAGAACCCTTATGCACTTTGGTGGGAATGGAAAATGGTACAGCCACTTTAGGAAACAGTGGCGATCCCTTGAAAAGTTAAAAATAAAATTACCATATGATCCATTAAGTCTACTTCTGGTTATACATCCAAAAGCATTGAGAGCAAGGTATTAAAGAGATACTTGCACGCCCGCTTAGCAGCAGCGTTCGCGACAGCCAAGAAGTGGAAGCAATTCACATATCCATCGATGGATGAATGGGTAAACAAAATGTGGTCTACAAACACAATGGAATATTATCAGCCTGAAAAAGGAGGGAAATCCTGCTACATGGTGCAACAGGGATAAACCTTGAGGACATTATCCTAAGTGAAACAAACCAGTCAGGAAAAGACAAATGTCATATGGTTCCACTTATATGAGATACTTAGAGGAGTCAAATTCATAGGAACAGAAAGTAGAATCGTGTTTGCCAGGGGTTTGAGGGAGGGGTTACGGGGAGGAGTATAGAGTTCCAGATTTGCAAGATGAAAAATTTCTGGAGATACATGGCACAACAATGAGAAGATACTTAACACTGCTGGATTGTATGCTCAAAAATGGTTAAGACAGTACATTCTGTGTGTGTGTGTGTGTGTGTTTAACCACAGTTGGGAGAAAAAAAGATACTCTTTTTACCTTCTCTGGCCAGCCCAGCAAGCAAAGAGCTCTCCCTTTCCAGAGCCTCTGAAGTGCTTACACTCTTTACTGCTGGGCCCCTAAACTAACCCACTACCTCTTCATGTATTCACATGTGGTCTTCCTTTGGGGCAAGTTGTTTGAAATCAGCAATAAAATTTTTGCCTTTTATTTTCCCCATGGCACCTAACACGGTGATTTACATAAATTCAGCCAATTCAGTCTATCAGCTCAATTAATATTTGCTGATTGACTGAATTCATACTTCCCTTGATAAACTTTGGATGGTGGGCTGGAGGGTAATGGATGATGAAGCAGCAAATACAGAGAAAGGTAGGAGGTGTCAGTCCAAACTGTACCATTTTGTAAGCTCCCTGCTATTTTGCAGACCTTGGTCAAAGTGAAACATTTCACAGGGGTTCGGACCGGGAGAAACATCCTGCCTGACCACTTGACCACAAGGCAGACAAAGGCCCAACTAAAGAAACATCCCTATCATATCTGGCTGGGTAAAGGTCCAAGGAACACCACGATGACATCTCCCCAGAACAAGGGCTAGAACTGCCTCATCATGGGAACATCTTACCAATATCCTACAGGGTAGCAAGCCATGCTGCCCAGACCCCTCCCGCCCAAGTGGTGGGCTCTGGCGTTAGCCTGCATTTGCTGTTGAGTCACACTCTTTCCGTGTGTGTGTGTGTGTGTGTGTGTGTGTGTGTGTGTGTGTGTGTGCGCGCGCGCGCGCACGTCTTTAACCCTTGCCTTCCCTTCAAAACCTAACAGGAGGCAGTGGGCCTGGGTATGAGTATTTTTCCACATATTGCCCCTGAATTGTTTAAGCAGCTGCAGTCTACTTATGGTTGAATACACACACACACACACACACACACACACACACACACACACTCACACACACACCTTTTGCCTGCACACAAAGACCATCAGATTGGGGAGTTGAAGAGACTTTGGATTCCTAATCTTGAGTTAGAGTTAGACCTCAGAAAATGATGTTGTGGACTCTTGAAGGTTTTTTTTTTTTTTTTTTTTTTTTTTTTTGAGACGGAGTCTCGTTCTGTCGCCCAGGCGGGAGTGCTGTGGCGCGATCTCCGCTCACTGCAAGCTCCGCCTTCCGGGTTCACGCCATTCTCCTGCCTCAGCCTCCCGAGTAGCTGGGACTACAGGCGCCCGCCACTGCGCCCGGCTAATTTTTTGTATTTTTAGTAGAGACGGGGTTTCACCGTGGTCTCGATCTCCTGACCTCGTGATCCGCCCGCCTCGGCCTCCCAAAGTGCTGGGATTACAGGCGTGAGCCACCGCGCCCGGCCTCTTGAAGGTTTTAGAAGGAAAAACGTTGGAAGGCATTAACCCGGACCACCCGGGACATGTACCTAATTTTACTTTTCTTTAGAATTCCTAGAGAAACCCATCCACAACTCTCTTCAGGAACACAGATCAGTGTCTTACAATTCTTCTGCTGGCAAAGTTTTTTCTGACCTCTCACCTCCATCCCTCCCGCTGCCATGTAAACTTCTCTGCTGAAATGGAGAACATTCTCTTGCCACCTTATCCCTTGTAGGCGCTTTTAAAAATTGGACTTTAACAGAATAAAGATCCCTCACATTAGGTGTCTGTAATGTTCTCTTTGTAGGGTGGATCCTCTGCCAAACTAATTGTCTGGTTCTCTTGAAAAGCAATCTTTTCCCCCAGTTCATGTTCCATTTTTGACCTAACATGGCCATTCTTGGCCTTTTGAATAGGACTTGCTTCTAGTCGGGAATTAAATTTCCATAGTAACGCTAGCAGCCATCTTAAAAGTCCTCTCCCCTGGCTCTATTTTAGTACTATGCCATCTTTCTCATACAGGCAGGTGGTTTGCTTGGTTATAAGCCGTGTGTATATTTATTCTCATTTTAGTCAGGGCGAACGACAGCAGTGGCAACTCAAACTACTAACAGGATGAGCAAAAAATACACAATGGAGTCTGCCTGCTTTTAGTTCCTGAGGGGCCTGGGCTCCTGAGGAAACATGGGTGTTTACTTTTTAGCTTCAGAGCATTTTTTTCCATAAAACTGGGGATTGGAAGTTTTCATCTTATTTCTAAATCACCTGGGCCTTTTTCTCTAAGCGGGACACCCTGCTAAGCTTGACACAGGAAAAAGGCCTGAATCTTAGCTTTTGGGATTTGTCTGTTTGTTTAAAGTTTATTATTTATGGCTGTTTTTAAGTAAACCATAAGACCTGTGAGGTTTTTTTTCCCCCAGAACTTACCACTCAGCTCCCTATCCGTAAGTCTAGAAGGATCTTTGTTGACTATGGAATCAAATCCAAACTCTAGAATGTGACACTCAGGGCCCTCAATTTGCTGGCCTCAACCTACTTACTCAGTCTTAACTTTCTTACTTTCTTAGGTCCCCCTGCCCCCACCGCCAAACAGGATAGCATGTTTTCAGAATACCCCTGACACTGTCACCTCTTCGCCTTGTGCACCTGAACCTACAATACCCTTTCTCCCAACACACCTGTGGAATTTCTTCCCCCTCTAAGGCAGGGCTTCCCAACTGGTGTGTTGTGAAGTAGGTTACAGCAGGATTCATTCCCCTTTTCTCTGAGGGCAGCCAGATGGTGGGAGCCACCACGGAACCCCTCCTGGCCAGTGCTCCTGTCCATGGCAGCATTGTCCATGTGTCCCAGTAAGCCACCCAGCTGTTACCATTTTCTGTGAGTGCCATGTGATGAAAAGGGTGGGATGCCCTGCTTTTTTTTTTTTTTTTTTTGAGACGGAGTCTCGCTCTGTCACCAGGCTGGAGTGCAGTGGTGTGATCTTGGCTCACTGCAACCTCCGCCTCCCTGTTCAAGCGATTCTTCTGCCTCAGCCTCCTGAGTAGCTAGGATTACAGGCACCCGCCACCACACCTAGCTAACTTTTGTATTTTTAGTGGAGATGGGGTTTCACCACATTGGCCAGGTTAGTCTTGAACTCCTGACCTTGTGATCCACCCGCCTCAGCCTCCCAAAGTGCTGGGATTACAGGTGTGAGCCACTGTGCCCAGCCTGAAGCCCTGCTTTAAGGCTCAGCTCAATGCGGTCTCCTCCACAAAGTCTCTCCTAGACCCTCCAGCCAGGAGATTCTATCCCTGACTTGGACACCTCCCCCAGTCCTTCTGGAGTGTCTATGTTCTGCTTTGTATCAAGGGTATTCATTGCTTTTCTAGGCATCTTGCCTCCTTCCTCCCCCACTAGGGATTGGCAGCGTTGAGAATTCTGTTCTCATTTAGCTACAAGAAACGGTGTCTAGAACTGTGTCTTGCATGGAATTGGGACTCCTTACATGTCTGTTGATTTGACATCTAGAGCTCCTGTAACTGTAGGTTGTCTTGCAACAGCAACCCCCTTAGATATACTGCTCTTATTCCAATGACCCCACCACTGTTCAAAATATCTCTGGAATTTCTTTTCTGGAATTATTTTCAGAGAAGGCTTATGAGGCAAAGAATAAAACTAGTCTCTTTTCTTTAGAATCAAACAACGTGTATTTCATTTTCATTTTTTGTCATTATGAGTCAACAATTTATTTATTTATTTATTTATTTATTTATTTATATTTATTTATTGAGATGGAGTCTTACTCTGTCGCCCAGGCTGGAGTTCAGTGGTACAATCTCTGCTCACTGCAACCACCGCTCCGATTCTCATGCCTCAGCCTCCTGAGTAGCTGGGATTACAGGTGCACACCACCACGCCCTGCTAATTTTTGTCTTTTTAATAGAGATAGAGTTTCACCATGCTGGCCAGGCTGGTCTTGAACTCCTGGCCTCAAGTGATCTACCCACCTCCAAATATTTGTTGCACCTGGCCAACAAGTATTATTGAGCCCCAGGTACATGGTTTTTTTTTTTTTGTTTGTTTTTAATTAATGTAAACTACTTGTCTACCTTACTGGCAAGATTTGGTTCCAAATAAGTTGGGTCTTTTTCCAGAAATTGAATCTATCCTCAAAACAGTAGAGGTTTAGCATCTTTGAGCAGGTTTGCAAGGGATAAAAAACTGCAACAAAACAAAACAGAACAGAACAGAACAAAACAAAACAGCAACAACAACAACAATGGCCATGGCAGCATCACTGGAATGTGAGGCGCCTTCCCAGGTGCCACCTTAAAAAGACAGCATTAACTTGGATACGTAAACTCTGGAGTGCTTATTAAAAAGACTATCTCCCTGGCTTATGTCGCTCTTTGTACAGATATGTATCATTCGGAGACCTAAGGGACATTGAGTGTGGTTTGTTTTTTTAAGGAGTTTATACTCTGAAAGAGGATACATAATTCAAAGACTCTTGTGAGAAATCTCACTAGAATTGTGTTGACACCTGAGAGAACCTCCAAACTCATGAGTCAGTATGGTATGTTGTTAACATTATGTTATTTGGAGCCAACAGATGCAATTTATGTTGTGGCTCTGTTGCCCAGCTGGGATACCTTGGGTAGTTACTTAAAATCTCTGGAGCTCAGTATGCTTGCCTGTATAATGGGAGGACGATGTCTACTTTATAGGGCTGTTGTAAAGATGAATATTGACTGTAGCACACAGCTATTCTGATTTCAAAGAAAACATCTACAAACATTTGGATTATTATTATTTTTTTCCCCAGCCAATAGAGGGCTAAGGAATAAATTGTTGTCTTCAAGCTTTTGGAGATTTACATTACATACTGAGTTTTAAGATGTTATCTGGTTCCTGTGAAGAGAATACTAAAGATTTGCCATTTGTTTGCTATAGAAATGATGGGAGCTGGAACTTCCTCTGAAGATGGTTAGGTGGAGGAATAGACGAATGGAGAAGACTGGGGAATTATTTATGGAGAAGTGGGAGCCTAGTTTGCAGAGTGTATTAAAACTATTCCTAATTTCTTCGGTTGGGACCTTCTTCTAAGCTGCGGGTTCTGCTTTCGAATGCAGCTGCCACTCCTTCCCCAGGCTTGGGCGCTAGAGCCTGCTAGTCCAAGTTCAACTTCTCCAGAAAGCGTTCCCAGAGAAACATGATTATGCTAATAGATATGGGCACTTTCTAAGTGCCAGGCACTGTTGTGGGCATTTCACATAAATACATTTATTTAGCCCCAGGAGGGGCTTAATGGTCTCTGTTTTGTGAATGAGGAAACAAAGGCCCAGAGAGGTGAGCAAAGTGATGAAGGTCCCATCGCTAGTTAGTGATCAAGCCTGGATTTGAGCCCAGGCAGTTGGGCGGCAGAGCACACTGCCTAGTACCACCCAACATCCCGGCAGCCTCCACACTGCTTGACCCCACCCACTTTAAGAATTAACAGGTGGGGTGTGGTGGCTTATGCCTATAGTCTCAGCACTTTGGGAGGCGGAGGTGGGTGGATCACTTGAGCCTAAGAGTTCGAGACCAGCCCTGGCAACATGTCGAAACCCCATCTCTACTAAAAAAAAATATATATATATATATATATTAGCTGGGCATGGTGGTGTGCACCTATAGTCCCAGCTGCTAGGAAGGCTGAGGTGGGAGGATCACCTGAACCCAGGAGGCAGAGGTTGCAGTGAGCCAAGACTGCATCACCGCATTCCAGCCTGGGTGACAGAGCGAGACACTGTCTCAAAAAAAAAAAAAAAAAATTTACAGATTAGTCCAAATGAATTAATTACTTATTTATCATGTTTATTGTTTGTCCTCCTTTCGCCAGTATCTAGGCTCCATGAAGTCAAGAATTTTTGTCTTTTAAAATTAACTGTTGAATCTCAAGTACCAAGAAGAGTGGAAGCATATGAGATGCTTAATAAATATTTGTGGAATAAATAAAGTTGTTAATACATTGCTTTTTAAAAACCTTTTTTTTTAAAGCACATTGCTTTTTAGGAGTTCAGATCTATGTGTCTCTGGGCCTTCTGATGGTCCTGTTTTGTACAGGTGAATTTCAACCAGTGTTACTAATCAAAATGCCAACTCTTTTCCAGGGAAAAGCATATTCCCAGTCTGAAGCCTGTTTTCTGTGGGCACTTTTCTCAGTTAGAGACAATCACAAGCCTTGGAAATCAACTGGTCTTGGGGTTGTCATGGTAAATAGGGCCCACAGATGTGATTTTTCTGGTGTGTGTTTAATGTTTTTGTAGTTGAGTGTCTATGGGTGGGATGTATGCTTCTCTCAGCCACAGTCCCCTATTCTCCCTGGTGAGAAGAGACAGCTGTCCACTCATCCATTTCCCCTCCTAGCACCTAAATGGGGCTGGATGATTCTAGTCCAACTCCATTAGTTTTAGTTGAGGAAACTGATGCCCAGAGGTGGGGGTGACTTGCCTGTGGTCATGTAGCTGTCACAGTCTGGCATGCAACTCCCATCTGCCTCCCGGTCCAGTGTGCTTTCCCCTACACCATGTGCCGGGGCAGGAATGCTCTGTCTGATTAGGAATGAAAGCGGATGTCATTGTTCCAGAGGATAGGGAGTTTGGGGTGAAGGGACAAAGAAGAGTTGAATGGTGACTAGCACCTCTCCTTGTTCTCTGCCACCACACTGCCACTGTGCACATTGGCAACCCCTTCCAATGATGGCATTTTCAGCAAATGGGAGGGGAATAGTAGGTTTCTCATTTTCCCCCCACCTCCATTGTAATTAGTTGTCAAAAAATTTTAGATGGAAGGGGGAATGCTCAGGTCCTGATGAGATGATACAGCAAAGATTTCATTTCATCTTGAATTTGACATTAAACTTTAATAGTCTCAAGGACAAGAAGCCAAGAGATATCAGATGTAATGAGATAAAGCAAAGTTTCTCTGACAGCAAATTTGATCACAAATGGGCTCCGAGATTGCTTCTTTGATATAAATGAAACATAATTCATCTTCCAGTGCCCCGAATGAGCTTTCAGGCTGGGGATGAAGCTGGCATCTCTCTTGCCTGGCACTGACAAGTGGCAGCACGGGGAGGAGGTGGAGGCTTGGCTGGACCCTGCCGGGCAGTTCGGCAGCTGGGTCTAGAAGAGATGAGACAAGTAGCGACGGAAGCTGGAGAGTGTCCGGAGGCTCAGCCAGGGGCAGGGAAGGGAGACAGCGATGTTTTGGCTCAGGAGGCTGTCCTCAAACTCAGAATGGCCACG
Organism: Homo sapiens; assembly: GCF_000001405.40. Lineage (NCBI taxonomy): Eukaryota > Metazoa > Chordata > Mammalia > Primates > Hominidae > Homo > Homo sapiens. The sequence goes on along the minus strand of NC_000011.10, from coordinate 116,488,897 downwards.
ACGGTGTCAAACAGTGGGAGTCCCCTCACAGGGACAGACTCTGTGGGAAACTGCTCTCCTGACAATTTCCTGGTTCGGGCATGACAGGGGCACAGACATTTATTCTTGAATGCAGTGTTCACTCTTTTCTGACATGTCTTCTTGAAACAGCACCTTCCTCTCCAAGAGCCCTGTGCCCAGTGCCCACATTCACACCAGCACGGTGCTGAGGTGGGGACGGTGTTAGGAGGTCCAGGCTCCCAGCCTCCAGCAGCTCCCCTGTGTCTTCTCACTCATGCAGAAATGACCGTGCGAATGCCTTCAAAGCCTGCTCACCCCCTTTCTACAAGATTGCTGCCCTCAAGTCAGCCTTTTGCAGAAGTTCAGCTGGCGCTGCTTGTTAGGTTCCTCAGGTTCTAAGGTCCCTAATTCTTCCTCCTCGGGTCACTATGATCCCTCCTCCTCCTCAGGTCACAAACCTGTAGAGACTTTAAGACAAATGCCTTAACCTGATGCCCCAAGCCCTCTACCACCTGGTACCTTCCAGCCCCGCCTTCCGTTCCCCCTCCTGGGCATCATTATCATGGCCACAGCAGCAGGAGAGTGGCCCCAGGGCCAACCACACCCTACTCTGTGCTTTTGCTCTTGCAGTCCCGGCAGGAAGCCCTTCATCCGGTCACATTTTACTCGCCCTTCTTCAACCTCTAAAGTTACATCTTCTGAGAAGCCATCCCTCCCCAGCTCTGCCAGCAGACAGCTTGTCTCCCTGGGGTTCCCAGACCCGTTTATGGCTCCGAGTCTGTCATTGCTGTCTCACTGCTATTCCTGCATATATGTGTCTCCTTCAGAGCATGAGCTCTTTTGGCCATGCCTTACTGATTTTTGTACCTCCCTGGGTATGTCATGGTGCCTGGCGTGGAACATGTATCTACTGAGGATGCATTCAATGAAATTGAATCCTGGCCCATGGCACTACCTTCTGTGCCAGGCTCAGCTTAGCAGATAGCCGTCCCCTGGGGTTGAGAGGATCAGAACACATGTGCAAATACTGTAGTTTAAAATTAATAACTTTGTCTAAGTTTTTCTTCTTGTTCTTGTTCTTTTGTTTTGTTTTGTTTTGAGACAGGGTCTTACTCTGTCACTCAGGCTGAAGTAAAGTGGCACAATCATAGCTCACTGCGGCCTTGGACTCCTGGGCTCAAGAGATTCTCCTGCATCAGCTTCCTGAGTAATTGAGACTACAGGCGTGTGCCACCACACCTGGCTAATATTTTATTTATTTATTTATTTTTGTAGAGACGGGGTCTCTCTATGTTGCTCAGGCTAGTCTTAAAGTCCTGGCCTCAAGTGATCCTCCCACCTCAGCCTCCCAAAGTGCTGGGATTGCAGGCATGAGCCACCACACCTGGCCCCAAATTCTTCTGGATTGAGTTTGGGATTGCGAACTCGAGACCAAATTTGAAACAGAAGATCTGCTGACATCATCTCCTCCTTCCTGAGGGTGAGAATGAGAACTCTGGTTAAAGCATCTTTACCTTTCTCACCTGAAGACAGTCTGAACACCCTGGTGGGGAGGGAGCTCTCCTTGGAGAGGGGGTATTGAATTTGGCATTACTTAGGCTGAACAAAGATGTGGCTGGGGAAGCTGGGCTAGAGTAGGGTATGCATGAGAGATAGGCTGTGTCCAACCTGGGAGGCAGAATCAGAGCTGGGAAGCAAGACCTGGTATATTAATTCACGGGGAAGCTGAATGTGAGAGCTTTGGGTCCATTCAGAGCATAGATTAAACCCAAATGCCCATCAAGAGAGACATGGATAAACAAATTGTGGTCTATACATACAATGAAATATTTACTCAGCCATAAAAAGGAAAAGGAAATGAGAGCATGCTACAATGTGAATGAACCTTGGAAATATTATGTTAAGTGAAAGAAGCCAAACACAGAGTTTGCATATTGTATGATTCCATTTAGATTAAATGTCCGGAATTGAGAAATCCACAGAGACAGTGGATTGGTGTTTTTCAGGGGCTGGGAGGTGGGAGAAATGGGGTAACTGCTTAATGGGTATGGGGTTTTCCTTTTGGGGTGATAAAAGTGCTTTGAAAGTAGACAGAGGTGGTCATTGTACAACATTGTGAGTATACTAAATGTCACTAAATTTTTAATTTGAAATGATTAATTTTATATTATGTGAATTTCACCATAATAAAATAACAAATTTAAAAATAACAAACAAAGGAAATGCAGGTGTAGTCCTGGGGCATCTGGGTAAATTCCACTGGATGTCTTTCTTGTCATCCTATGCCATCCTATGAAGCCACCCACACATGTGTGGGTGTCTACCAGGGCCGCCACTCTGCACATCTCCAGGGCACACCACTGGCATGATGGTCCATGTGGATAGAGCTTGGGGGCCCTGTGTTCACCCTGGGGTGCCACTGGGCCTCTGGCTGGGAGAGGGGCATGGTAGAAGCTCTCTGGGCCTGCCTCCTCTATCCATGTCTCCTTCTCCCATAATCATGATGTGATTCATTTTCCTCCCTGCAGCTGCCAACCAAGGGGGCTGACCACTGATAATTAAGATCTGGTGGGTGGAAAGATGGCCTCCCCCTCTGTGGTGTCAGTCTCTATCCCTGCTATCCTTCCTGTCTCCCAACACAGTGGTCATTGCCAGCACTCTGGAGATATAGTGGGCAAGGGAGGGGGAGAAGACCTTAGGTGATGACAGAAGGGACCCAAAGTCATTATTTTAATGGAGTCATTGGCTGTGCTTCCACATCTCCTTATCAATGCCATTAGAATTAATTTGATTGCATCCTCTCCCTCTTCTCCCTCTCTCCTTTCTCATCACAAATGACTTTCCTATGCATATGTTACTCAAGGGGATGACAAGGTTCCACATGGCGGGCCCTTTGAGGCAGTAATGGCAACTCATGGGAGCTCCTGCTGACGTATGGCTGCTTACAGAGGCCTCCTCCTTCTGGACATCAGCCTCTCTTGCTCCCAGGGTGCTGGAGTTGAAGAGGATCCTAAGGGACCTCTAGCCTTTGCCAGCTGGTATCTCCCTAGAGAACTAAGAAATCCTGCATCTGCCTCCCATCAGCCACAACAAAACCTAGGGACAAGAGCTCTAAAGAGTGTTGCTTTGCTGTTTTATGCAGAATTCCTCAGCCACATGGAATTCTCCATCCTGGTAGTAGACTTTTCTTCCCACCCAATCCAGGCCTTATGGATTAGAAGCTTGTGAAGCAATTTACAATGACTGTGGCGTAACCCGCCTCCTGTGTAAGGGTGGAGGTAAATACCGTGGGTGTCAGAGGCTTTGGACTTTGCCAGAGGCTGGCCTCGGAGGGAAGGAACTGTGAGTGGGGATGAGGATGGTTTACACTAACAGGTTGCTGTCTAGTGGGTGGGGTCTCTAGTGGTTCTTGTCATTGTCTCCTTGGAGCTGGCTTCACTGATGCTACAAGGTGAAAGGGAAGCTTTCTGGATTCTGGAATAACTCCCACTTTCCCCCACAAATGCAGTCTTCCTTGGGCAGCCTGAGAAGCCTGCCCCATGTTGCCTTTCTGAAGCAGCCTCATAAAAGGTCCCTGGTGTGTTTGTTGACTGCCAGTTTGGACTTCAACAGGGTTAGAAGCAAAGAGTACATGGCAGCTGCAAACAGCACCCACATTTAGCCCTTTGGCTGCTGCACTGTGGTCGTTTGCCTGGCCTGATGGTCTTTGCTGTCTGATGGATTCTGGAGTCTGTGGGTTGGACACTGCAGGACTATACCACTCTAGCAGGCACTCTCTTGTTTGTGCACGTGGAGGAATGCTTTGGAGATGGCCATGTCCTCTGCCTTTCTAAAGGGATTGGTGTCATTCCTTGTAGAGATGGAAGGGGAGACTTAGACTGTAAAACAGTGTGGCTGATAGAATGGAACCCCAAGAGAGTCAGGAACTTGTCTAAGCGCCCTGCCTTGGCCTCTGTCTAGCTATATGGCCTTGACCAAGCCATGTTTCTTTATGGCTGCATTAGTTGGCTAGGGCTGCAGTAAAAAAGTACCACAAATTGGGTGGCTTAGAACAACAGAGATGTATTGTTTCATGGTTCTGGAGGCTAGATGTCTGCAATCAAGGTGTTTGGGAGGGCCATGTTCTCTGAAACCTGTAGGGGAGGGTTCTTCCTTGCTTCTTCTGGTAGTCCCCACATTCCTTGGCTTGTGACAGCATCACTCCAATCTGCCCGTGGCATTCGCCATGTGTCTCTTCACATTGTCTTCCCTCTGTGCATGTCTGTCTCTGTGTCCAAATTTTCCCTTTTTGTAAGGACACCTATCGTATTGGATGAAGGCCCATCCTAATAATCTCATTTTAATTTGATGACCCTGTAATCAAATAGGGTCCCATTCTGAGATGCTGGAGGTTTGCACTTTAACATATCTTTTAGAGGGGGAGGAAGTTAACCTGAAATATGGGCCTTGTCTCCTTACCTGAACAATGAGGGTTGACCTAGGGTCCTTTCCATCATAGACCTTCTATGACCCAGTGCCATTTGCCAGGCACTGCCCCGATCTTTTTTTTTTTTTTTTTTTTTTTTTGCCAATGTAAAAAACAAAAACAGAGAAAAGAAAAGAAAATCTAAATTCCCAAGCAGAGGAAAAGACAGGTTTTTCATCAGTGATTGTCAAACTGTAAGAATCTCCCAGGGAGCAGGTTACAATTGCAACATTCTGGTCCCACTCCCAGAGATCCAGATCCAAGGGGATTGTGTAGGGCATGAGGATCTGCATGTTCACAAGCTTCCGGTGATTCTGAGCAGATGGTTCTCAGACCTCTGTGTAAGAAATACCACTGTAACTCTTGGTCCTTAGACTCAGCTTCTGTCCTCCCCTGAGAGGTGGAGGGCTGGAGGAATGTAGCCCTTAGCGGTTTGGACCAACTGCTTCAGTCTTGGTCACTGCCTCATACAGAGATAGCTGTGGCAGGTGAGGCCCCGGCATGGCTGCTGTCTGGGGCCTTCTGTCAGGTCCTAGGGAGAGAATTAAGGCTGTGTGAACAGGGCAGGGGCTGGAAGAGAGGTGGGCAGCCCCCATCACCTTAAGGCCTGTGACAAATACCTTTCATTATCACCGAGAGGAATAAGTCACATTTTGCAGTCCCAGGTATCTTTTCTTAATTGGTGAGACGGGGCTGATTTATTTGTTAATTAACAGATGGAGTCACATGCAGTAACATGGTTTGTTTTATTTATACCTGACAGGGGTAGGGCTTCTAGAGAAGCTCCTGAGGAGGCAGGATCTGCCCGAAGGAGGGGCTGGGATGGTGTTTGTGATGGAAAGGTGCCGTCCTCCTGGTGGAGGCCCTTATGACTATATCCATCCCCCAGGCATACCTCATATTCCTTTCCTGACCAGAAAAATCAGTGCCACTTCCCACAGGGTGGGCAAATTTGTTTGGTCAGGTGAAAAACCAAAGGTATTATTTATTAAAAAGCTCAACATGTTCATCCTTCCTTCCATTCCTTCTTTTTTTTTTTTTAGAAAAAGGCGGGGAGAGAGAGACAGAGAGATTGAGAGAATAAGAGGGAGCCCTTCCATCATTTCTTTATTCCTTTCTTCCACAGAGATTGCATGTCTGCTCTGTGTCAGGCACTGTGCTATGTGCCGGGGAACCAGTGGGGAACACCGCAGACACAGCCCTTGCTCTCAGAGATCAGTTGCTCTCCTCTAGACGGTGGGGTGACCCTAAGAGGCTGCTTTGTTTACCTTATTCCTCCATGCTCAGAGTGAGGGAAATGAGAGCTCATGACCAGAAGATGCTTTGTAGCCACCTGGCACCAAGGCAGACCCGGCCACACTGGATGAACATTGGCTAGACAGGCTAGCTGCGGACAGTGAGGCAGCTCCGGGAAGTTGCAGTATAACTGGGAGCCTTTCCTTTGCCTCGGGGAGCTCCTGTGGGGCAGAAGCCTGAGCCTACCTCTAACAGGTGTTTGCAGGAACCTTCCCTGATGTGGACACTCCTGAGACATGCCCCTAGTCTCATGACTCTTAATTCCAAAGGTCAGTACCAGGCTTCCAAGGTGTCCCTTCTGTTTGATCTGTAGCTCAAATTCCCTTTAAAAGTCTGGCCAGTCCATGGCCATGTCTGGTGTGAGTATCAGATACTGGTTTTACTTGTTTTATAATTTATAATTTGTTTGTTGGTTTTCCAATTACATTGTGCCTGAGCACATTTAATTCTCTTAAGCCTTTGAGGTAGGTACTGTAATTACTTTCATTTTATAGATGAGAAAATGGAAGCATAAAGAGATGAAGGTCTCCAGGGTCCCCCAGTTGGTGAAGGGCAGAGCTAGGATCTGCTCCTGGAGCTGGTGCCCTAAACCACAAACACTGTCCTCCTCCCAGCATCATGTAAGCCTTGTCTACTGCCAGATCCATATTGACAACCACACCCAAATCTACCTTTTAAAAATGCATCTATCTGCACATGCTCACACCTGCATGGATATCCGTACCCAGTTTTGCCTCGTAGTCAAGCTCGCTGGAGTGAGATGCCAGGTCTGCCTTTCACTCGGCTGTTTGTCCTTTCCACCCTGCCTTACTATTCCTCCTGTTCTGTGTCCCGAGGGGCTTACTGGCAACCTTTTCAGGTAGGCCGAGTGAAAAAGAACAACAGGCTCCAGTTGTAGGCAGGTAGCATAACAGCCGTGGACCCAGATGGCCTGTGTTCAGAGTCCTGCTCTGCCACATACCAGCTGTGAGACCCTGGGCAAGCTAACTCACCTTTTCAGGCCTCAGTTTCTTCCTGGATGAAGCGGGGCTGATAGTACTGGTCTCACATAGCTATTGTGGAGCGCAAGTTAGTGAATGCATGTGAAGTGCTTGCCACAGCGATAAATACATAGTGATAATAGTGGTGATAATATTGACAAAGATAACGACATAGACGTGATAAACATGATGTTGATGAAGAAGGAAAAGGAGGAGGAGGAGATGTCAGGGTGGTATAAAGACCCTTGTGAGTGCTGTCACCAACAACCTTGGGAGGATGCGCTCATCCCTCTGGCTCAGGAGAGGCTGCCTAACAGCTATGGCGGAAGCATCCCTTAGGAGCAATTTCAAAGTCTCTCCCTTGTGTGGCACAACCCCTGTTCACAGCATGCCCATTCTCCTACACTCCAGGGAGCAGCTTGACAGTGACCCATCCATGAAGAGTTGCAGTGCCAACTTCTACTTGGAAGTGCCAACTTCCTCCTTCTATTCAACTCTGCAGAGCCCTTTGCTAAGTCTATGAAAGCAGATGGCGTAAGGAATTAGAAAGCCAAGCAGCTTTGCTAAGACCCCCAAGAAGGTAACGGTTTCTGCTAAGCATTCATAACAGCTGCCATTGTGTTCAAATTAGGTGTCTGGCCCTTTGTACAATAGCCACAAATAACCTTGTTAAAGGGTGAGTCAGACCATCTCCCTCTGAAGCTCAGCACTCTACAAAGGGATTCTCATTTCATTCAGAAAAAAAAAAAAGCCAGAGCTTTCCAGTGGCCTCTAGTGCCCTATGGGACCTGACCTCCTATCCCCGCTCAGAACTCACCTTCTGCTGCTCTTTCCCACTGCTCCAGCCACACCAGCCTTGTCTGCAATGCAAATATAGCAGCCCCTTCTGCCTCAGAGCTTTTGCACTAGCTGTTTCCACTGCCTGGAATGCTCTCCCTCCAGATAGCCCCATGGCTCCCTTCCTCACTCCTTAGAGTTGTTTTTCAAATGTCCTAGTCTCTGTGAGGATCACCCTACTTTGATTTAAATTGTAAACTCTTTCCCCACCCCTTACTCTGTTTCATTTTCCCCTTAAAACACTCACCTTCTACTTAGAATGTAAGTATAATTGTCTAATTTATTGTGTTTAAACTGTTTTCCCTATTAAAATGTAAACTCTATGAAGGCAGTGATTTTTGCCTATTTTAACATTGTAATCCCAGTGCTTAGATCAGTGTCTGGCACATAGTAGAATTGATAAACATTTGCTGATGGATAAGTGCATGTGTATTGTGTGCTTTACACGTATTCACCTAATTAAAAAAAACTTGCAACAAATTTACAAGGTAGGAACTATGATCATCCTCATATTACAGATAAGGGGACTAAGGCCCGGAGGGATTAAGCAACGTTTTCAAGGCCACATAGCTGAATAATGGCAGAGCTGGTTTTGGAACCTAATATCACTTTAGAGCCTATGCTAATGTTAATTATACTATGTTATTTTATCCATCCATCCATCCATCCATCCATCCATCTTCCCACTGTTCATCCATCCACCCATCTTCTATTCATGTTTCCTTCATCCATCCATCTATACATCTTTCCACTGTCCATCCATCATCTTTTCTGTCTCTGCCTCTGTCCCCCTCTCTCTGTAGCACAATCTACCTTGTACCATACACTATGATGAGGTCTATGGATCCAGAGAAGAAATGATACATAACTGAGTGATCATCGCCTTCAAGAAACTCACAGTACAGGATGATAGGCCTCTAAGGGCCTATGCTCAGGTTTTTAGGAAAGAAGGTTGGTTCTAAGCATGACTAAGCTGGAAATTAGAGATGATTTTCTCCAAGTTCTGGCTTCTAGTAATATTAATCTATTTTCATTTTGTCCATGTACCACAATATCCACAAACTGCACAAAAATCTCTACACAGGAAGGCAAAAGTCTCATCTGAATATGTATTTTTTAGTGCCTGGCAAAGTGTCTGTCTTCTGAAAGCACCTGGTAGAAATTAGAGGAGGTGGTAGGCATGAAACTGGAATTATCAGTATATTGCTCCTTTAGCAAAAGATGACCCTGGTAGAAAATCACAAGGAAGAAACATGATGAAATTATTTTTCTATTTATGTGCAATCCCTAAAGCTGAAGCTTAGTTTTTTAGTCTTGATCAGTGAAGTGTCCATATGAAGGGAAAATTGAACCTGGTTTCCTAGTATGAGACGCAGATTTTGTGCAATAGTTTCCTACTAGTGAAATGTAAACACAATTTTATTTGTTAATAATAATAATATGATGATTACTTCTAGCAATAATAGTTAACATTTGTTGAGCATTAACACCGTGCTAGACTTGTGCTAAGTGCTTTACATACATGATTTGACTTAATGATCACTAAACCCCCAATGGGTAGGTAATATTAGATCTGTTTTATATAGATGGAAACAGACTTGGAGAGAGTAATAATGTGTTCCATCTAGCCCAATGCCTGGAACATAGTGGATGCTCAAACAATGTTAGTCCCCTTCTTGGCTACTCTCCTTAATAGTACATTATGGTTGTAGAAGCCTTGAACTTTCCTAGACACACCTGGAGTCCATTAGTATTTGCTGCCTATACCACCTCTTGGGTTAATGAGTTTTATAAGCTGACAACCAGCTGTGCAAAGCAGTAGTTCTTCCTTTCATTTGTTTTAAACTACCTATTTCAGGCTTCAAGTGGTGCCTCTGTAGATCCAGTGATTCAGGAGTTGATGAGCACATTCATGTTCAGCTTTGATAGCCTTTAATCTTGCAGCCATTTATTGTGCACCTGCTATGTGCCAGGCGTTGTGCTACTCTCTGTGGATACAAAGAAGAAATCTTCCCTGACCTTAAGGAGCACTTACTTAAAAGACTTTGATTACTGGACTTGGTAATATGGTTGTGAGGAAAATGGACTTTGGAATCAGGCAGGCAGAGATGATCTATTTAAGCACACAGGTTGTGCACGGCACAACTCCAGGTGGTGCCATTCACATTGAGTACAGTTACGCACTGTGGAGTTGTGCAGTGCACGGCTTGCACATAGGCACATGGTGACCTTGCAGCTAGGGGTGGGGGGATGGGGGTCACAAGCAAGTTACTAATATTTTCTTTAAGCTTCTGTCTCCTTAAATGTAATATGGTAATCCTACTACCTTCCTCACAGGGTTGCCTTGAGGATTAAATGAGATCATGCATGCCGAGAGAAGATTACAGTGGCTGGCACATGGGAGCTGCTGAGTAAATAGGAGCCTTTATCATCTTGTCTTTCCAGATTCAAGAGTGTGCTTTGCTGTGCAGTGAGCTCTAAACAAGTCTGATCTTATCTGGGAAGGCTCAGGCCCATCTGAGAACATGCACGTGGCTTATTGAGACCTTGGCGCTGATCAATAGAAATAGTGTTCTCAACTGCTGCTGGAAGGTTAGTAACCTCCTCTGAGATTCTGCTGCTGAAGTGGCTACACAGAGGTCTCCCCATCTCTTTCTTGCAAAGATCAGACATAATAACAATAAAAATTCTTTATTATTATCATGCAATAAATATTTGACATTTGTGCTTTGCCAATATCTTTGAACATCCTTCTTAGGCTGGGTAATTCGTACAGATTTTGATAATCTTCCTAAGGTAGGGGCCAGAAGACTTGCATCTCAGCTCCCTTGCAGCTGCGGCTGGCTTGTGACTGACGTTTGGCCAATTAGGCTTATCTGTAGAGACTTGTTTAGAGGGTGGACAGTATGCGGAGCTTCAGGCAGAGGGGGATCATTTTTCTGGGCAGCGCAGTGGTAGAGGAGTTTGGTTCTTTGAAGACAGTTGTGGCTTCTGACATCAAGTCCTGAGCATCATAGCAGGCAAATGGAGGGGGGCGAATTCCCGGAAGAGCACCCCCAGTGAGATTGGGCATGAGTCCTGACTGTGTGGCTTTGGACGTAGCCTCTGAGTTGCTGGGAGCTACCTATATCCTTTAATAAATAGGGTGTTTTCACAAGAACTAGTAGATTGGGTTATTTATAGTTAAGGAGGTTGGCTGATACTGCAGTAGTAGTAATAATAATAATAATATTTATAATATAACTACAAGCCCCTCCACATCAGCTTTGGCAGAAGTGATTGGGGATCCCAGAACTCCTGGTGCTCCTGGAAAGAATGCCACTGCCCCACCCACCCTGCTATGCTCCCCCAGCAGTGGAACTTATGTCATCAGGTGATGTAGTTACCTAATGACCCCTGGTGACTTCTGATTCTTTCAAGATTTTAGCCCCTGGCTTACTGTCTCTTTGCTCTGACCTCTCTCATATTTCTTGGTGATTTCAGTATCGATGATGCTGCCAGGACCCTGACGTCTCAGTTCTTTGACCTTCTTCTCCAATGTGCCTGTTCTCCATCCTGCCCCAGCCACTCACCTCATGGTCATACCCTGGACCTTGTCATTGTCAGTAACTTCCCTCTTCCAAGAGATGCATATTAAGGGGCCCACTCTCTGACCCCTACTTTTATCCTTCTGGCTCACAAGCTCTGGTACCCTGACTCTAACAATCCTTCCCCCATTGACACGTACAATCCTTCCATCCAAATACCCTTTGGTGCTTTCCGCCCTTCTCCAGTCCCACCTTTTATCCTTATCCAGCTTAAAGTCCATCGTTGTAACCACTCTTTTGCATACCCCTCAGTTCCTTTGCTCCTCATGTCTTTATATTCATGGAACAAAACCCCAATTCTGATAAAGCCCGACTGTCTGTTGACTTGGAGCTTACATTTGTGCAGCTGAATGGCTGGGGAAAAGTACATCCTAATCTGTCTGCTTTCACTTCAGCTCAGGCAGGCTCTGTGTGCTACATCCACCCTCCCATACTTTCCCACTCCTTTCACTCTCCCTTTTTTCTCCATGGCTGTTTCATTCCTTTTGCCCTCCCCAAAGCTTCAATGCCTCCTCCCTCTCCTCACTCTCAGTGACTTCACCTCCTGTGTCACCACCACAACATCTACCCCCTCCCTCCCATGCATCGGTGCCTGTTTTCTGGCCTCTCTCTTGTCACCAAGGGTAAACTACTCATGCTTCTGGGCAAGGTTGGCCCCTCCATGAGTGTACCTGATCCCACCCCTGCCAGATTTCCAAGGGCATCCCTCTGCCATTCTCCCTGCTCTCTCCTGTATCATCAGTTTCCCCCTCTCTGCTGCATCATTTCTCTCAGCATCAAACATACTGTTATTTCCCCTACCTTTAAAAAAGTTCTCTCGACCCCACATCTCCCTTTAGCAAAACTCGTCAAAAGAGTCGTCCACATTTGTGCCTCCAATTCCTCTCCTCCCATTCTGTCTTCAACCCATTCTAATTACACTTCCCTCCCACCTCTGAAACTGCCATTGCCAAGAGCTCCAAATTGCTTAATCTAGTGGTGAATTTTTTGTCTTCATCCAACTTGACTCATGGTTGACATTGGACAGAGCTGATGACTGTTTACTTCTCAAAACATTTTCCTCACTCACCTTGCAGAACTTGACCTCTCCTAGTTTCCTTCTTTCCTCACCAACTGCTTTTAACTCCCTGTTCTCTTAATGGTGGAATGCCCCTGAGCCTAATCCTTGGACATCTTTTCTAAGTGATCTCATCCAATTCCATGGTCATAAGTTCATAGCAGATAAGATGACACTCAAATGTGTGTCTCCAGCCCTGAACTCCAGACTCATACTCAGTTGTTATTTCACATTTCTACTTGGATGCCTAAAAATGAAGTGCCGATCTGTCCTCCAAACCTGCTAGTTTACTAGGGCTGCTGCAACAGTGTTACAAATTGAGCAGCTTGAAAAAACAGAAACTTACTGTCTTACAGTTCTGGAAGCTAAAAGATCAAGGTGTCAGCAGGGCTGTGCTCCCTCTGAAGGTGCTAGGGAAGCACCCATTCCAGGCTTCTCCCAGCTCCTGATAGTTCTTGGACTGGTGGCAGCATCACACCCGTCCTTACCTGGTGCTGTCCCTGTCTGTGGGTCTCTGTGTCCAAACTTTCCATTTTTAGAAGGATACCGGTCATATTGGATTAGGGTCTACCCTAATGACCTAATTTTAACTTGTCTACATCTGCAAAGACCCAATTTCCAAATAAGATCACATTCTGAAGTACTGGGGGGTAAGACTTCAATGTATCTTTCTGGGGGGCCAAAATTCAAAGCATAACACTGCTCCTCCCACTTGACCTCATTTTGGTAAATGGCAACTCCAATCTTCCACCTGCTCAGGTCAAAAACCTTGGAGTCATCAGTGACTCCTCCTTTTCTTATACCTAAATATCCAATCCATCAGCAATCCTCTTGGTTCTGCCTTCAAAATGTATTCAGAATCCAAACAGATCTCATCACCTCCACAGCTACCTCCCTGGTCCAAACTGCTGTCTTTCATCATCTGGATGAATGGCAACAGCCTCCTATCTGGTCTCCCTGCTTCTGCTCTTACCCCTTATAGCAGTCAGAGTGACCCTTTATAAATGTTAGACAGTGTCTCCGCTCTGCTCAAAATCCTTCCATGCCCCGCCCGCTCCCCTCCCCCGCCCCCTGCCGTGGTGTGTAGATTACAGACCAGTGGCCTGCAATGTGTTACATGGTTCACGCACATCTTTACTTCTCTGGACTCATCTCTCCCACTCCCTATTCCCTCCCTCTGTTCCATCCACTCTGCCTCCTTGCTGGTTCAGCCTCAGGGCCTTTGCACTTGCTTAAAATGCCCTTTCCCTGGATAAGTATTTGGTTTGCTTCCTCACTTCCTTAGACTTTTGTCCAAGTATTATCTTCTCTGTGAGGTCTTCCTTGACCAACAAATGTAAAATTGCAACCCTTCCATCTTCGGTTCTCTCACTTTATTTCCTTTCTAGCACTAAGCTTCATCTGACATGCTATATATTTTCCTTATTTCTTGTCTGTGTCCCCAACTTGAACGTCTGCTCCTTGGGGACAGGGGTATTTATCTATTTTGACCACGTTTGTATCCCCAGGCATAGATCAAAGCCTAGATCACATAGTAGGTGATAGGAAATATTTGAATAAGTAATTGATTAATTGAATTAATAATAATAATTATAATAATGATGAACTGACAGCAATTAGCAGCATTTGAAGTATCATCTCCATTTAGTTTATCCTCCCAGGAGCCTGGTGAGGGAGATCTTATCCTCATTTTGTAGATGAGAACACTAAGGTTTGATATGATGATTCCTAGCGGGTGACATTGCTATTAGGTTGGTGCAAAAGCAATTACGGTTTTGCATTAAAAGCAATGGCAAAAAACCACAATTACTTTTGCACCAACCTAATTGTAACAAAGCAAGACCTGGCTTTGGAATCAGACCATCCAGGTTCAGCTGTTCACCCTGCCACTATGTGAGTCCTTAAGCATTTCCATAATTTCCTGAAGCCTTAGTTTCTTCTTCCATAAAATAGGGATAATTCTTATGTCATAAAAGTGTCAGGAAAATTAAGTAAATTAATCCTTGAGTGGTGACTGGTAAGCACTTGATAAATGTTAGTTTTTATTATTATTCTCCTTATTTATTATTATTATAATATCCCACTAATGAAGCAAGAAATAAAATTGAGGGGAAGAGATTCTCTTTTGGAATCTTTATTTTATTTTGACATCAACTCAGGATCCAACTACAGCCTTCTTTTGAGATTTAGGAGTTTAGGATTTTTGTTTTTAAAAGGCTCAATCTGGTCCAAGTCTCAACAACTAGATGTTTAGTGTTAGTGTGTATGCGTGTGTGTGTGTGTGTGTGTGTGTGTGTATGTGTATGTTGTGTGTGCCTGTGTATCTTTATTTTCCATTTACCTCAAAATTGATAGATTTCCAATTTAGAGCAAGGGGGGATCAGGAGGGAGAAGGAAAATGGAGCTGCCCATCAAAATTAGCAGGGAAGTGGGTAAAGGTCATTTGATCACAGCTTGGCTGTGCTCTGAATTAACCTGCATAACAGAGACTTGTTGAGTTTGCAGCTCTTTAAGGTGCATATTAACACCAGGAGGAAGGCAAGGAGACACCCTGAGAGAAGGTCAATTTGTGGCTGCTCAAATCAGCAGGGCTCCTGGAGAAACTTGGCTGGAGAAGCCAGCTCTGGGCCCTTTGGGTGAGAAGCAAGAGAGGAAAGTCCAGTCTGTGGAGGAGGGGAGGCCCCAGTGCTTCTTGGGGGCAGCTTCTGCAGTCTGGCTAACCTGTGAGAACCCTGAAAGTGCAGCTGGGAGGGACTTCCTCCCGAAGTGGAGCTGCAACAGAAAGAGAATTAAGGAGAGGTGAGCACCGCATCCAGCGGCAATTGCAGATTCATTAATTGTCTGTGGGGAAAAGAATGGGAGGCATTTATATGATAAAGATGCTGGGAAATTAGAGGGAACAGCAGTGCTGTTTACTGTTTTTATTTTATTTTTATTATCATTAAATTGCTTCAAGTCACCTGTAATTTCCTTAGGCTGTCACAATTAAAAATCTTTGAGGATTATATAAGACACACACAGTCAGAAAGGTATAATTTAAACTTGCAGAGGTCTGAGGGCCTCAGCTCTTTTTCATTACCTCCCTGGCAGTTGGCACTAATGGGTTGAATTAAGTGACCCCCCAAGGCAGGTTCCAGTTTCCAAGCCATGTGGTTTTACCATGAACTTGGGCCATGGTGGACAGCTGTGCCCTGGAGGGAGGAGGCATTACCTGACTGCATAATCCTGCTTTGCCCCAGAATGGCTCTCTGTCTGTGGGTGAGTCGTTTGTCCTCCCTGTCTCTCAGTCTCCCCAGCTGTCATGTGGGGATATTAGTCCATAACTTCCAAGAGTGTGGTTTGGCTTATATAAGACCATGAATTCTGTGTTCTGGCAATAATTCTCTGACAACAGCTGGGTGTCCTGCAATTCTACTGGAGTCTGACACTAACTACTGGGAGTCAGCATCAGATCCCACAAGTTAAAGGGCCAGGTCACCAACGAAACCATCCTTACTTCAGATATCACTTGCAAATGGGGTCCCCAGTGCAGGGGAGAAAAAAGAAATATCTTTTCCTCACTCATTGCAAGGTTCATGGCTGAGATCCTGTAACAAAAGACAGATTAATGAGAAAGAAGAGCAGGCAAATAATTCAATACAAGTTTTTGCATGGCCTTCAATAATGAAGGTCCAAAGACACAGGGAAAACTGTATTTTTACGGACAGTCATGTGGAAGTGTGATTGGAGAACAAAAGAGTGTGCTCTCATGGTAATAAACTAGGGGAAGCTTAGTGAGGCCTGTTTGTTCAGATTCTTCTTGGCATCCCTGTGTGATCATTCTTTCCTCTGAGTGTAGCCAGGATGCCTGTCATGTGAGGGTTTTCAGGGGAGGAGGGAGGGAGAAGGTCAGAGAGTGACCTTCTCAGGTTTTATGGCTTGCTTCAGGGAAGAACAAGTGAGGAGCATTTCATTTTCTATGATCTGTTTCAGGACAGAGGGGGTGGAGAAAGATAGAGAAAACTTCCTGCCTCTGCTGTTTTCTCAGTTTCTTTTAGCTTAAAATACTCAGTATGCCAAGATGCCATATTTTGGAGTAGTGTCTCCTGCACTCCGTCACTAGCCTACCTGCACTTCTGTCTGACTTGGCTACAAATTCAGGTGACTGCATGAGTCTCCTTCAGGTTCAATAATTTTCTAGAACAACTCTCGGGAATCACTAAAAGTACTGTACTCACCATTACAGTTTTACCTTAAAGGATACAGGTCAGGAACAACAAAATGCTCAAGGTAGGGCGATGGTGCACAGAACTTCCATGCCCTTTCCTTGTGAAATAGCCTTTCTAGCACATTAATATATTCACCCTTCCATGCCCTTTCCTTGTGAAATCGCCTTTCTAGCACATTAATATATTCACCAACCAGAAAGATCCACTGAGCTTTGGTGTCCAGAGTCTTTATATGAGTTTCATTATGTGGGCATGATTGATTGAATCAACGGCCTTGTGATTGAACTCAATCTCCAGTCTTTCTCCCCTCCCTAGAGCTGGGGGCTGGGGCTGAAAGTTCCAACTCTAATCCCACGCTTGGTCTTTCTAGCATGGCCAGCCTCTCCCTTGAAACTTTCTAAGGGCTCACCATTAGCATTTATACACTTTACTGTGGTCAAAAAGGGCTTGTTATGAATAACAAAATACATTCCTATCAGGAAATTCCAAGAGTTTTTGAAGCTGTGTGCCAGGAACTGGGGACAAAGATATCACAGCTTCCAAGTTGTAGTTTTCTTCAGAATCACTACAGAGCATGTTAAAAGTTCAGCTTCCAGGGTCCTGGTCCTCCAGATGGTTTTGATACAGTAGGGCTGGGTTGGGACTCACAATTCTCCATTTCTACCATTCCCCCAGGTGATGTTGGTATGGGTGGGCTATGAGTCACTCACTGAGGAATGCTGACATGATGTAATGTACGGTAACATGCATGGAATTGCTCTGAAAGCTGTACTGTTCTCCACAAACATTAAGCATTATCACTAGGACTGTTTCCTCCTTTGAACAGGTTTGATTGTTGGATATGTGTTAAGTGTAATTGTAATTAAATACTAGAGCTGAAGGATACTTAGAAGCCTTAGGTAATCTAGTTCCCTGGGATTCTTTGAAATATTTTTAGGGGTTGGGCAAGGTTGGAAGATGAAGTCAGAAATGGGGATGTGCAAAGCCTAATGGAGACTAGAGTTGGGCCATTCACAATGCTCCCTTAGCCATTCCTGCAATACTCCCCCTCATTTTCCCTCGTTGCCTCCTTGTTCATCCCAATGGATGTGGGTTGTGTTTGTAATGGATGTGGTTGAGCCCCACTTACTGCCTCCTCCCCATCTCCTAGGCTGACTATAAAGTGTGAAGCCTGGGTCCTCTACAAATCTGGGACCTCAGCCGTGACCTCAAAACTCTTGCAAGTTTCTAAATTGATTTCTTGAACTGTGGTTTTAAGACACTTCCCAAAGAACCACCTGGAGAGTGATAGTGAATTGGTATCTTTGCAGGATGAACAAAGAAATTGGCATTTTATTTTGTTTTAATTTTTTTGAGATAGAGTCTCTCTCTGTCACCCAGGCTAGAGTGCAGTGGTGCAATCTCAGCTCACTGCAACCTCTGCCTCCCAGGTTCAAGCGATTTTCCTGCCTCAACCTCCTGAGTAGCTGGGATTACAGATATGTGCCATCATGTCTGGAGAATTTTCATATTTTTAATAGAGATGAAGTTTCACCATGTTGACCAGGCTGGTCTTGAACTCCTGACCTCAAGTGATCCACCCGCCTTGGCTGGGATTACAGGCGTGAGCCACTGTGCCCAGCTGGAATTGGCATTTTAAACAAATTCTTAAGAACCCCCAACCCCTTTCCCTTAGCAGGCAGCCTTGTCTCTAACTTGTAGACAGTCCAGTGCAAGCTGGCAAGGGTTAGTGTACTGTCTGGCAGGTGGTGGGCTGTCGTGGAAGTTGATGGAATGGATGAGAGTATCAATAAATTCAAGCTTCCTTCTCTCCAACGTAAAGTTCTTTTGTGTCTTTGTGTTTCTACTCCCCATTCCACGTCCTGACCAAGGCCCCAGTGGGGCTTCTGGCCTTGTCCAAGATCCTGCTCTCAGTTAGCCTCTCTCTCCTGTGTCTTCAGTGTCTTTCTTTCCACCCATCTCTCCGCATGGACAGGTATCCCCAGGCCTCCTTTCAAGATACCCTTCTGTTTTCTCTTTCTCTGTGTCTCTAATCAATACTGGTTACTTTCCCTCTTAGATCAGTGGCATCACCATTCTCTCAACTTCCTGCACTCCTCACCTCTCTCTCCCTCTTTGCTACATCAGTCTGTGGCTGAGTCCTCCTATTTTACCTCTGCTTTTTGTGTTGTATCCAGTTTCTTCTTTCCCTCCCCAGTTTCCTCCCTACACTGGGCCTTCCTTTTCTCACTTGAAGTCTTAGCTCTTTTCATATCATTACTTTGTTCAAGATGCTTCTATGACTCCCCACTCCCAGCAGAATTAGATCCCCAATCTTTTGTTGCCACAATTTGGCTCCTGCTTATCTTTCATTTATTTATTTATTTATTTTTTGAGATGGAATCTTGCTCTGTCGCCCAGGCTGGAGTGCAGTGGTGCGATCGCAGATCACTGCAACCTCTGCCTCCCGGGTTCAAGTGATTCTCCTACCTCAGCCACCCGAGTAGCTGGGATTACAGGCACACACCACCACGCCTGGCTAATTTTTGTATTTTTAGTAGAGATGGGGTTGCACTATGTTGGTCAGGCTGGTCTCGAACTCCTGACCTCGTGATCCGCCTGCCTCGGCCTGCCAAAGTGCTGGGATTATAGGCATGAGCCACCGCTTCTGGCCTCCTGCTTATCTTTCAAAATGTATCTTCCACCACTCCCCTGAACTTTCAGTTTTCCAAAAATCCTAGATTCCTTCCCTCCTGGACCTGAGCACTTGCTGCACCTCTTGCCTCCTCACCTGTAGCCTTGCTGTTTGCATCCCTGCTCCCTTCCACATCAATCAGTTCAACTCCATGGCCCCTGTTCCAGGAAGCCTTCCATCATCCCCAGGCATAAGATTATCCCTGGAACCTCCCTAGCTCACCCCTGGTCTTTGCTGTGATTTGTACCACAGTCTGCTTTGCTTTGTGATTGTTCAGGTATGTGTCAGCTTCTGAGATTGTCAGCTCCTTGAAGATGGTAACAATATCAATAACAGCAGGTCCAATGACACCTACTATGAGTACCAGGTTCTTTGCATACAGTAACTTTGAAACTTATAACTGTACTCCAACTTAGTTGTAGTCTCCATTTTAGAGATATGGAAACTGGGGCTTAGAAAGGTAAAGGCCAAAAAGCTGACAAGGATGAGATTCAAACCCAGACTGACTCCAAAACCCACTCTCTTTCAACCCCACAACATGGCTCCCAAGGCAAAGAAGACAAAATCCACATTTATTGAGCACCTACTGTGTGCCACTGCTGGTAGGGATCCAAAGCTGGGCAAGATCATCCCATGAAACAATATATATATGAGTTACCAGAACAGCATCTGGCACGCAGTAGGTGCTCAATAAATGCTAATTGAGAAATGGATAAACTCAGAGTCCACTCCATGCCAGTGCTTGCTTCCAGAGTAGAGGCTGAGACCTCCCAGAGAATTATGGAAGAAACCCTGGGGCCTGAAATCTCATTCTGGCTCAGCGAAATGCAGTTCCGATGACCCTGAACAAGTCTCACAGCCTCTTCAAACCTCATTTCCTTGCAGTGAAATGAAGAAGCCAGATGACTTTTTTCTAAGGTCCTTCCAACTCTAATAGGTGAGGTGATGTAGGGGTCAGTGAGTTGTAAACAGGCAAGGCAAATACAAGCAGAAGTCATGATTTTAATACTTGAAATCCTTTCAGCAGCAAAGGCATTCCTCTGGTTTTTAGGAAGGCAGGATAATTTCCTTTTAGGGGCCAAAGTTCCCAGCTTGCCTGGGCCATCAGGGACACAGGAGCAGTGGACAAATGGCCACTGCTTTCTGTTGCATATGTTGGGAGTGTGATGCTCTGAGAGCCCTCCTGTCTCATGGGGTACTGACTTCCGTGGTATCTGGCCATGCTTGGCAGAGAGTTAATTAATGTCCGCAGGGCGAGTTAGCAGAAATAACAATTGCTTTGATTAAGGGAGAGAGATGGCTATGAGCTTTGCTTTAAGTAAAATGGACAAAGACAGGATAAGAGATCATCTGCTTCACCTTGAGTGCTGGGGCTCACTGGCCTGGACTTCTGTCCTGGCTCTGACCCATCCAGCTTCCCCCAGGAAATGAGGACCCCTTCCAGTTGTGCCTTAAAAGGACCCTTATTTTTGTTGTTATCCTAGATGCAAGGATCAACACTGCTGTGGACTCGGTGAATATAAATTTGGAGAGGAGCCCAAGATGATCAGGAGGCAGTGACTGAGGGCAGAGCGGAAGTACCTGGGTGCAGAGTCGGGGAAAGACACACAGTACACCATGGATAGTTAGTGTGACTTACCCTCCCGAGGGCTGCTGTGTGCAGACTCTGCCCTCAGCTCTTCCCTGCATTTTCTCACTTGATTTGCACACACATCCAAGGAGGAAGTGTGAACCCTCTGGTTCAGGTCACTTGGCTTGTGAGTAATGGAGCCACAATTCTAAGGCAGGTCCGTTTGTCATGGGTGATGAAATGATTACCCATTACAATATTACCCAGACGATTACCCAAGACAACCTCCTCCGGGGCCAGTAGAATGCAAGGAGGCTGGAAAATATTGAGAACAAAAGAACAAAGAGGAGCCAAGAGCAATGAGCTTAAGAGGGGGAAAGGAGTGAGGCCCAGGGGTGCTCACACTTGCCACGTTGGCTGCTGGAATCTTCTAAGGCTAATATTTGTCAAGCTCCTACTGTGTGAGAGGCATGTGCTGAGAAGGATTGCAGGTGCCAGCTCGTTTAATCATCACGGTAACTGCACGTGGTTGTTGTTCATGATGGTTGACTTTGTCAGTTTGACTGGGCTAAGGGAAGCCCAGATAGCTGGTAAACATGATTTCTGGGTGTGTCTGTGAGGGCTTTTCTGAAAGAGGTTAGCATTCAAATCAGTAGACTGAGTAAAGAAGATCACCTTCACTCAAGTGGATGGGCATCGTCTAATCCCTTGAGAGACTGAACAGAACAGAAGGCGGAAGAATGGGGAGTTCTCTCGGTCTCTGCTTGAGCTGGGACATCCATCTTCTCCTGCCCTTGGACATTGGTGCCCCTGGTTCTCAGGTCTTCAGACTCGGACTAAATTACACTACCATTTTTCATGGTTTTCCACTTTGCACACAGCATATAGTGGGTCTTCTCAGCTTCCACAATCGTGAGCCAATTCTCATAATAAATCTCCTCTTATATTTCTCTCTGTATATATGTAGATATCCTATTGGCTCTGTTTCTCTGGAGAACCAAACTAATACAGTTTTATCTTGCACAGAAGGAGATTAAAGCTTGGAAAGGATAAATGCTTTGTACAAAGTCATGTCACCAGTGCGAGCTGCAAGAATTTGAACCCAAGTCTGTCCTACTCTGAAGTACATGCTGCTTCCACCATCCAGCACTGCCTCCCTCTTTGCAGAACATCACAAAATGCTGCTAAGTCAAGCGTTGGCATAAAGCACATTCCTCACGTCCAAGGGGAGGGAGAAGGGAAAAGAGTGGGAGTGGAAACAGGAAGAGGTAATACTTGTTGAGTACTTCAAACCGGCTGCCCCTTGGCTAGGTACTGCACATGTGTTTAATCTCATTTAATTCTCACAACACCCGGTGGGAGGGGCATAATTGCCCACATTTTGCAGATGAGCGTATTGAGGCTCAGAAATGGCAATTGATTTGCCTAAGGTCACAGAGCTAGTAAATGGCGGACCAAGGATTTCTATCCAGATGGGCCCAACTTCAAAGCCCAGGTTAATTAAAAATATAATTTTGTGCTAAATCAAATAGCAGCTCATACTAGATTCTATTAGAGCCAAGCCATAGCAGAGGCCAATAGTTAAAAGTAAGTTTATAGTTGAAAAATTTACAATTAAGGCAATCATCAATTAACTTAATTTTCTGGGAACAGAGAAAGGTTTGCTGTTATTGAATTTTTGCTGCAGCAGAATCAGTAGCCTTGTTTCCAAACCATGGAGTGTGTTCAATAAAGCAAGAGTTAGAGAGAGCAGCTCAGGGAAGCTGACCCAGGCCGCATGCCCAGAAAGGGGACTGTTGGAGAGCCTTCTGGGCATGAAGAGCAGGCGGGAAGCACAGCCAGGTTAGGGGCTGCCTGGGAGAGTAGTTTTGGCTTCAGTCTTGGCTATGCGCAGTATCTGCCAGAAAAGATCATACGCTCTCAAAAACCAGAGACAAGGAACAAACTAATGTGATCATTTCTCTTCCTTGCTCAGTAACCTTCAATGTCTCCCCGTTGTATCCTGAATAAACCCCATAAGCCTTACCGTGACATTCAAAGCTCAGCACAACCTGGTCCCAATTTACTTTTCTAATCTTATCTCCCACTAATCTCCCCACATAAACTTCATGCTTAAGTTTAACTGGTCCAGTTTTTATTCCATGAACCCAATTCTCAGTCTTGGGTCTTGGGCTGTATCTTTTCTCTTTCCTTCCTTTCCCCTCCAAATCTACCTAGTAGATTCCTGCTCATTCTTCAAGTTCCTTTCCAAGGTAACCTCCTCCATGAAGTCTTCTCTGATTGCCCATGTAGAAGCAAACTCTCCCTCAGGTCATTACTCTGTACATGTGGCACTTATCACATGATGCCTTGAATTGAGATTATTTGTGTCTGTGTCTCATTTTTCCTAGTAGGCTTGTTCTCCTTTATTCAGACCCTAAAGCTCACACCTGTAGGTGTAAGAATTAAACAATAACTAATGAACTAAAAGGTTAAGTAAATAATGGTCAATATTTAAATTCAACAATTTAAAAAGTACCTTGAACTTGCTTAAAAGTTAGAGACTTGAAACATTTTGAGAACTAGGCTGCTTGGAGCTCATAAATGATATTCACTCATTCATTCATTTACTCATTCAAGATCTTCAGTGTGGATTGATATACTTTTTTCTGAAACTCTTGTTTGAGAGCCTGAGGATCCAAGTCCTCCACGAGGTCGGGTCTGTTAGGAACTGCAAATGCCATGGGTCCTCATTCAACCTATGGCTACAGAAAGTGGCCTTCAGAGCAAGATTCATGGCTTGCCAGGTATTCATCTCCTCCTGGGGTTGGGTTAAGCCGCAGGAGAGAAATTGAAGGATGCTGCTATTAAAAATTCTTGGTAACAAGCCAGGTAATTTCTCCTGTGTTCAGCTCCCACATTGCACTTTGTTCATGCCTGGAAGAAACAGAAACTCCCAACCACAGAAAATCTCTTGCCAGTTTGCCTAGCAGCACTGACACCTACCTTGTCTCTAGTATACTTGTACATCTGCAAAATTAAGTCGGCACTGGGGCAACTTGGATCAGTCACAGACAGTTAGAAAGACGAGCGTACCAACTCTGGCCAAAAGCCAAATGCTGCTCAGCTTCATCATTCTCTGACAAATGTGGACTTACCTGGATTTTTTTTTTTTTTAAATCATCATTCTTTATTGGCCCTCACCTTTTGTGAAAGTTGGAGAACAATCTCATTTTGAGTAGCAAGCAAGAAGACATTTGTGCTACGTGCTACATCTCTAGGCAATATACACAGTGATTAAGAATGTGGGGCTTTGGGGTTCATTTGAATCAGCCCACTATTAGCTGTGGGTTTTGTGGGATGTTTTTTGGCATGGTGGGGGTGGTGGGGGTTCAAGATTCTTGATCTTGCTGTGCCTTTGTTTTCTCATCTGTAAAGCAGGATTAATAATAGTCCTGTATTATACTTCATAGTTGGCCTGAGAATTAGATGAGGTAAACAGTGCCAGACAAGGGGGAAGCACTCAATGAGTATTATCTGTTATTAGACTTACAACTGCCAATGGAAATGTAACAGGCTCAGTACATCTGCTGTAACTGCCTTACACCACCCCATATTAGTCAGGGTTCTCTGAAGAAACAGAATCAATAGGATATATAGAGAAAGAGATTTATTATAAGGGATTATAGAGGCCAAGAAGTCCCATGATCTGCCATCTGCAAGCTGGAGAACCAAGAAAGCCAGTGGAGTAGTTCTAGTCCAAGCCTGAAGGCCAGAGGACCAGGGGAACCAATGGTATTTAAGGCCCTGACTGAGTCCAAAGGCCAGAGAACCAGGAGCACTGATGTTCCAGGGCAGGAGAAGATGAATGTCCCAGCTAAAGCAGAAAGCAGACTCACCCTTCCTCCACCTTTTGTTCTATTCAGGCCCTCAATGGATTGCATGAGGCCCACCCACATTGGTGAGGGTGATCTGTATTCAGTCTCCTGAGTTAAAGGCTAATTTCTTCTGGAAACATCTTCACAGACACACCTAGAAGGAATGTTTGACTAGCTCTCTGGGCATCCCTTAGCCCAGTTAAGTTGACATAAAATTAACCCTCACACCCGCAAAGATATAAGCCTTGTTTCTTTGCTTCTTTTCCCTGAATGATTGCTCAACCAAAGCTCAACCCTGAACATGAAGATTTTGGCACTTTTGGTTGAATGCAATCCTAATTCAAGCTTCCTTTATTATTCAGGTGTATGCAATAAACACTCATTTACTGTTTTCTTTCAGCAAGGTGCTGTGCTTGTCTGTGGGAAGTGTTAAGAATAGCAAGACAGTGGAGATAAGTCTTTGTCCCCAGGGAGCTTGTACTGTGGTTGGACTGAAAGAAAGGTGCCTGGTTTCTGTAAAACACCACCAAATGTGAGCACTATTGAAAATGAGATGCAAACCCAATGGCTGGATTATTGGCACAAAACCAGTATCACTGTCCTGCCTTATTTAATTATGGTTTCCTTTTTTGCTAACATCAAATTAAAAAATCCTTGCCATGGTAGTCTAGCAACATTGTTATATTGTCATTCTGCAAATTATGTGGAAAGAATGAATTGTTTTGAGGGTAAGCTTCAAGTAAATTTATGTGCTTATGAACAAATTGCCCATTATTGCTTTCAAAAAAAATTTAAATACTCACTCAATTGACTAATTTCCAACCTTCAAAAAAGAATACCATCTCATGCATTTCTGGAGCTTTAAGGTTTATAAATCTTGCTGCCATGAGCATTCCCTCTGAGTGCTTATAACCATGATGCTGTGAAGGTGGGAAGGTAGGAATATGCTCAGCCTCAGAGTAGAGATGTGGACAGAAGCTTGCAAGATTCAATGTCTTGCCCACGTTCATTTACTAGGGGAACTAGTAAGGTTTTGGAATCCAGGACCCTTGACTTCAAATCCACTGTTCTTTTTGCTACATTACTCTATAGTCTTCAACTAGTTATGCACCATTTAACTAACGTTTACTTTGCCGAAAGTGGAAACAGATAACCTTGAAATTAATTCAAGTTAATGTTAAATGTTGGTAACTTTTTGAGTTGAATGTTTCCATTAACTTTTCCAATGGCTGCTTTTTTGTACCCCTTCACAGCAGTGAACAAAATTGAGTAAGTGCTCAATAAGTATTTATCGAATAAACAAATAGCTAAGCTGGCCCGGTTTGGCTGCAGGGTGGGGTTAGAAGGTTGAATCACTGAAGACAAAGTTGAGCATTTAATTCACTGTTTCATTTGTCAAGTATTTATTAAGTCTCTATGTACTGCACTCCATAGAGTAGACTATTGCACACATGTGGCCCTTGGCAAATTTTTTTAACCTCTCTGAGCCTCAGTTGACTCGGCTTTTAAAATAAGGAATAATAATAGCACCTAACTCACAGGATTGCTATGAGGATCAACTAAGATGATGTATTTAAAGAACTTGGTATAGAGCACGTGGGGTGGATGCTCTGTAAATGGTAAAGATACTAATTATCCATCTCCGCGCTATATACTTATGTGTGGTTCATACCCCAAGGTTCCAGAGCCTGCAGTGAAGTAGTTTCTTGCACTCTGAATAGCAGGGAGGGAAAGCCAGAGTTGATTTGTTTTAGAGATGAGGAGGGGAACAGAGACAAACTGTGGAGGCAGAGCTGAGTTCCCGAGGTCCCGGCTGGAAAGGGCTCTCCTTCTTAGTTTTAGGGGCAATGGGGGAAGGAACCCAGGTAGCTTGGTTGTTGGTCACATGCTACACTCCACGTGGGCCCCCCCACTCAGCATCCTTGGGGGATTCTGGGTGCTTGGGCCCTAGATCAGATGTGTGTGCAGGGATGCAGGCACCGGAGCTGTGACACAGGGACATGCAAGGTTGGTGTCACTGAAAGAGAAAGCTGACAAGGAAAGGGTGCAGAGAGATTCCGTCTTCTTCTGCGGGTCCTCTGTCCCCTCTCTACAGTGGCAAGAAAGAGACCTGCCTGGGGCCCGGGAGGGCTCCTGCCTCTACCCTCTTCGACAGGACACTCCTGAAGCTGAGCACTGGGAGGGCAGGAGAAAGGCCAGAATGCTTTCCTCATCTCCTGACAGTAGGAGAAGGGGCAAGTGTAGGCACAGAGAGACCTTCCATTGTGAGTCAGCCTAGCACAGGCTGCAGCCTGGGTGGGAAGCACTAGATGGAGTCACTCTAACGAATGAAGCTGCTGGTGAGCTCATTTACAGTCTGACGATCATGCTGGCCCCACAGCAGCAGCTGCCACCCACCCCTGCAGGGGGAAGCCACTTAGGAAGACAGCAAAGCAAGCTG
This sequence comes from Homo sapiens, assembly GCF_000001405.40. Taxonomy (NCBI): domain Eukaryota; kingdom Metazoa; phylum Chordata; class Mammalia; order Primates; family Hominidae; genus Homo; species Homo sapiens. The sequence goes on along the minus strand of NC_000011.10, from coordinate 116,461,926 downwards.
CCATCAATCTATCAGCATTGGCTTCCATTAGGGATAGGATGGCTATGGAAGTAGGAGAAGGCCAGGGTGGAGGGGTAAAAGAGACACAGCTCTGGTGACAGTTTCATTTTAACAGGTTTCCAAATCCCAGAGGGATTCTTGGGGCAGCCTTAATGGGCTGAGAAAATGGCCGGTCACCTTCTGGCGAGTGGCAGCAGTCTTCAGCCCTCTCTCCCATGGAGAGAAAGAGCAAAATGCTAGTGTTCTGGTTGAATCTTATAGGAGTGTGTGACATGTATCATAAATTGTCCTGGCTAGTCCCGAGGTTTATTTTCTTTTCCCCATTTCTGTGTGTCGGATGTGTCCTGTCTGTGTGTTCCCAGTCTCTGTGTCTCCTGATCTTTCATATCTATATGCAGGTTTTTTTCCCCTAGATGATTGAGCAATGGCTCCCCACTAGGAAGGTGGCGTTACACACTGGAACAATGGTACTTGGAAGTCTGTGAGATTTTGATGGTCTCAGTGACGAAGGGCAGTTACTGGCTATCAAAAATCAATGTATAGGGACCAGGGGTGTTAACATTCTACAATGAATAAGACAGGCCATACAACAAACACTCATCCCACCCCAAATGATAACAGTGGCCCTGTTAAAATATAAGGAGGGAGAGATGAGGGTACTCAGGTGATTGGGCTCAAGGGGATTGACTCATGCTAATCAGACTCACAAAAGACTGATGTAAAATTGCAGAGAAGGCTGGATGTGGTGCCTCACACCTGTAATCCCAGCACTTTGGGAGGCCAAGGCAGGTGGATCACCTGAGGTCAGGAGCTCAAGACCAGCCTGGCCAACATGGTGAAACCCCCTTTCTACTAAAAATAAAAAAATTAGCTGGGCATGGTGGTGCATGCCTCTAATCCCAGCTTCTCAGGAGGCTGAGGCAGGAGAATTGCTTGAACCCGGGAGGTGGAGGCTACAGTGAGCAGAGATCGCGCCATTGCACTCCAGCCTGGGCGACAATAGCGAAACTCTGCATCCCCCCCACCCCCTGCAAAAGGAAAGAAAAATTGCAGGGGAGTAATTTACAAAGAAGCTGTTCTTTTTCAGTGGACAGAAGTCTTCTCTCTGCTATCTGGAGTACTTCCTTAAAACAATAAGGAAAGTGAATGAACAGTCCAAAGGTGAGCATAGATTAGGGGCTGCTTTTTTGAGGTGCAAGGTGAGGTGCCCATGAACTGATGACTCCCTTTTCACCGCTGCAAATGCAGAATTCCTCTGTCAGTCTGTGTCTCTCCCTATTTGCCAGTGCTGTATGAACACCAGTAAACACCTGCTCTTTAGGCTGCTACCACTTGAAGACCTAGGTAACAGGGTCCTTGCTCTGGGGTTGTGCTTTAGAGGCCCCGCTCTGGCCTACCTCCTACCTGGCACTTGGAATTCCCTGCTGGAACAGCCCCAAGGCCACTCCCAAGGCCTCTTTCCCAGATCTATCACTGGTGTGCATATCCCAAGGCCCCAAGATGGCTAAAGAAGGGCTGTTTTGCAGGGAGTTGGAAGACAGAACATAAACATGTGGCCTGAGCTCTGGGATAAAGCCAGATCATCACAGCCTTTTCCCCAGGGAATCCCAGAATCTTAATCTTGGTCACATCCAGTCTTCCTGGGAAAATGCCTCTGTTTCCCTGATTGAATTTGGGGGCCATTCACTCACCAGACCTTGAATTTCTCTCCAGCGACTTCTCAGGTTAATCACATACATTTTGTTGACTTTTACAAATATACATATCCCTTCTAAGGGTTCCCTGTGGCAGATGAGGGGTGGGGTGGGACTGAGTTCATGACAACTTCCCACAGTTACTACTACAAACCCCTGTGGTGTCAGTCACCCTCTCTGTTACAGTGCTGTTCTTATTATGTCTGTTCTTATGTCTGTTTGCCCCGGTGTTTTCTTTCTTTTGTTTTCTTAAAATGTCTACCTTTTGGAGACCAGGGCACACAACCATAAACTTATCCCATCAAGCTGTAAATTTACAGGGTTGGTGTAGCTTACATATAAACATTAGAGGTGTTGATGTTTCAGGCTGCAGTTCTAGCAGTTTCTTTGATCTTTTACTGACCAGTAAATTATTTATTGGGTCTGTCATAAAGATAAACCAAAGCCTATAAACTATATTTATAGTATCACAAAAGTCTCCCCTCCTACCTGGCATCTTCAGATGTAGATCATGGTACTGATGAGAATGCAGCAGCCAGGGTATTTTTATACCCTTTCTTCTTTCCTGTCCTTTCAGCTCTTTGCCTACTTTCCATGATTTCGTTTCATTTTTTTTCCTTTCCCTCTGTTTTTTTGAGGTCCAAGGTCAGGTTTTTGTGAGGCTTGTTGTGAACGCCTCAACACTCTTCCCTGGCCTCTGGGTGGCCACATCTCACCCGGGCCTGCATCCCAGGCGGTTCTCAGCTACTCCTTCCAGAAACCTGACATTCCCCAGGCCCCAGCCCATGGCTCCAGGCCCAGCGGCAGATCCGTTCCCCTGCAATCCATCTGCCTCTAAGGCCTACAACACCTGTCAACCCCTGGGAAAATGAACTGTGCCTAATCAATGGTCAGTTCCAACTGACACTTTGGGTTGTCGGGAAGGGAGTTTACTGCAGAGTGTGTGCGGGCGTGTGTGCCTGATTGCATGTGCTCGGCAGCAGGCGAGTGCCAGCCATTAAGCACCTCCTTTCATTTTATTTTTCCTTTAGCGGTTAACTAGCACCTTCTTCAATTAAAGTGGCAAGGCAGAGCAGACAAGGAAATCAGTGGATCTCTTCCCAAACATCAATAAAACAAATTTCTCTCCGGGATCCCTATTTGTTATGTGGATATCAGACTGACTGTAATCTGTTTCCATTTTCCTTTTACGTGTTACCCGCCAGAAGCTAGAGGCTCGGCCGTGGAGATCCCGCTGTTTCCATTTGGCTGAATGAGGGGGTAGATTAGATTCCTATTTGCTATGCAGACGCTCCCATCTGATATCCATTAGATGTGTCAGGAGAGCCCTGAAAATGTGTCTCCCCTATTTATTTTGGGTGTACTGGGGTGGGATAGTGGTTGCAGGCGAGTCTTGGAAGATGCCACCAGTTGCCTCGAAGACACCAACATAGTTTTCTTTCTTCCTCTGCTTGGTAATAAATCATGGCCCAAGTCATTTATATTCCAGGAGATAAGGATGTCAGGAACTGCTCCCTGCTGCTACAAGAGGAGAAGAGGCTAAACCCTGGTCAAAGGTGAGCAGAGTGCCTTTAAGGCAGCACCCTAGAAAGTCAAGAGTGTAAGGTTCTCCATTGTACAGATGAGGAAACTGAGGTCCCGAGAAATAAGGTAGATTGTTTCCATTCTTTCTTCTGTCTTCTTTCCTGCTGCAAATTCTCTTGAGGATTCTTCCAGCCTAGCCACTTCCTGCCCACCCACTCCCCACAAAAGCCAGGCATGGTTATGTCATTCCCACATGGATTTGCAGCCAATCGGGAAGGCTGGGGCCACGTCTACTATTTTGCTGTGTCCTACAAGTTGCGTAGCATAGTGCTGGGCATAAGGGGAGCTCACAATATGTCCTGGGTGACTGAACTCTCAGAGTAACCACTTTTTTTCTTTTAAAGATTTTGTTTATTAAGTCCTTACCATATACAGGCTTATTCAAACCTTGCCCAAGTCTTGTGGACCTCCTTCCTGTCCACCTGGAGGGCCCATTCCTTCTGTCTCGGCCAGCAGGCCTGCCTTTCCTCTTCCTTCCCACTTGTCCCTTCCCCAGCCCACCTCCATCAGTGATGTGTAACGGGGACAGCCTTCCGCCATTTGCACAATCCTCCCCCGCCCCTGGCCCCCCACCAGCTGCTCTGTTTCAGGTGTCCCCCACTTCAGGGGGATGACACCTTTTTAAAGAGACTGTTGTTTCCGGTGACACTGACAATCCTTCAGAATTGACAAGACCTGTCTCTGCATCTCCCTGCCTGCCGCCGGGCTCTCAACCTGGGGCCTAAGTGATTTGTCATCTTCTCTTGTCAGTCGCCGGCTCAGCTGGTGATCCTGCTCCTCCCTCCCCACTGGAGCCATAATCCTCTCCCTCTGATAACACAATTGTCTCCATGGCACTGAGCAGCCCTCATGGCACTGCAGGGGCTCTCGGCCCACGGAGGAAGGTAGAAAATAACAGCAACAAAGACCTTCTTTAGAAAAGAATAACGTCCATCTCCATGTCTGCACCCACTCCCCTGCCTCTTCCCCTTCCTCAGGAAAAAAACTGCTAGCGGAGAAGATACACAGAAACTAGGGGAAGGGCAGAAGGCCCTCAGACAGAGGGCTCTGTTTGCTGCTGCTGTTCCTTCTGAGTGAGATTACTTTTTTTCCTATCTAAGCAGCGTGCCAGAGAGAGCTGGCTCCTGCCCTGTCTCCTCAGCAGGACAGGCCCAGCCTCCAGAAGCTGGTGAGGAGCTGCTGGGCCTTGGGCTGTCCTCATCATTACTCCACCTTAGGAGGCCATGGGACTCGGCTCTAGGAGGCAGGGAGCCAGGCAGGGATGGGAAGACAGTGCAGGGTTTGGAATTCCCAGTGATCTCTCTGCAGGGCTTACAGCTCGGCCTGGAATACGTGCTCAGCTCACTCAAGTCAGTCCTCAGAGTTTTGTATGTTTTGAGGGTTCTATTTGATCCCCCAAGCCTCTGTGCGGGGCTGCTTCTGAGTGTCTCTCTCTCCAGCTGTGTGGCCTGCCATGCCAAGAGTGCTGGGCCAGCTCTCAGGGCCTCAGGGCTGGCTCCTCTTCCTGTGCAGGGAGCAAAGTGGGGTGGAAATCCACCTGGATCTGTGTGGTCACTCACTGGCAGGACAGTGCTCTGTAAACTTCCTAACCTTAGGTTTCCTCACCTGTAATACACACTAACAGTCTTACTTAATCTATGTGATGATCGCATTTGTTCCAGGACCACTCTACCCCCACCATGGATAATTCATGGATGCTCAAGTCTTGCAACAGGTCTTGCAGAACCCACAGATAAGAGAACTTGGCCCTTGGCATCCATGGGTTTTGCATCCTGAGAATACCATATTTTCAATCCACAGTTGGTTGGATCTGACGATGGAACTCGCAGATACAGAGAACTGACTGCATAAGGAAACTGGAAAGCTCTCTGTGCAACCGTGTTTACAATGCTGTTGCTAATGAGTCTTTTGCCTCCTTCGGTCTCAGTTTCCTCATCTGTAAGTGGAGGGTAACTCTGCTGACCTCTGCATTATGATAGTATCACTTGAGGAGGTGGACATGAAAACCCTTTTGAAGTGTGAAGTTTATGAGAGATGGTTATCTGAAACCTTCCTTTTTATTTTTATTTTTATTTTTATTTTATTTTATTTTATTTTATTATTTTATTTTATTTTATTTTATTTTATTTTATTTTATTTTATTTTTTTTGAGACATAGTCTCACTCTGTCACCCAGGCTGGGGTGCAATGGTGTGATCTTGGCTCACTGCAACCTCCATCTCCCAGGTTCAAGCGATTCTCCTGCCTCAGCCTCCCAAATAGCTGGGATTACAGGTGTGCGCCACCATACCCGGCTAATTTTTTGTATTTTTGGTAGAGATGGGGTTTCACCGTGTTAGCCAGGATGGTCTCAATCTCCTGACCTCATGATCTGCCTGTCTCAGCCTCCCAAAGTGCTGGATTATAGGCGTAAGCCACCGCACTGGCCCTGTAACCTTTTATACCTGTGTGCCTATCCCTTAGGGGAGACCAAATAAGATAGAATTTGTTTTAAATGCTCAGAAATGGTTTCCAGGATGCCCAAATCCTTATTTTCCTTTGCTAATTCCCAATCCCTACTTGCTTTGGCCTCACATATTCCCCAGACTCTGTTGTTGCATCCCTGCTTAACCCTCTGTCCCCAGGACAAAGTGTGAAAGTCATGCATAGCTGACAACATGGCTCTTGGAGACCAGCCTCCGTCCATCCTCCTCTCTTGCCATTCTCCCATTCACAGCTCTAGTGAACCTGAATTTTGACTTGTTAGAAAGCACCAGGCTTTCTCTGGCCTCTGGGCTTTTGCACATGTTGGTTCTCCTGCCTGCTAACTCCTACTCATCCTTCAAATATCAGTTTAATGGCCACTTCCTCCAGGAATCCTTTTGCATTAGTCTGGGTGTCCCTGATCCAAGTCCTAGCAGTGCATTTTTTCCCCTCTACTGCAATTGACTCCTTGCTCATTTATGTCTCCCACTTGACTGAGCTCCACAAAGGTAGGGCCTTGCCTTTTTTGTTCTTTGGTATATTCCCAGCACCCAGCACAGTGCCTGATGTGTAGTGGGTGCTCAAAAAGCATTTGCTGCAGCAAGGAATAGTAGGTGGGTTTACGACAAATAAAAATGAGTGGGATTCTGCCTTAGTCATGTTGCCGAGAGCTCTTCTATTCATTGAGTGCTTATTAAGTCCCCTTGTGAGCCAGACTGTCCACTAAGCCCAGCAGCTCCTGGGCTGCAGACCTGCCTGCAGAGGTGTAGACATTGTGAGGCAGACGTCGTATCAAGCAGAGCAGGTAAGAGTGGGATGAGGCAGCCCTGGGTGCCTCAGCTCTGCTCCTGAGGCCTGACCTTAAACCCCTGCCACCCCCCAGCCTTTTTTCCTAAGCCCAGACTCTTTCACAGCCAGGCTGACCTTGGTCATTCCCAGCAGAGGTGTCTCTGTCATAGCCCAGGCCTTTGCCTGGTTTCTGTCTTATCTGTGGATTTCTTGAGCTGAGCAGCATTGGTGTAGGAGGAGACAGATGGGACCACACCCAGCTAATCCTGCAAGGAGCTCCAGCCTGGCTCTGGGAAGTCCTATTGGAATATTAATATTCTGAGGAGGAAGCCAGTGATTACATTTTAGACTTCCAAATGGGCTTAGTAAATAGGCTTTGCTGAGAGGTGGGACAGACAGCTGGACCAGCAAGCAGTAACGGTGAGCAGCAGCAAGTGGTGATTAAGGAAGAGATTTGCTCCCCAGAAAGGGAACTCTCCAGGAGCTGCTTCCTGGTGGGAGATCTTTTCAGTGAATTCATTTAGGCAGTTCTTGCCTTCCTGCAGAGGTAGAAGTCCCTGGGTGTTGCTTTTTACTGTTTCTCTCTCTCTCTCTCTCTGAAGACCAGAGAAGAAGAATATATCCAATGACAGGAGAGCACATACTCATAGGTGGGTGTCTGTTGAATAATTAATTCATTCATCCATCCATCCATCCATCCAACCATCCATCCATCCATCCATCCATCCATCCATCCATCCATCCATCCATCTATCCGTTCCCTCAATAATATATATCGTGCACCCTTTCTGTTGGGTTCTGAGGACACAGCAGCGAGGAAGATATTCATTTGTCTCTCCATTCTTTCCTCCACACCAGGATGTAGTCTGGGTCCAGAATATAAGTCAAAACACGTGCAGCTGCTCAGTTTGCCTCTATCAGACCCAGGTCACTTTCTCTGCCAAAGCCTGGCTAGCACAGTGGATATGTCACATGGACACAGGTTGGGATGGCCTGGCATTCTGACCATCTTTGTGTTCCCAGCACCATATCGCTAAAGGAAAGAACCCAAGGTGACATAGGGGCACCAGGTCCTCTGGATATTGCAGCAGTCTTCCCAGCTCGTGTGGTGCCTGGTGCAAATGAGAAACCAGAACTCCTTCCTGGAGACACATCACTGCCACCTGCTGGAAAATGCTTGCAGCAAATATTCGACTCTGCACGGCCACAGTGCGAATGGTGCCCCTTAGATTTGCCTATTGGGTCTAATGCCTATCTGTGTGGCCCTGGTCCACTGCTTAGAGTGATCAACTCTGTAGTCCCACAGGGCAGTGGCTGCTGCCAAATATCTCCAGAGAAAGGTGCAGTGTTATGCAAAGCCCCAAATACCTGACAAGCCAATATCTATCTGTTTGCTATTAGCACATATTTAAAAAGTTCTATTAGATGAAAGATAACTGAGGGTAGAAATTTATATGATTCCAAACTACATGTGAAAATCTGACAAATGCAAAGGTGGAAAGTGCTCTAAAAAGATCTCATTTTCCTTCTTTCTTTTTTGAAAAATTTTGAGATAGAATCCGCTCTGTCGCCCAGGCTGGAGTGCAATGGTGCGATAATGGTGCGATCTCAGCTCACTGCAACCGCTGCCTCCTGGGTTCAAGCAATTCTCCTGCCTCAGCTTCCCAAGTAGCTGTGATTACAGGCACGTGCCACCACACCCAGCTAATTTTTGTATTTTTAGTAGAGACGTGGTTTTGCTGTGTTGGCCAGGCTGGTCTTGAACTCCTGACCTCAAATGATCTACCTGCCTCAGCATCCCAAAGTGCTGGGATTACAGGCATGAGCCACCGGGCCTGGCCCTTTCCTTCTTTCTTATCTATATCTCTCCTCTACTCCAAGCTGGTGACAGATGGCATCACCACTCAGACAAATGCAAAACACTTGGCTAAAAACAATGCCCTACTCCTTGGCCCCCAGTACTCACACATTCTTTGGAGAAACTTTTCAAATATTTTTATTTGAGATTCATTGCCTTATAGTTTAAAGGATTAAATCCATTGCTTTGCTGACCACCTCCTCTGGGGACAAAGGCCTGAAACCCCTTTGTCCCCAGAGGAGGTGGTCACTAAAGCAATGGATTTAATCAGTAGGAAATGGAAACCTAGGTTTGCCTTAACGAATACCGAGGGCCTCTGTTTTCAACCCTACATGTGCTACAGTGTGCACAAAGGTGTACACACATTCATATGTGCATGCACACACTTGTTTGCACTTGTGTGTGCAGGTGTTGGGAGTAGGTGAGCCAGAGTCTAGCCTGGTGCCTCTTTCCCACTGCATCAATAAATGTGGGTTGATGAAAATGGTGACTGGGACCTTCCCCTCCCTGAGTTTTGCAGGTAAAATAAAGGTGTCAGTGCTGCATGATTTTACTGGCTACCCTGAACCCAGTGGTTTTGTAAAGTGATCGGCGAGTGTCCAGGAGCATGTCTCCGGGGTGGGTGGCTCCAGCTGCAAAGGCACACACCAGGCCCCCACATGGCAGGAAAGGGCTGGCCCAGGATCCTGAAACAGTCAGAACAACACATTCCCAGGCTGAGCATCCTTGCTCTGCTCTCCTTGGCCATGGGAATGCGGGGACTGGATCCCTTCAGCTGTGAAAGCTCTCGCTTGCTTTCTGCCTTCCCTTACATACATCATCTGTTCAATGCAGCTCAAGCTCCAAGCCAAAGCAGCTCTCAGCAAACATGCTGAGCCTGGTGGTGGGCATCAGATAGAGTCAAAACTGCTCGGGGGCAGTGCTGGCCACCTTGGCAGTGAGACATGCCAGGCCACATGCACAGAGGGCTCTGGGGAGGACCAGTGTGTTGTGATACTAAGAGTCAGAGGATGCTTCATCTGATCCTGGCTTGTATCCATCTATTGATCCATTCAGGTGCTGAATAAATGCTCATTAAGTCCCCTGTGTGTAGGCTTTGTGTTGTGGGCTGTGGGGGATACATAGATGAATGACACATGATTCCAGCCTGAAGAGCTTACACAAGCCACCCCAGCACAAATCCAAATGTGCTACTCAAATGCCACGGGGGTCTCAGGAAGCAGAGAGCACTCCCAGCTAGAGATTAGGAAAGGCCTCATAGGGAGCTGGCATTTAAGCTTGGATAATGGCTGGGATTTCAGCAGGTCTTGAGGATCTGCTGAGGACAAGAAGGAGGCGTTTCAGCAGAGGGCAATCACCTGGAGGGAGGAAGACGGGGGAAAGCACATGGCATATGACAGGTCTTGAGGTCTGGCCACAGTGTAAAACTGGGGAGGGGATTGAGAGAAGATGGGACAGGGAGGGTGACTGAGGACTGATTAGCAATCGAAGGAGTCATGTCAGCCAGGGTTGGTGTGGTAGGTAGAATAATGACCCCAAAGACATCTGTGTCCTAATCTCCAGAACCTGTGACTATGTTACTCTCCATGGTCAAATGGACTTTGCCGATGTGATTAAATTGAGCATTTGAGGTTAGGGTTGAGGGTGGGTGTGTAACCCTGAATTATCAAGGTGAACCCTATATAATCACAGGGGTCCTCATGAAAGGGAGACAGTAGAGTTAAAGGAAGGAGAAGACCATATGATGACAGAAGCAGAAATTGGAGTGATGTAGCCACAAGCCAAGGAATGCTGGCAGTCCATAGAAACTTGAAGAGGTAAGGAGTGGATGTTCCCCTGGAGCCTTCGGAAGGGACAGAGTGCTGCCCACACCTTGATTTTGACCCTATAAGAGTCATTTTGGATTTCTGACCTGTAGAAGTGGGACAGGATAAATTTGTGTTGTTTTAAGCCACTAAATTGGTGGTAATTAGGTACAGCAACAATAGGAAACGTACGGTTTGAAACACTCTTCCAGCCGTTGTAGTTTCTAACGTAAGGTATTTCAGTTTTCTATCAGACCTTAGTCTCCTATATTTTAAGGGGTTTAAGAGTAGTACTTACTTCTTAGGGTTTTAAGGATGAATCAAGATCACATATGTAAAGCACTGCATATGCAATTTATTATAGCCACTAGGACTATTATTATATTATTTCTGCAGGCCATGTGGGGCCCACCACCTCATTCTCACCTTCCCCACTTTCCCCAGCCTGGCCTCCTTCCAGTACAGTTTTCCCTTTTCTTATTCCTCCTGCAGCTTTCAGTGACTTCAGTAACTCAGGCTGCTGGAGCCTCGCTGGGCTGCATATTACAGGTGAAGGATATCACCGAGACTACCTACCCACCCATCATTTAAAACATAATGTGCAGGATTAGATGCCTATTGATGGACCTGCCACAGGTTCACAGATCTTAATACTGATTGAATATTAACATTTTAAAAAACTAAGGCTGGGCACAGTGGCTCATGCCTGTAATCCCAACACTTTGGGAGGCTGAGGCGGGCAGATCACTTGAGCCCAGGAGTTTGAGACCAGCCTGACCAATGTGGTGAAAGTCCGTCTTTACTGAAAATACAAAAATTAGCCAGGTGTGGTGGTGCACAACTGTAATCCCAGCTACTCGGGAGGTTGAGACATGAGAATCACTTGAGCCCTGGAGGCAGAGGTTGCAGTGAGCTGAGATTGTGCCAGTGAGCTGAGATTGTGCCACTGCACTCTAGTTTGGGCGACAGGGATACTCTGTTTCAAAAAAATAAAAAATTAGTTGTATATTTTGTGGTAATCACAGATAATAAAACAGATTCACTTTAGGTACTTTCATGCGTGTCCGTGTGAAGAGATCACCAAACAGGCTTTGTGTGAGCAACAAGGCTGTTTATTTCATCTGGGTGCAGGCGGGCTGAGTCCGAAAAGAGAGTCAGCGAAGGGAGATAGGGGTGGGGCCGTTTTATAAGATTTGGATAGGTAAAGGAAAATTACAGTCAAAGGGGGTTGTTCTCTGGCAGGCAGGAGTGGGGGTCACAAGGTGCTCAGTAGGGGAGCTTTTGAGCCAGGATGAGGCAGGAGAAGGAATTTCACAAGACAATGTCATCAGTTAAGGCAGGAACGGGCCATTTTCACTTCTTTTGTGGTGGATTGTCATCAGTTAAGGCAGGAACCGGCCATCTGGATGTGTACGGGCAGGTCACAGGGGATATGATGGCTTAGCTTGGGCTCAGAGGCCTGACAGGTACAACATTTAATGAGTATAACAACCAAATCCTTGAGAGGTCTATATGTAGTTGGTGTGCCTAAGTTCAGGTTTGGAAAGGTAGGCAGATTGTGTTGGAAGTTTGTCTCTGTAGCCAACCCAGAAACACGTGTAGTTTTTATACACACATGTTTTTAACAGCTTTATTGAAGTATAATTGACGTGCAATAAATGATATGTATTTAAAATATACAATTTGGTGGGTTTTGACATATCTATATACCTATGAAATTATCATCATAATTAAGTAATAAACATATTCATCACCCCCACAAAATTCTCCATGTCTCTGTAATCCATCCCTTCTCCCTGTTCTTTACCCCTTTTTGCCCATTCTCCCCATAGGCAATCACTGATCTGCTTTCTGTCACTATAGGTTAGTTTATACTTTCTAGAATTTTATATAAATGCAATTATACAGTATGTATTCTTTTTCATCTGGCATCTTTCACTTAGCATAAGTGATTTATCCTATGTTAAGTTGGATCAATAGTCTGTTCCTTTTAATTACTGAGTAGTATTCCATTATATGGATATACCACAATTTGTTTATCTATTTTCCAGTTGATGAACATTTGGATTGTTTCCAGTTTGGCGCTATTACAAATAAAGCTGCTATGAGCATTCATGGAAAAGTCTTTGTATGGATATGTGTTTTTATTTTTGTTAGGGAAATACCTAAGAAAGAAATGGCTGAACCACATGGTAGGTATATGATATGGTTTGGCTCCGTGTCCCCACCCAAATCTCACCTTGAATTATAATCCTTATAATCCCCATGTGTCAAGGGTGAGGCCATGTGGAGGTAATTGGATCATGGGGGCAGTTTTTCTCATGCTGTTCTCATGAGAGTGAGTGAGTCTCACAAGATCTGATGGTTTTATAAGCTTCTAGCATTTCCCCTGCTTGGACTCACTCTATTCTGCTGCCCTGTGAAGAAGATCCTGGCTTCTCCGCCACAATTGTAAGTTTCCTGAGACTTCCCCAGCAATGCGGAACTCTGAGTCAATTGAACCTCTTTCCTTTATAAAGTACCCAGTCTCAGGCATTTCTTCATAGCAGTGTGAGAACCAACTAATATAGTGTATGTTTAACTTTATAAGAAACTGTCAAACTGTTTTCCACAGTGGTTTTTTACAGCCCCACCAGCAGTTTATGAGAGTTTCTTACCAACACTTCACATGGTCAACTTTTCTCATGTTAGTCATTCTAATAGATATGAAGTGGTATCTCACTGTGGTTTTGATTTACGTTTTTGTAATGATTAATTATGTTGATCATTAATTTTTATTGCTTGTTTTCCATCCATATATCTCCTTTGGTAAATGTCTTCAAATCTTTTACTCATTAAAAAAATTGTGTTATTTGTTTTATTATTGAGTTTTTAAGCTCTGTGTTTATCCTGGATAAGTCTTTTACACATATATTCTAAGATTTTCTCCCCATCCAGGGCATGTCTTTTCCTTCAATCGTGTCTTTCAAAGAGCAGGAGTTTTTAATTTTGATGAAGGCCAATTAATTAACTTGTTCTTTTATGGGTTGTGTTTTTTGATGTCATATCTGAGAAGTCTTTGCCTAACCCCAGGTCACAAAGATCTTCTTTTATGTTTTCTTTTAGAAGTTTTATTGTTTTAGATTTTACATTTAGGACTGTGAGTCATTCTGAATTAATTTTTGTATATGGTGGGATGTGTGGATTGAAGTTACATTTTTGGCTATGGATATCCAATTGTTCCAGTACCATTTGTTGAAGACTACTCCACTGAATTTGTTTTGCACATTTGTCAGTGGGAGGGGGGGAATAATCTTTTCTTCACCTATTAGAACGTTCACAGCTGAGGTACCGAAATAATCTTTTCTTCACCCATTAGAACGTTCACAGCTGAGGTACCTATAATAGCAGATTAACAAGAGAAAAGCATAACAAAGTTTCTTTTATGATTTAATATGCTTTATGTGACATGGGAATCTTCAGAAATAAAGAGCCAAAGAAATTGGAAACCTGTGTACTTTTATGCTTAGGCTTGGTGAAGAGCAGACAGTTATGCATTGGACAAAGTGGGTATGATCTAATGATAATAAATTGGGGAGAATTTATCAGGACCTGATTGTTCAGATTCTCCTCTGTGTCCCTGTGTGTTCAGAGATAAGGACATTGAGGTTCCTATGACCTAATTCAGAGAAAGGTCAGCTAACTTTTATGGCCTGCTTCAGGGGAGAAAGGGGCAAGAGGAAGGTAAGAGTGACCTTCCTGCTTCTGCTGTTTTCTCAAATGCCAAGGTGCCATATTTTGGGGAAGCATGTTCTGCAAGCCCATCATCAAAATTGTTGCCCTCTGAGAAAGACTCTTAGCATGGCCAGACTTAGGCTTCTGAAGCTTCTCCTAGGACCTTGTGTGCCCTTCCTTATAAAATTCAGTTTTAGCAAATAAAGCTGCCAAGGCAATTTAGCAAGAATCTCCCCCACTCTATACCTGATCACCCTTGATACCTGATCACAATTCTTCACTCCCCACCCTTGTTATCTGATCACACTGTTCTGCCTTCAGCAGAAATCCTGTTAGGTTGGTTCAGCCAAAAATTCTCCTGAACTTTGTGTCTCTTCTTAGCAATTTACTATCCACTGGCCCCCTTCCTCACTGGCTATAAATCCATATGTATCCCTGGTGTATTCAGAATAGACCCCAGTATGATACCAGGGTCTCTCTTCCCCTATTGCAATAGTGCTAAATAAAACTTGTCTTCACTACTTTCACTTCTGTCCTGCTCTGGTTTTATTTTTTGACACCATTGTTGGGGCACAGAGAATGATATCCCAAAGTGTGATACTTTGGCTTGCTGAGCACTTTTGAATTAAAGGAAACTGGAAGGCCTTAGAAGTTGCCTCAGAACCAAGGACTTTCTCACCATCTCTTGTTTCTCTCCTCCCACTTTACTAAATGCAGGGAGGGGCTATTTCTGGGAGTTCCCTTATCTGACTAAGGAAGACTTTTCCCAAAATAAATGCAATAGGCTGGCCATGGTGGATTACAACTGTAATCCCAACACTTTGGAGGCTGAGGCAGGTGGATCACTTGAGCTCAGGGGTTTGAGACCAGCCTGGGCAACATGGCAAAACCTCATCTCTACAAAAAATACAAAAATTAGCTGGGTGTGGTGGCTCATGCCTGTAGTCCCAGCTACTTGGGAGGCTAAGGTGGGAGGATCGCTTGAGCTTGGAAGGTTGAGGCTGAGGCTGCAGAGAGCTGTGATCATGCCACTGCACGCCAGCCTGGGTGACAGAACAAGACTCTGTTAATAAATAAATAAAGAAAAAGAAATGTAATTGTCTTAAGATCCCCTCCCTGGGAATCTCATCAAATAACCAGGAAAGACTAACTGCTGGACAAGAGAAAAGTCTAAAAGTTGTCACCACACCCAGGCAGACTTATCATCAATTCTTCTGAGAGATTACCTGGGAGACTCTATTAGCATAATAAGACAACCTTTGTTCATAGCGAAGTTCTGCCCCTCAACCTCTCACCACCTCCTCCAGAGCTCAGAACTTTGTCCCAAGCCATTGTCTGTTCTTTGTGCTCATTCGATTTCCCTGAAAATTCATTTACTACTCCTCAAAATTTCCTCCATCCCATTTCCATCTCTCCTATGAAGAGGGTATTTAAGCCTCAACCACCTGGACCTTCTTTGAATCTCATATTATGTATGGCTTCTGTTCTCATGCACATTAACACATTTGTTTGTCTTTTCACTTGATAATCTGTCTATTAGTTCATTTCAGCAGGCTTGAACTTTCAGAGGGGGAGGGAAAAATTGCCTTTGCCCTTGTACCATATATGTGTGGATGTTAGAAATACTTTTATGTACTCTTTCAATTATAAAACAAGTAATGTATTTAAAACTGCACATTGAAGAAATTCTTAGATAATTTTTAAAAAGTTATGCTCATAAAGAAACATAATAAACTTACCTGTCAACTATTTGTGTCAATATTTATAAAGGCACGATTGCTTTGCTTTTATTAATACTTTGGCTGGAATGAGTCATGAAAACCACACCTAGTTGAGCCTTGGCGAAACATACCTCAGCATTTTATAAATGCTGCACAGTAAAATTTTGATATTAGGCTCAGCACCTTTCCAATTCCTTTAACCCTCTCACTTCTCCGCCTCACTATTTGAATTATAGCTAGGGCTTTCTCTATGCATTGCCCTTAGGGTAGGGGACCCTGCAGAGAGAACAAAGAGTCCCTTTCCTGGCTTTTGAGCTCTTAAGTAGCCTTTTGTAAATCTATTGTAGAGGCAATGGTATTGAGAGCCACGGATTTCAATTCTAAGGGCAAGGTTCTTGAGAGAAAAAAGGGTATTTTTGAATTTCAAAAGCTTGGCTTTAAATATCAAAAGCAAAAGCCAGAGGGCTCAGAGCATAGGTTTTATGTCATAAACCAGACTGTGAAGAACAGTCTCTTTCCCTGCCCAAAAAGAGATAAGATTTCAACTAAGGGGTGAGGTGGGGGTAGAGGAGGGAGAATTGAGCTTGGTTCAAGTTTAAATTGCTGGGTCCCTGGGAAGAGGCTTAGGGCTCCATCCCATTGGGCCGTGGCCTGGAGCGTAGACAACAGCCCAGACAGGCTGGAGGGGAAGGGGGTTCTCAAGGAGAAGAGCTATTGTCTAACCACCCAGAGCACAGCCTTGTGTATATAAGGACCACACTTAAGCAGTGTGGAAACAGAGGTTGGAGGCATCTAGGCCTGATGAGTCCTTGGCAGCCTCTTAGAATCCTTATACCCTAGTATGGGGTTCGGAAAGAGCCAAGAATTCTTGTACTCCCCAAAAAGAGTCTGGCGGTGTTCATGAGGGCTGGTGACCTGGAAAAGGCATTCTGATTGGGATGACAAGGATGCAGAGTCTAGAGCTGACAGCAGGGTGTGATTGCTGAAACACAAGAAAGAGAGAAGAACTTTGCCCCCTTCTCCCAGTGCCAGCAGCCCAGAGGTAGCAGGATCCTGTTGAAGGTAGGAAAAGTTTCAATACTAAAGAAAATGAAGAATTGTGATTATTGCTGAATGTTCCACAGTTCTGATGGAAGACTGTGTTTACAACTTAAAATGCCAGTAGGCCAGGCAGGGTGATTCACGCCTGTAATCCCAGCACTTTGGGAGGCTGAGGCGGGCAGATCATGAGGTCAGGAGATCGAGACCAACCTGGCTAACACGGTGAAACCGCGTCACTACTAAAAATACAAAAATTAGCCTGGCGTGGTGGTGGGCACCGGTGGTGCCAGCTACTTGGGAGGCTGTGAGGCAGGCGAATCGCTTGAACCTGGGAGGCAGAGGTTGCATTGAGCCGAGATCGCTCCACTATACTCCAGTCTGGGTGACAGAGTGAGACACCATCACAAAAAAAAAAAACAAAAAAACAAAAAAGTGCCGGTAGGATTTTCTATATATTTATTTATTTTTTGAGACGAGTCTCCCTCTGTCGCCCAGGCTGGAGTGCAGTGGTGCTATTTCAGCTCACTGCAACCTGTCTCCAGGGTTCAAGCGATTTTCATGCCTCAGCCTTCCCAGTAGCTGGGATTACAGGCGTGAGCCACCACGCCTAGCTAATTCTTGTATTTTTAGTAGAGATGGGGTTTCACCATGTTGGTCAGGCTGGTCTTGAGCTCCTGACCTCAGGTGATCTGCCTGCCTTGGCCTCCCAGCATGCTGGAATTACAAGTGTGAGCCACCGTGCCCAGCCTCTTTTTAGAGAGCTTCTTGACGGGTGGGACTAGAGATTGATCCCCTCAGTCCTTGGGGTGGTAGAGGGGGTCTGGGGGACATTGGAGCCCCCATAGCAGTGCCCCCAGCCTTGGGTAGCTTTGTCCGTTTATCTCAGTGTAGTATATAAATATTTTCTGTTTGTGTTTTGATAGAAAGAATGTGGGGAAGTGACTTGATTACAGTAGTCCTTCCTTCTCTGCAGAGGATCAGGTCCAAGCCCCCGAGTTGCAAGCCTGAAACCACAGATAGTACCAAACCTGATTGTGTCAATTGGAACATGTTTTTGTTCATGTCTTCCACCTACAAACTTAATGCCTTTTCCATCTTAACTAAGAACTTATGCTCCATGGCCATAACTTTTGCAATTTGAGGTGTGATATCAAAACTAGCATGAATTTCTTTTTCATTCTTCACAATTTCATGGACAGCAGATTCACTCTTGCCATAGATCTTGGCGACCTCAGCATACATTTTTTTTCTTTACTTATTAGATTGAGAACTCACAGGTTTTCACTTAAAGGAAGCACTTTATGGCTGCTCTTTGGCACATCCAAACGGCCAGCATCGCTACTCTTATGCTGTGGGGCCACTATTAAGTAAAATGAGGGTGACTTGAACACAAGCTCTGTGATACCATGACAGTTGATCTGACAACTGAGATGGCTGCTGAGTGACTAACAGGCAGGTAGTGTAGACAATGTGGATACACCACTGTATCCACAATATGTATCCAGACTGGATAAAGGAATGATTCACATCCTAGGCAGGATGGTGCAAGATTTCACTGTGCTCCTCAAGTCAGAATGGTGTATGCCATTTAAAACTTATGAATTTTTTATTTCTGGAATTTTCCATTTAATATTTTCAGATCTCAGTTGATGGTGAGTAATTGAAACCATGGAAAGTGAAACCATGGATAAGGGTGGACTACTGTAGTTTTCTACTGCTGTGTAACAAATTACCACAAACTTAGGGACTTAGAACAATACCTCTTTTTTTTCCCTTACACCTTCTATAGAATAGGAGTTGGCATGAACATTTGACCTTTGACTGGGTTCTCTGCTCAGGGTCTCACAAGGCTGAGGTTAAGATGTCTGCCACACAGTGTTCTCGTCTGGAGCTTGGCATCTCCTTCCAAGATGTTAACAGCATTTAGTTCCTTGTGGTTGTAGGACTAACATCCCCATTTTCTTGCTGATAGCTGGCCCAGGGTCTTTCTTAGTTCCTAGAGGCCACCCTCAAGTCTTAATTATGTGGCCCTTTCACCACACAGTAATTTCCTAGCTAAACAAGCACCAGAACCCATATTCAGTCTGCTTGCCACGAAAGAGTCTTATGTAATGTATCATACTCAAGGGAGTGACTACCCCATCATATTTACGGGTCTTGTCCATTATATAAGGTGTGCTGCAGGAGGCAGAATCTTGGGGGCTGTCTTAGAACTCTACCTATCACAACCACCAAGCTATGGGACATGCTTAGGGCCAAGATTATATCCATGGGCAAAGGGAAAACTGCCCCTGTGAAATAAATTATAAACAGACAATGAGAAACAAAAATAAGTTATGTTATGATTATATCCTATGAATTATTCTTGTTCAGTGATCCAGTTACTTGCAAACTAAATGTTTTCACTTGGGGGGGTTGATTTTCATGAGATTGCTGGAGCCAGTGAATTGTAAGTATCCAGTGATTCAATGAAAACAGGGAGGGCTGCAGAATTTCTCTACTGGATGGACTGCAGGGAAGCAATTTTGTTGGAGAGAATGGACAGGGAACTTTTCTTAAATCATAGTCTGTTTTCACTTGCAAGGTATGAGATCAGCAGGACTTGTTCTTCAAGCAGCAGTCATGACCCTGCTAATCAAAACAAGATGTAGCAAAGATACCAGCTAGGACTAGGAATTTTAATGCATTTGCATAAGAAACTCCTATCAGCACCATGACAGTTTACAAATGCCATGGCAACAACCCATAAGTTACCTTATATGGTTCTGGGAACTCCCCACCCATTTTCCAGAAAGTTTGTGAATAACACATGCCTTCATTAACATATAATTAAGAGTGGGTATAAATATAGCTAGCCAGCAATCCACCAGTGCTACTCTGGTCCACTCTGCCTATGGGATAGCCCTTCTCTGTCTATGGAGTAGACATTTTGCTGTACACTGTTGTTCAAATAAACTTGCTTTGTTTCACTGTCAGCTTGCTCTTGAATTCTTTCCTAAGCAAAGCCAAGAACCCTTCTGGGCTAAGCCCCAATTTTTGGGTTTGCCTGCATCACTTGGAGTTCATGCTTATTTGGCATGCCTTTGAAAGTCATTGTAGGGGCAGGTTTTAAAGCCATCCCTAAGTCACCTTTTGGATTACCTATCAGTGCATGTATCAGCTGAACTTTGGGGAAATATGCCTAACTTTTCTAGATGCATAGATTAAGTTCTGGCCATTCTGGTATAGGATACTACTAAGGTTTACACACAGCATAGTGAAAAATACATCAGAATCACAAGCCTTAAGCCCTGGCTTCTAGTTCTAGATCTATCTGCCTGTGGCTGGCTGTATGACTTTGAACAAATTACTGTCCCTCTCTGAATCTCTGTAAAATAAGAAGTGAAGACCTAATGTTCTCCAAGGGCTCTGCCATGTCCTTGGTACCAAGGGCATCCTGGATTTTCCAAAGATCTGAAATAAGTGATCCCCTGGACTTCAGAACATTCTGAAGAGCACCTGTCTCTAGACAAGTAAATACTCATCCTAACACAGGCAGATTTGGCTCTTCTGTTTATGAGTTCTCCAAAAAAAGATGCCATAGTCTTTTCCTCCTATCTACTCTTGTGCTCCACTGTCACCCACCTCACTCCCATCTCAAAGATGATTTCCCATTATTCCACCAATGCCACCTGGCTGTCTTATGACACTGTGATAGGATGCAGTTGTACTGCCGTCTAAATTGGTACCTGGCAATGCAGTCAAATTGGTAGCTGCCTAAGTTGGTTGGGCAAGTTAGAATAGGGGAGGTTACTTATTTGACAAAGACAATTTTTTTTCCAACCAACATTCCCTGAGCATCTCCTATATAAGGAACAGTAGCTTAGGTTCTGATAGATACAAATACAAATATAAAATCCTGGTCTTTATTCTTAAGGAGCTTCTAATCTCAGAGAACAGTGAAGCAGAGCATCAGAATGAGCTTTTATGGCTCCCCAGACACATTTAACTCCACAGAGAGGACCATTCTCAGGAATTGCCATCCATTCTGAGGTTTATGGGAGCTCATGGTTAGCAAGATGGGCAGAGAAACTGGTCTTTAGTGAGTTGCCTTTATTCCTGTGATGGCCTCTTTGATATGTCAACTTGACTAGGCTACAGTTCTCAGTTATTCAAACACTAATCTAGGTGTTGCTGTGAAGGTATTTTGTAGGTATGGGTAAAATCCATAATTAGGTAACTTTAAATTAAGGAAATTATTTTAGATAATCTGAGTAGGCCTGGTTCAATTAGTTGAAAGGCCTTAAAGGCTGGGCTGAAGCTTCTCTGAGAGAAGAAAAAATTCTGCCTGTGAACTGCAGCCTCAGCCCATACCCAGGAGTTCTGGGCTGCCCTTCCTGATAGTCTGTCCTACAGATTTCAGACTTGCCTAGCCAGACATCACTTATATATTATTATAGGACAATTCCTTGCAACATATCTTTTAATGTATATCTCCTACTGGCTCTGCTGCTTTAGTTGAACTGTGACAAATGTAGATTTTGGTACCAAGAGTGGGGTGAATACATTTTCATTTTGCTTGTAGGTTGGAATGTGTCTTTGGGGATCAGAGAGAAGACTGGTAGGCAGAGTGATGCTCCTTTCAAGGATGTCCACGTCCTAATCACTGAGGCCTGTGAATATGTCACCTTATATAGCAAAGGGGAATCAAGCTTGCCATTGAATTAAGGCTGCTAATCAGCTGGCCTTAAAATAGGGAGATTATCCTGGGTTATTCAGATGGACCCAATATAATCACAAGGACCCTTAGAGGTAAAAGGAGGAGGCAAGAAGAGAGGGAACCAGAGAGATGGTAGTGGGAGCAGGACTCGGTCCAATGTTGCTGCTGGCTTTGAAGATAAAGGAGCTGAGGAAAGTGGACAGCTTTTGGGAGCTTCAAAAGTCCAGGGGACAAATTCTCCCCTAGAACTTGCAGAAGGGAACATAGCCCACATTTTAGTCCAGTAAAATGTATTTTGAACTGTAAGATAATAAATTTGCATTGTTTTAAGCCACCAAATTTGTGGTAATTTGCAGAGCAGCCACAGAAAGCTAATACAACCCCTAGTCTCCATCTCTTCTAGGAGTGGGTCACCAATTGCTGAGCCACTGATATGGTTTTGCTGTGTCCCCACCCAAATCTCATGTTGAATTGTAGCTCCCACAATTCCCGTGTTGTGGGAGGGACCTGGTGGGAGGTAATTGAATCATGGGGGTGCATCTTTCCTGTGCTATTCTTGTGGTAGTAAGTCTCTTCTCTTGTTTGCCACCATGTGAGATGTGCCTTTTACCTTCTGCCATGATTGTGAGGCCTCCCCAGCCACGTGGAACTGTGAGTCCATTAAACTTCTTTCTTTTGTAAATTGCCCAGACTTGGGTAGGTCTTTAGCAGCAGCGTGAAAACGGACTAATACAGCCACCAGCATGCAGACAGGGGATTTGTTCTTTCCTTGCTGTCTCACAGGTCAGCAAGCCTGCCATCCACCTTGGCCTCACCCACCCCAGCATCTTTGGTCCCAGGGCGCTCAGTGCAGCCCTCAGCAATTGATGCAGCCCCACCCCACCCCACCCCCAGAGTCTGGACAAATCTGGAAAGACCCAGAGTCTGCAGCCTGTCTGTGAGTGGCACCCTGTTCTTTACCCTCCCCCACAAGACAGTTTCCACACCAGATGCTCTGTCTATTTATAGTTTATTGATGCCCACAAGACAGTTAGAGAAATTATACAATGCTGCCTTTATAATTTTTTAAAAGTGCTTCATTCTCTCTCCAAGTTTATGAGTCCATAGGGATAGCCTAGCTTTATAACCTCATATTATTATTTTGTCAATTGGTTATCTGAGGAAAATGTTTCCTCAGCTTTATCCACTTCCTCTTTTAGAAGAATGCATCAAATACAAGTTTACAATATTCTTTGGAAGAAATATCTTCTTATACCCAGGGCCTAAAGAAAACCTGGCAACTGTCTAGAAGGAGATCAAGCAGTGGCAAAAGGCAATTTCATTTTCTTCCTTTTCGTCTTTCCTTCTTCAACCCTCCCTTCCTCCTTCCTACCCTCCCTCCCCCCCTCTCTCCTTTTTTTTCTTCCTTTTTTCCTTCGTCCCCTCCTTTAAAAAATATTGGTAAAGTTCCAACTTGGTTCCGATACTGTTGTAGGAATTGGTACTTGTATTAGTTTCCTAAGACTGCCATAACAAAGTACCACAAACCAGGTGGCTTAAAACAGCAAAAATATATTCTCTCACAGCTTTGGAGAGCAGAAGTCCAAAATCAAGGCATTGGCAAGGCCATGCTGCCTCTGAGATCTGGGTAGAATCTTTCCTTGCATCTTCTTAGCTCCTGGTGGTGGCTGGCAATCCCCAGCTGGCAGCTCTGTCACTGCAATCTCTGCCTCCACCATCACACGTCCTTCTCCTGGGTGTGTGTGTGCGCTTGAGTGGGTGTCCGTCTTTGCATTGTCTTTTCTCTGTGCAAGTCTGTGCCCAAATTTCTCTCTTCTAATAAGCATACCAATCATATTGGATTAGGGATCCACTCTACTCCAGTAAGACAACATCTTAACTTCCTATATCTGCAAAGATATAGAAATGCTGGTGGCTTGGATTAAGGGATAAGAGTGAGGCAGTAGGGAGAAATGGAAGAGGACAGGTTTGAAACCACGAAGGAGGTAGCGTACCCAGAATTTGGTGGTTAATTAGATGAGGTAAGAGAGGAGAAAAGTCAAGGGTGCCCAGGTTTCTAGCTTAGACAACTGGGCAGAAGCCAAAGCAGGAGGAGGCAGCTCCTCTCTTTCCTCTTCATTCACCCACTGTACGTCAAGCATGATACTGAACATGTACAGAGGGTATCTCATTTAATCCTCATTTCTTTCTTAGTGGCGAATAAAGAAGATGGTGGATATTACAATCAATGGTATCTTAGATTTAATAAAATATAAAATTATCCCTTTTTGCAGATAATGAAGCTGCAGTTCAGAGAGATTTATTACATAGGTTGTCTCATTTAATCCTCGTTACATAGATTGTCTCATTTAGTCCTTGCAACAACCCTATGAGGTGGTTTTATTACCCCTTCTTCACAGATAAGGAACCATCCTGGCAGAATAACAATAGTGACAGTTACGATCTATTGAGCTTCTAGCTAGGCACTGGGCAACGTGCTTTATGTATGAACCTCATAACCACCCAGCTAGGTATGTGCCCCCTCCATTAGAGAGGTTAAGAAATGCTTCCCAGGGCACATGGCTACAATCCCCCTTGGATCTCTTTGCTTCCATCACTTACAGGACAAAGCCCAGTCTCCTGGGCCTGGCACACAGGCCTCTCCAGGGCCGCCTCCAACTCTACTCATCGCTCAGTCATCTTTGCTTTGTATCTTTTGGTCCAGCAACACTGAGCCACTGATTCTGCAGAAACACTGTGGGCAGGATTAGGACTGGGAAGAGACAGATGAGGTCCCCAGAGTACAACGTTTAAGGAGGCACTCACTTATCAGGGTTGGCCCCTGAGGAAGAGAGCATCTCCTTGCCTCCCTCAGTTTCCAGCCCTGCCACATGGCTTCTCCACACTTTGGCTCTTATTTCTCCTCTCAGGAGAGTATTCTCCTTTCCCCCTTTTCAACCTCAATTTAGCTCATGCTCACCCTTCATAGTCAGCTAAGAGATGACCTCTTCGAGGAAGCCTTCCTTCCCTAACCACCTCCCACCTCTTGGGCTAGGATGAGTGTCCTTGCTTAGCACACCTATAATATCAGGTTTATGTATCTGTCATTGCACATCCACAAAAGAGGACAGTTATCTGTTGCTGTGTCTGTTTCCCCTACCAGACTATGATCCTTAAGGGCAGTCTTATTTATCTATGTGTTCCCATCAGTTAGCAAGTGCTTGCTATACAGTAGATGATTATTACATTTTTTTGTAGAATTAACTGTTACCGGCTGAACTGTGTATCTACCAAACTCATGTTGAAGTCCCAACTGCCAGTACCTTGGAATGTGACTGTGTTTGGAGACAGGGCCTTGAAAGAAGTGACTGAGGTAAAATGAGGGCTTTAGGGTGGCCCTAATCCAGTTCGACTGGTGTCCTCATAACAAGCAGAGGCAGGGTGCATTGGCTCACGCCTGTAATCCCAGTACTTTGGGAGTCCAAGGTGGGGCAGAAAAGGAGTTTGAGACCAGTCTGGCCAACATGGTGAAACCTCGTCTCTACTAAAAATACAAAAATTAGCCAGGCATGGTGGTGCACTAGTCCCAGTTACTCAGGAGGCTGAGGCAGGGAGGCAGAGGTTGTAGTGAGCCGAGATCGCACCATTGCACTCCAGCCTGGATAACAGGGTGAGACTCAGTCTCAAAACAAACAAACAAACAAACAAAAAAAACAAAAGGCGGAGATTTGGACACAGACACACACAAAGGAAAGACCATATAAAGCTGTAGGGAAACAATGGCCACTTAGAAGCGAAGGAGAGAGGCCTCCAAAGAGATCGACCCTGCTGACACCTGGAATTTTAGACTCCAGAACTGTGAGAAAATAACTTTCTGTTGTTTCAACTACTCAGCTGGTGGTATTTTGTTGTGGCAACCCTAGCAAACAAACTGACTAACCAACTAACCAACTAACAGGTCCCCAATGTCATGCACAAACCTCATGTTGCTTAGATTGTTTCTATTTATTTCTTACCAGTATCTCTCTCCCTAATTGGTCGTCAACTCTAGAGGAAAGAAATGCATATTTGTATCTCTCCCACGCAGGACTCAGCCTCTGGTTGTTCATACAGTTGTTGCTCAATATATGCTTCCAATTTCTGCATTGTTCAGAGGTGGGGATGGTTCCCGTCTGGCCACTGGGGTAGTGTTCCAGCCTTATTGCATGAAAATCTAGCCAAGCTGTGGGAGATGGTACCTGCAAGTCTCAGGAAGCCCTGACCTTGCGTCTGCCCAGGTTCTCACATTGTACTCATACAAGCGGTCAGGAAGAGGGGCAGCAGAGGCCTCAGACCCTGGACTCAACACCATCCCATCGCCTGGCAGCATGGAATATACCTGTTACAGGGGTGAGACTGTTATACCTGGGAACTTCACAGCTCACTCATTATTCACTTATTCAGAAATACTCATTGCAAACCTATTACGTGCTGCACTCTTCCAGGCACCTGGGATGTGGCAGTGAAGGAGACAGACCAGCTGTCTTTGGGCTTCCTCCTGATGCTCACGTTCCAGTGCAGTCAAGATCTTTACCACCATCGACATTCTAATAATAAACACAACTCCTACGTTCACAGAGCTTCAGAGTTTACAGAGTGTGTTGATGCTCATTAGCCTACTTGATCCTCTCCAAAACCGTGGGCAGTAAGAATTATTATTATCATCTTTCATAAATGCTCACAATGACATTTTTTTTCTCATTTTAACATCTCTGTCATCAGGTGGGTCTTGCAGGGGATGGCATGCTGTAATGAAATTGGTGGCCCTTATTTTCTTTCTTAGTGTTAAATAAAAGAATGGTAGGTCTTACAATCCATGCCTTAGATTTAATAAAATACAAAACTATCCCTGTTTTGCAGATGATGAAGCTTTAGTTCAGAGCGATTTGGTGGCTTTTTAAAGTCATATGGTTATGTTGTCTTCTGTGCAGGCGGAGGAGCCCTGAAAAAGTCAGGGCTATGCACAAAGCTGCAGTATCCCTGGCAGTGAGGCTCTCAGGGGATTCCTTTCCCAAGCACACCACAGCTGGCTGTTCTCATTTTCCTACAGGGAAAGGAAGCTCTACCCTGTCCCAGGATGAACTTCAAAGGGAGCTGTCCTTCCCTCACTCAATCCCACTCCAGGGGAGCAGCAGGAGTGTGGCTAAGACTAGAGTGGAGCATGTCTGGGATCAAAAGAGCCCCCTTCTCTCCAGAGCACCCAGGGGGCTTGCGTGAGCTCCATTTCTGGTCTGGTTTGAGTGATCAGTTGACAAAATACATCTGGGGTAGGAGGAGGCCTCTGTGATCAGCTGTCATCTCCTCTAAACACCTCTGATGCATTTTCTCTCTTCACAACCCACGAGGTGTCAACCCTTTGCCTGCATGATCTATAAGCAGGGAAGGCATCCTATCTGGAGACAGAGACATCAAGAGGAGGCAAAAGAGAAGGAGGCTGCTGGAGGGAAAGTGGGAACTAGAAGTTGGCATTGACTTATCTTTATCCCATGTCTGATTTTCAGAGCTGAACCCCTGACCCCAAAGCTAGTTACAGGGTGACCCCAGCAAGCACAATGAAAGCATTGCTCAGTCTCCAGCATTTTGTCCTACACACACACACACACACACACACACACACACACAGAGACACGGGTGTTTGGGTGAATCTCTTTCCTTCCTAGCGGGAACTCTCTGCCTGGTTAGCAGCAACTATAATGAGATTTGCAACTCTCTCCTCGGATTTCCCATAGATGATATGACACCTCAAGAGGTTACCTTATCCATATCCGTTCCTTCACCTCCATTTTATCTCTAGCCCATCATTGGCTCTAGAGTTCCTCCAGAAGAATTCACAAATTCCATAGTCTGGTATTCAACTCCCCTTAAAATCTAGCCCTGATCCATATCCCCAAATGTAATAAGTGGTATTCTTTAATCTGAATATCATACTCCAGCAGAATATATTTTCTGACCAGACCAGAGACATGCCATAGAACATTCTGCCTCTGTATCTTTTCTCATTTCATGCCCCTGCCAACAATGCTCCCCTCCCACTGCAGCCTTTAGAGTTCAACTCAAGTTCCACCTGCTCCCTGATGCCCCTTCCTGGGCTCAGCCTCCCACTGGCCCTGCTCATGGCCACTGCTTGCCCCTTGTGGGATGGGGAGCCACATCCTGCATGCAGAGCCAGAGCGAATCAATGAGTGAGGTGTGCTCCTTCAAGGGACCCCGAGGAGAGCCACTGCGTCCTCTTTGCTGATTCCCCCTTGATGGCATGTGCCTGTGCTGATGACTTCGGTTATGTGCTTCAATTCCTGTTCTGGAAGGGGGCTTAGAGCCTTGGCCCTTGCTTCCACCAATCCCCATTCTAGGGATGCATCCCAGTCCTTCAACATGAGCCTCCCAAGGACCACTTCCTCTCCATCTTCTTGGAACTGTCACCTGGACTAAGACTGGAGACAGCTATATACCACTGGTACCCGCTGGTACCTGCTTGTTCACCAGACTAAGCCTCCGCTGTCATTGCCTTCAGCTAGGTCAGCTTCCATAGCACCTAGCCCACTGCTGGAGCAGCAAATGCCAGCTCTCAGCCCCTTCCTACCATCCCCACCCAGCTCTCAGAGACTTGCTCTGCTCTGCCAAACCCTGAGAGCCCATGAGGCACTCTGAATGCTGCAGTTGACAGGGCTTCCTCTGCACCATTCTCTTGCATCTTAAGTGATGATTTTAGGAAGACCCTCTCATTTATCTGTGAATTACCTGGCTTATACATGTTGGGAACAATGAATACTTATTGACAGTGCAAATATTAAAATCCTCAAGAAGTCCTTGCTGCTATTTCACCTGAAGACCTCCTGTTACAATGACTCACTCCACTCTCTACTTTAGCTGCCACTTGTCCTTTTCTGTCTTGAGATTTTTCTTCCTTTCCCTCCAGTTATCCAAAATGAAATGTTAGTGGGTCAGGTGGGTTATTTCTCTAGGGCAGGAACTGAGATTTGTTTGTGTTTATGTCCCTAGAATCTAGCATGGTGCCTGCTATGGTGCCTTCTAGTAGATAACTAGAAAATAGCTGACTAAAATTGTGAAAATGAACTCAATAAACATTTCTTGAGCTCCTAAGGTGCGCGAAGCACTGTGCTAAGTATCTTAAGTTCCAGAAAAAAAAATAGCAAACAAAGTATCTTTCAGGAAACTGGGCCAGGAGAAGGCAATAATGGGTATTCCCAATTAATTGCAAATGGGTGCCACATGGGTAGAAGTTTCATTCTAGATGAAGGCTTATCAACTAGTGAGATAGAGATGGTAGTCTCAGAAGAACATGGGGTTTCTTAATGATCACTAAGACATGAACATTATATGCCCATTCTCTATGAGCATATAATTCTATTTTTGGAAACAACAAACCCTTTGCTTCCATCTTGGAGAAGCTCAAAGTCTTCACTATTGGGACTGGTAGGACTGGGTTAGGAAAAGGCCAAGAGCTCTGAGACTTGGAGGACTCCAGCTCCTGCTGGCCCCCAGAGGGACTGAGCTCCCACCTCATCGTCTTCCCTCAGGTGAGGAATGAGGGTTCTGATGGGGGAAGACAGCCTGCCAGAGGCTGCCTGAGTGGCAGCAGGCAGTCTTGTCAGCCATTATCTTGCTGGAGTAATCCTCCAACCCTCGCGGCCTCTCCATTTGATCTGCCTGAGACCGCAGGAGATAGTCAAATGCTTTTGGCTAATATCATATGCATGCATAATTAGATGGCAGCAATTACCCTCTGGGTTCCTAGCACTTGTTCCAACATCCAGGCCCTAGGCGAGGAGCTGGTGGGAGCGAGGCAGGGAGGCCTCCCCCAGCCCACCCGTCCTCTGTCAGCCTCCTGGAGAGCAGATTGGAAGCCCGGAGCCTGGGAGCACAGCCCTGTGGAGGGCCAATGACGCTCAATGAAGAGCGACAACAGGCAGGTGGTAGAGGGAGTTGAGCCGTGACAGTGTCGCTGCCAGCTCATGGGTTGGCATGCTGTTGCGGGCCGGGTGGGTTGCCATGGGCATGGGGGATGAAGACTCATGGGCAGCCCTTGTCTCAGAGAGGAAGCCAAGAGAAGGTTTGAGAGTTCTCAGAGCAGTGATGGGGCTGATGAGACGCCATCTGCCCCGCCCCTGGCACTGGGTTCTTCCACCTCCTCACTGTTGGCACTCCCTGTGGGTGCCAATGACACAGGCATATGCTTGGCCAGGTCTGGCTGACATTTTCCTGAGGCTGGTGCTCAGACTTCTTGGCTGGGAAGTGGAGATCGAGGGAATCGATGTGGCCTGGGAGGTGGGTCTTCGGGTGCAGAGGAGGCTGAAGAGAGTGGACAAGCATGGACCCCAAACCTTCAGATATTTCATTCTCTCACATCCTTTGCTTGGGGAGGGTCCTGGCAGCAGCAGGGTTGGCACTGTCCCTTCAGCATGCACTACCTGCTGTGCCTGCAGTTCAATCAGTCATTCATGTGCACGTCCAGCAGGTTCTGGCTGGCAGAGGGGAGGCAGCATGGGGGCAAAGATCATCCTCTCAAGGGATTTGGAGTGGGTGGGGCTGGATTTAAAACCCAGCTCTGCATTTCCCAGCAGAATGACTGAGGTCAAGCTCCCTAACCAATCTGTTACTCCTTCAGCAAAATGGAGTTGTGAAGGGGTGCCTGGCACATAGGAGATACTCAGAATATGTCAGTTGGATTTTTCTTTCCCTCTAGGTAAGGCTGAACGTGTCAGGGAGTCTGCACTCTCTACAGTTTCTGTTCTTTCCTGATTGGCAAAGGGGTAAAGTGAGCCTGGAGAAGGTGGGTAGGGTGGGATGGGGGCAGTGCTCTAGGACCAGCTGTTTGGCAACAGGAGCTGTGTGTGCTCCATCTTGGTTGAAAAACCTCCCTGCACATCCAATGCCCTATTCTCTGCTACCTGTTCCAAGGCAGAACCTGGGCTCCTTCTTGTGCATATATGTTTGTCTGTCCTGGCACCCAGGACTTGGTCTTGTTTGTATCACACTTGCATTGCAATATGATCTCTTGCACAATTCCTGGCAAATATAATTTTAAGAAATGTTTGTTGAGTGACTAATTGTGGCCTAATTCAGGTCACCTCAGTATAGACCCACCTTGGGCTGTCAGGAGCAGATTAAGGGAAAATGGGAAGAAACCAAGAAGAGGATATCTGAAACCCAGAGATATCTGAAGCCCAACGTCTCACAGTAGAAAGAGCATGAATTTTGGATTCACCTGGCCAGGGCTTCGAACCTAGATCTGCCATGTAACAGCTGTGTGTTGTGTGATCTTGGAGGCAGTTACTTAATCACTCTGAACCTCAGTGACTGCATTACTAAGATTGATAATGATCACAGGGTTATTATGAGCATTAAATAAACAAACAATATAGTTTGCCACACAGGAGATGCTCCATAAGACGGTGGCCATAGTGATTGTAATTGAAGATATGAACTGAGACCTCTGCCTTCAAAGATCTATCAAACCTCAATTCTTTGATGTTTGGAGACATGGACCTCCGCTGTGATTTTTTTTGAGCTCCTTCACTTATCTTTCATGCTTCTGATGCCCCACTCCCAGGCCTGTCTCTATCTTCTCTTTCACTGGTCTCCATGCCATCTGATCATGTCTGGCCTTTGCAGGTTTTGTAGACTTACTGAAGATTTAGGCGTGGCAGGAATCAAAGAGATGGTTCCATTCAGTTATTGAAACCCAACCTCTGGCCATCTGGCCAGCTCTTTCTCTCTCTCTTTTCTCTCTTTTCTGCCCTCTTCAGAGTACCAAGCTGTTGCTAGCCCTTGCCTTATATAGAATAGTTCTATTCACTTCTAGAATTCTTGTGGGACTAATCTTTCATAACAACTCTTAGGATGTTTGTCTTCAGGATAATTCTGGAGAATGAAGAGCTCCTCATCTGACTATTTCATGATTACCTGACTCAGCCACATGGCTGGCTCCTGGTGAGGGCTGTGAGATACCTCATTTATAGGTTTCAAAAAGACCTGGGATGATGTCGGCTTTATTCATGTTGGTGTCAGTAGCTACAGTGAGCTGGGCATGGCACAGCAGTGGCGGGGGCGGGGGGTCAGGAATTAGCGCAGGAAGTCAGGTAGGTATTCACATTGTGGGTAAAGTTGGTCCATCTAGGGATGCTGCCAGGAGATAGGAGTTCCAGGGAAGAGCACCGAAACTATTGGACACTATCAGCAGGAGTTGGCAAGGGCTAGGCAGGGGTACACTAGGGCTCCAGACAAGCAGGGCAGGGCCCTATTACCAAAGGGAACTGGAGGGGTAGGCAAGAAACCTAGCCTGGGGACCAAGTCTTCAACTGAGCTTGGCCCATTTGAACCAGAAAAATAGTTCGTTGCATTTGAACGTGTGTATTTCTTGCACACGTGTGAGTCTGTGGGGTTGCATTCCGACATTCTCATGATTTGAAGCTCTGCATGGTCATATGATTCCTTCTGAAGGATAT
This sequence comes from Homo sapiens, assembly GCF_000001405.40. Taxonomy (NCBI): domain Eukaryota; kingdom Metazoa; phylum Chordata; class Mammalia; order Primates; family Hominidae; genus Homo; species Homo sapiens. Next base: position 116,430,074 of record NC_000011.10, on the reverse strand, counting down.
CTGGTAGATACTCCCTACCTGAATTTTTTTTATTTTTATTTTTTGAGATGAAGTCTCGCTGTTGTCCCCCAGGCTGGAGTGCGATGGCGCCATCTCAGCTCACTGCAACCTCCGCCTCCTGGGTTCAAGTGATTCTCCTGCCTTGGCCCCCTGTGTAGCTGGGATTACAGGTGCCTGCCACCATGTCTGGCTAATTTTTGTATTTTTAGTTAAATGGGGTTTCACCATGTTGTCCAGGCTAGTCTCGAACTCCTGACCTCAGGTGATCCACCCGCCTCGGCCTCCCAAAGTGCTGGGATTACAGGCGTGAGCCACCGTGCCAGACCAGTTTTTTGTTTGTTTGTTTGTTTGAGACAGATTCTTGCTCTATCACCTAGGCTGGAGAGCAGTGGTGCCATCTCGGCTCATTGCAACCTCCGCCTCCCGGGTTCAAGAGATTCTCCTGCCTCAGCCTTCCAAGTAGCTGGGATTACAGGTACACACCACCACGCCTGGCTAATTTTTGTATTTTTAGTAAAGATGGGGTTTCACCATGTTGGCCAGGCTGGTCTCGAACGCCCGACCTCAAGTGATCTGCCCGCCTCAGCCTTCCAAAGTGCTGGATTGCAGACGTGAGCCACTGCGCCCGGCCTCCCTACCTTAATTATACAGCCAAGAGGTAGGTTCTAGACAGAACTCAGGAGTTAGAAGGCAGGTCTTAGGTAGGTTGGAGGGTAACTCCATCTCTCTTGCTTGGATATGAACTTCCAGCATCCTGGATGAGCTGGGGAAAGCTTGCCTCTGGCAAGGGAGGCAAGCTGGGGATCCACCCTGGTGGGGAGGCAACTTATGAGGGCTCCAAGTTGAACGTGAGCCAACTGTAGGTCTTAAACCTGATGATGATCTGATTTTGTATTACTCTGTTTTCTCTTTTGTTTCTTCTGGGCATTTAGTAAGGTTTTATTGAAACATTGCAGTTTGATCTCAGTTACACTGTGAGGAAGAAAGAAAATGGTCCCACACTTGGGACAGCAGGGTAAAGTGGGGGAGCATCCTGAACTCTGGGCCTCAGTCATTTCCAAAGGTAAGGGCAACCCAGTGTGCCATGGGATCCAGCTTCTCTTTCACCTAGAGTTCTCTCCATTGGAAGCTGTGGAGGATGCATTTTCCTTTGCTGAGGATGATGGCCATTTCTTAACCTTTGGTGGACTCAGTCCGTAACTCAGGGTCTGGGGGATTCTGGGCACAATATTTATGAGTCTATGGCAGTTTGACCTAACGAATTCAGACCCGTCCCTTTGTGGACTGAGGCCTTAAAGCTCTCTGTGCTCACCGAGCTCCATCTTCAGAAACTGGAGTGGGGGCTGGGGGTGGCAGAGGCCACAGGAGCGGCCCCCATCTTCTCCCTGGCCACTCACCTTCAGTTCCCCGCATGGACTGGCAGCCTGCCCTTCTCTGGGTTCTGGGTCTGTGCTCTCCGCCTGCACTGAGGGGCCTCAGAAAGGTCCTTCTCTTATCTCCCTGCCAGCAACATGCCCCAGAGGCCCACACCAGCCCAGCCTGAGCTGGCCTTGAGTGTCAGGGGGCCAAAGCAATGACCTCTGCAGTGTGGAGCCCTTTTCCAAATAATTCATCACCACTCTGCATCCAATTAGGGAAAGCAGGCTGGATGAGACAATGGCCCAAACCCCTTGTTAAGTAACATCCCTAATTGATGACAGGGATGGTGAGCAGGGGTTTGGAAGCCAGCTCAGATTGTGTTTTTAAAATCCTCCTTTCTCCCGGGCTGCCTGCCAGAACTCAATGGCGTGGCCCTCCAGGAGAACAAAGGGAGCTTTGAAAATCTTTCTCCCCGTCCTTCAAATGCTTATCTGAAAAGACATCTTTTTCCCCTTAGTCGCTACAATCATAAAAGCACAGGTGATAAACCGCTTCTTCGTAATCATCAGTTGTGAAATCTCCCCCCACCCCTCTAAATAAAAAGCAGGAATTGCAGCAGCGGCAGCAGCAGTAGAAAGCAAGAGAGACCATCTCAGTGCCCATTCTGATGCCTATCGAGGCTCCAGGAAGGGAGCGGGAGAGGGGGATGAACTTTGTTCAGTGACAACTTTTATCTCTGGGTCTCGGGCTGTTGAAATGTCAAGCCAGGGCTGGATAGGATCTCCTAACAGCAGCTGCTGCCTAGCTCTGGGGGATAGAGGGCTGGTGGTGGGTGGGAGGAGAACCTGGAAGTGAATTGAACACGTCTTGAATTCTTGCAGCTAGAGTTCAGGTCTTGGTGGGACTTTGCTCCTAGAGAGGAAAGCCGAGGCTGTAGGGAGGGGCCTTGAGAGCCTGGTTTTGCAATGACCTTGAGAAGCTCTCTCTGAAAGGACAGGGGCTAGGCCATTTCAGAGGAGACGACTCTGTCCAGCTTTTAGGCTCCCAAGCTATGACATTGTAGAATTGAGGGATAGTTAGGCCTGGGGTTTAGATAGGATTCTAGATCCCTGGGCCCTCACATTAGCTCAAGGTGAGATCTTTCTCCTTCAGAGGCCATGCCCTGATCCCTCCACTTAGTTCATATCACTCTGCTGTCATTCTTCCTTGTAATGCCAACACCACCAAAGACCATTTACAGCACTGTAAGCTCAGCTTAATTCAGGAACATTTCAGATTTTTAAAGCTGGAGGAGATGATTTCTGAGCTGGCCATTTTATTTTTATTTTTTATTTATTTTATTTTTTTGAGACAGAGTCTCACTCTGTCACCCAGACTGGAGTACAGTGGCATGATCTTGGCTCACTGCAACCTCCGCCTCCCAGGCTCAAGTGATTCTCCCACCTCAGCCTCCCGAGTAGCTGGGACTACAGGTGTGTACCGCAATGCCTGGCTACTTTTTGTATTTTTTATAGAGACAGGGTTTCATCATGTTGCCCAGGCTGGTCTCAAACTCCTGAGCTCAAGGGATCTGCCTGCCTCAGCCTCCCAAAGTGCTGAGATTACAGGTGTGTGAGCCACCATGCCTGGCCTTATTTTTTTCAAAAATTCACATAGCACCCACTGTGAAGTAGCTACTGGTCCAAATGCATGCTTATTAACTCATTTTATCCTCATGACAATTGAATGAAACGAGAGGAAATTGAGGTACAGAGAGGTTAAGTCATTTACCTAAGATCACACAGCAATTGGCAGAATCAGAATTCAGACCCAGGAACACTGGACCAAAAGCTTGTATTCTTAACTGCTACTCTGTGCTGGCTTTTGCTATGTTATGCTGGGCATTCAAGGATGAATAGGAGTTGCCTGGGTAGGCAATGAAAAGGAGAGAGTATCTTGCTGGCAGAAGAGCAGGAGTAACGGCAAAAAGATATAAAAACCAGTTTGGAAATAGAAGAAAAGAGAACTGATTTCTGTTGAGTACCTACCTTGATTCAGGCACTGTGCAAAGCAGTTTACAGGTTTATTGTTTCATTTTCAGATTAGGCTTATGAAGTAAATAATATCATTTTCCTTTTTTACGAGTAAGGGAGTTGAGGCTCAGAGAGGTTGAATAAATTGCTCAAAGTCACATAACGACCAGGCGTGGTAGCTCACACCTGTAATCCCAGCACTTTGGGAGGCTGAGGTGGGAGGATCACTTGAGCCCAGGAGTTTGAAATCAGCTTGGGCAACATAGCAAGACCCGCCTCTCTAGAAAAATAAAAAATTAGCCTGGCATGGTGGCATGTGCCTGTGGTCCCAGCTACTTGGGAAGCTGAGGTGGGAGGATCACTTGAGCCCAGGAGGCCAAGGCTGCAGTGAGCTGTGATCACACCACTGTACTTTAGCCTGAGCAACTAGGTGATCATCTTCCATATAGAATTGATTTGATTTGAAGATGGAACCAATAAAGATTTCCTTTGACAAGGCCCAACCCCTGTGTTTTCTGAGTGTTCCATCACTCGTGTTTCCTTGTGGAGAACATGATTTGATTTTTAAGTGGTGTTCAATTTTTCTAGTGGTCTATGAATTCCATGAGGACAGGGTCGGTGTCTATGTCATTTGCCAGTGTTTCTCCAATACCCAGCATTATGCTAGGCACACTGTAGACTTGAAAATATTTATGAAATCAATGAATAGAAAATGCAAATTGAGGCCGGGCGCTGTGGCTCATGTCTGTAATCCCAGCAGTTTGGGAGGCCGAGGCGGGTGGATCACGAGGTCAGGAGATCGAGATCATCCTGGCTAACACGGAGAAACCCAGTCTCCGTGTTACAAAAAAATACAAAATACAAAATACAAAAAAATTAGCCGGGAGTGGTGGCGGGCACTTGTAGTCCCAGCTACTTGGGAGGCTGAGGCAGGAGAATGGCATGAACCCGGGAGGCAGAGCTTGCAGTGAGCCAAGATTGCGCCACTGCACTCCAGCCTGGGTGACAGAGCGAGACTCCGTCTCAAAAAAAAAAAAAAAAAAAAAGAAAATGCAAATTGTGTTGTGAACAGCTATTTAACACTTCATTTTCCCCCTATCCAATGTATATGTTATATTTTGCTAAGCCCAGGTCTCACCTAAGTGGCTGGTCTCCACATCAGTACACAGGACATCTCTGGGGTCACCATTAGATGATTAAGGGGGACTCTTACTGAAAGAGGGGAGGGCCGCGTGGAATAGCTATAGCCAGGCTGACCAATGTCTCTGTTTGCCTGGGACAGTCCAAAGTGTGCACCGTTACCCTGTCGAATAATTAACAGTGCCTCCTTCACTCTTGAAAGAGCCCCAGTTTGGAGGATAAATTGTATGAAGACCCTAGGCCAGTGACTGCCCACATAGAGGTTGCTGTGTTGCCAGCACTATGAAAGTCTGCTGGGGGAAGAGCAGATCCCAAATGAAGCCTGGTGGGTAGGAACACAAAGAAAATTCCAGCGGTAGTCTCTATTTCCCCAAACCCTCCACCTTCTCCCCTCAGGCTGGCCCTCCTTGGGATGGGATGAGCACTTCCTGCTGATGGAAGGCAGGTGGCTTAGTCAGAAGACCTGGCTACTGGCCAGCCCTGTGACCTTGGGCAATTCACTTCTGTACTCTGGGGTCCGGAATCTCTCTCTGAATGTGAAGATAAGAGGACTGGAGTTTGGTGGTTTTCTGCACGTACTCTGTGCAACCTCCTGTGTCCGTCCCCATGGGGAGGAACAAAAATAATATGTGAAACACCATGCTAGAGAATCAGATGTCTGGATGATCAAGAAGGTGGCATTTGCTGCCCAAGTTCTCAGAGCCTGCAGGGAGCAGAGGCCAGGATTGGGGCTCCTGGATAGGCAGGCTCTGCAGAGCTGGGAAAATGTGCCCATCAGGGGAGCCCCTGCACCCTCTCTATCCAGGTGGCTTCTGGACCACCTGAGTGGCTCTGTGGGGAGATGATTACAGGCCTGGGGAGGGGGAAGAATTCACTGGCTGTGAGGTCTCCAACAATAATGAAGGAATTAATGAGCCAATCAATTCATGTATTCATTTATCATGATTTTATTAAGTAAACTGGGGGGCCCAGCTTTGAACTCAAGGGGTCCCTGTCAGAGAGTGTGTCCGAGTACGTGAGCATCAGGACTCCATGCCTAATGTATCCCCTGCCCCGTCTCCCTGCTGTGCCCAGCTGGGGGACCTTGGTCTTGGGGTTGGGGCTGACAGCAGGGAAGGGCAGAGCCAGGAGTGCTGAGAGCAGGAAGGGGAAAAGTGGGCTCCAGTGCCTGCCAGGGGCTGGGAGACACGGGTGGAAGCTAACTCTTCCTCTGAGAGCCTAGTGCTTTGTGGTTGGTATCTCTCGAGGAGTAGCTACAGAAGGTAGTCCATGTTTCCACCTAACTGTGCCTTGCCCTCCCTACCTGCCTCTCCTCCTCCCCAGCTGCCAGCTTTTAAGGAGGCTCAGCCGACTCCCCTTTGCCCTCTGGAAGTCCTTTCTGGCATCTCAAGCCTGTGGAAGCTCTGGGAAGGGCCAATTCCCTTTGATGAGTGACACTCTTCCCTCCCATTTTGTCGCTTCCTCCCTTCTGATATTCCCAGGCCCCAGCTAGGGACTCCCGGGGTCCCAGCGGGTGAAGATCCTGATCTAGGAATGTCTGAGGAACAGGTAGGGGAAAGGGGACCTTATTGGTGGGATGCCACACAGACCTGAGGAATTTCGGGGACTGTGAGGAGCCTGCAGGTTGAGCCGCCCCGTGAGGACCCACCTCCTGGGTGGCCTCAGAGGGAAATTCTGCCTTCACTAAAGGACAGCAAGGGAGATCAGGGGCAGACATTGAGCTGGAGAGAGGGCAGTGGGTGAGTCTCAGATCCCTGAGGTCTAGGCCTGGTTCTGGCACAAAACTGCTGTGTGTCCTTGGCCAGATCCTCTACGGTGAAATGGGAAAGACGATGATACCAGGGTCCCCCCTTCACTAGACTTCTATGGTGCTGTGAATTACCAGTCTCGGTGCGCCTTTGCCCCTTACCCAACTGGCTTGTGTAGAACAAGGAAAGAGGAGTCTCTGGGGGCCGGTGGTGCCAGGTGCCCATGTGGCCCTAGTGGGTCAGGGACCTGGTTTTGAGTAGCTTGGGCAGCTCCTCAATGCAGCGGAGTGTCTCTGAGGAGAGGTCACTCTGATGTCCCTGGCAGCTGAGATTAACTGCTATTCTCTTAGTCAAAACGCTGGGTGCCCCTTTTCAAAAGTCCAAGAGGCTCATTTGCATGTCATTTGCATCTCATTTGAACACTAACTCATTTAATGTTCAGCAACCACTGAGATTTCTTCCAAGCCCCTGCTTCTTGTTTTCCCCAGGTTGTCTCTCCCCATCTCCCTCCCCGCCTGCATCCTGCAGCTGGTCTAGCTGGGCAGGCCTGGTCCTCATGGACTGGGCCTCACTGGGTCCAGCCTTGTCCAAGGAGCCCACCCATTGGCTGTGGGAGGGAGAAGAGCCAATGGGTACCTCACGGTGGCAGATGTCCAGCTGTTGCCAGGAGGGGTCAGCCTTCCCCTGCGCCTCCAGGACCCTTCCCAGGCCTTGGGCTCTCTAGAGCTTTCCCTTAGACGCCTGAGACTATAGCTGCTTGCAGCAACAGAGAGAGAGGGAGAGAGACAGAGAGAAGGAGAGCAGGCAGTATGTGTTAACTGAGAATGGGTTCATTATGCCCCAGGGAGAAAAAAGCAAACAATTAAAGAATTGATAGTTTTGTTTTATTTTGCAAACTGTGGGGCTCCTATGGAGGTCTGCTGGGGAAATCCTTGTGTGGGAGCTGGGGAGAGATCTTCTCTTCCAGGGAACTCCAAAGCACTGTAGGAGCTGCTGGGAGAATCAACATTGTATTAATGTGAGAGGGAAGCTCCCTCCACCCCCATTCCTCATCCCTGGCTGGGCTAGAAGCCAGTGCCATGGAAGACAAGACTGTAGACAGGCCTGAACTGCACTGTTGCAACTGCTGTCTCCTGAGTTCAAAGAGAAGCCTTATGCCCAGAGCCATACAAAATGGCTCTGGCTGAGACCCCTCTGTGTACCAGGAGCTGCTGCAGATGAGGTTAAGGGGCTTGCTCAAGGCCACACAGCTGGGACTGGAACCCACAGCTCCTGACTCTACCCCAAAGCTTGTAGAAAGTCTCCAAGAATTTAGAAACCTTGTTCCCCATCTGACTGCTCCTCTTGTCTTGCCTCTTCTAAATGGAGCAGAAGTCAGTTAAAAGAGATGATATGGTTGACTCCTGCTGGCCCTCCTGACAACTGGAGCAGGTACCAACTGTTCAGATGCTCTTCTGCACCTCCTGATATCACCTAACACCTGCTGGCCAAGTCCTATCTCTCCTCCAAAGTCCAGTGTAACTCCTCTCCTCCCTGAAGCCTCCACTGAGGTCTTAGTCCTCCCTGACAATTTGGCACTTTAAGGCACACTTCCTAAAATACAGTGTGTTGTTCATCAGGCATCATATGATTAGCAGGCTTTTATCTGACCACAAGCTCATGGAGATCAAAGTTCTATAGACTCTCTCTCTCATGTGCACATGTATACGTGCACACACACACGTGTCTCACATGCAGGAGCCAATCCTTTACAGCTCCTGGCTGACGGACCAGGGTGCCCCAGTTTCTACATGTGTGAGACCAGCAGGTGTGAGACACAAGGCTCTGTGGCTCTGTCCATTTCCACAGCGAGGTTGGCCTCCTACCTTGTGGGTGGTTTTGTTTCCTGCCTGTTCATCAAGCTGGTGATTGGGGGAGGAGACACCGGTGCAGCCTCAGACTTGCAGTGGGTAGAGGACTGAAACCCCAAGCAGCCTCCTCTGGGCTCCCTGCAACAGTCTGAGCCCTGAGAGCAGCTGTCGGGCAGAGCTCATTATGGGGGATAATGCAAGCGGAGTGACAGGGAATATCTGTTCTCTCCCCACTATTACACTTGTCGCTCACTCTCTTCCTCTCGCAGGTGAGCTAAGGGGTTTGATTGCCTGTGTGTCGAATCTCTCCATAACAACCAGGCAAACGAGACAATCTGAGTCCTCAGAGCGATTTGGCTGGAAGCGACTTCCTAGCAAACCCCAGGGATGGAAACGGGCCAGGTCCCGGTGGGTGGCTCGGTGGTATGGCCCCCTTCCCCTTCCCAACAAGAGTGCATGACAGTAAGACCACTTTCCTTTATCCCAGAGAACAAGGAGGATGCCATTACACTCAGGCAATCTTGTTGCTGAGACAGAACAGACATTGGAAATGACTTAAAATGCTCCAGAGAGCCTGGTGGCAGAATGCCCTCCGCCTCTCCCTCAAGAGGTGTTTGTATCCAGCTGGGCCTCATTGATAAAGGGCTGGGAGTGGTCAGGCTCACCTGTGGCTCAGGGGTTTTTAGAAAGATCGAAGTTAGATCTGGAAGGGCCAGGACTCCTGAGCTGGCCACACACAGAATTCCCTATGGGCTTGCTAATAACACAGAGCCTGAGCTCAGAGCTCCAATCACTTCTCTGTGGGTGAGACCCAAAAGCCTGCATCTGAACAAATCCATAGGTCAGGGCTCCCCAACCCCTGGGCCACAGACCAACCAATAGTGGCCTGTAAGAAACCCGGGCTGCACAGCAGGAGCTGAGCACACCAGGAGGGGAGTGGCGGGTGAGCAAGAGAATAAGAGAAAGCTTCATCTGTATTGACAGCCACTCCTTATTAGTCATGTTACTGCCTGAGCCCCGCCTTCTGTCAGATCAGCTGTGGCATCAGAGGCATTAGATCATCGTAGGAGCACAAACCCTATTGTGAACTGCGCATGCCAGGGATCTAGGTTGCGAGCTCCTTATGAGAATCTAATGCCTGATGATCTGTCACTGTCTCCCATCACCCTGAGATGGGACCGTCTAGTTGCAGGAAAACAAGCTCAGGACTCCCACTGATTCTACTTCATGGTGAGTTGTGTAATTATTTCATTATAGATGGCAACAACCCTCCCCCCAACAACACTCACCCTGGTAAAATCCTTTTGCCTTTGAGTAGGGATGGAACCCATGAATGTGATTTCACTTATGAATATGTTATGGCACAGATGACCTTAAGACAGAAAAATCATTGGGATGGGCCTCATCTAATTACATGAGCTGAATCAAAGCGGAGTTTTCTCCTGCTGGTGGCTGGAGGGGACGTGAGAGAGAGGCATGAGCAGAACTGATGAGCCCTTGCTGGCCCGCAGATGGAGGGAACCCCTTGACATGGGGTGAGGGCAGCCTCCACTGACAGCAGCAAGGGAATTGAGATCTCAGTCCTACAAGCACAGGAGCTGAGTTCTGAATGACCCTGGAGGGGGACTCTTCCCCAGGGCCTCCAGGGAAGGGCTCAGCCTGGCTGACACCTGGATTTCACCCTCTGAGACCCTAAGCAGAGAATTCACTGGAACATGCCCCAGCTCTGACTCATGAACTGTGAGATTAAAAATGGGTGTTGTTTTAAGCCTCTAAATGTGTGGCAATTTGTTATGCAGCAATAAAAAATGAACACACTAAATCTAACATCCAGTCTCCTGGCTTGGAATTCATCCTTAATTTCTGGCTTTACTTGGCAGACACAATCTCCTTTCTTATCACTGGGGAGCAAGTCAGCTAAGTGCTCATCCTCTTTTCTTTTCAAATCTTTCAGGCTCTCAGAGACTTCCTACACCCCGAGTGAGATCCCACCTGTGGGCTGAGGGTCCGCTACCTCTAGTTCTCATGTAACTGCAAGAGCAGTGATGACAGGTCAGGCGCTGTGGCTCGCACCCATAATCCCAGTACTTTGGGAGACCGAGGTGGGAGGATCACTTGAACTCAGGTGTTTGAGACCATCCTGGGCAACATAGACCTCATCTCTACTAAAAACAGAAAAAAGCAGTCATCTATGATGGTGTGCACCTGTAGTTCCAGGTACTTGGGAGGCGGAGACAGGAGGATTGCTTGAGCCCAGGAGATCGAGGCTGCAGTGAGCTATGATCATGCCTCTGCACTCCAGCCTGGGCTGCGGAGCAAAATCCTGTCTCAAAAAAAAAAAAAAATAAATAAATAAAAAAAGTCAAGGTGGACGGATCACTTGAGGTCAGGAATTTGAGACCAGCCTGGCTAAAATGATGAAACGCCGTCTCTACTAAAAATACAACAATTAGCCAGGCATGGTGGTGCACGCCTGTAATCCCAGCTACTCGGAAGGCTGAGGCAGGAGAATTGCTTGAACCCCAGAGGCAGAGGTTGCAGTGAGTTGAGATTGCGCCACTGCACTCAAGTGTGGGTGATGAAGCAAGACTCTGTCTTAAAAAAATAAAAACGCAGTGATGACTTGAACTTCCAGAATGATCTAGTGTAGTGGTTCTCAACTTTTTCACCCCCAACTAATGATAAGAGTGGTGATAGTGATTAGGATGGTAAGAGCAGATATGTAATGCATGCATCCTATGTACCAGACAATGAGCTAGGTGGTTTCTCTATCTTAAGTCATTTAATCTCACAGTGACCCCATGAGATGGATATTATTATGACTCCATTTTGTAGATGAAGAAACTGAGGCTTAGAGAGTTAAGAGACTTGTGTCACTTATTGTGAGTAGGTGGTTGAGCCAGGATTTGAGATTTGGTGCCAGAGCCTGTGGTCTTAGCAGACACGTAATCTCTCTCTGTACCATGTGCCCTATATTTTTAAAGATTTTGTCTGCCAAACAAACTGCATTTATCAGGAAATAATTTGTTTTCCCATTTTTTATTAATCAAAGCCATGTATGACTGCCAATCAGGGGTTCAGATCAGAGTGAGATTAGTGGTGTTATCACACTGAGTTGATATAATTCCAGCCAAAAGCAGGGAAATGATGTCTCAGTTAGTAGTCTGTGCAGCCTTATCTTTGGTAAATGTGTCATTTCTGCTAGGCATACAGAAATATTAAAATAGCTCGCAAGGCCACATTACTACTTGTGGGAACCTGTAGGGGTCTGAGGACTGAAGATTGGGACCACTGGTCTAGATCAACTGGACCCTCGTTATCTGCTCTGCTCAGGCCTCTGCGTCCCTGTGACCTGCCCAGCTACTATTACTCCTCAAAGAGATGGCTGCTTAATACCCCTTCCCCCAAACCACCACCACTGCCAGAAGCAGAGTAGATAGTGCGATACTACCCCCCAGCCCTCCTCCCATGCACACAGGCACATACACACACACATGCACGCATGCCCTTATGCAAACACACACACACACACACACACACACACACACACAGCCATGGACATCATTCTCTCTTCTAATAGTGTAGTTCAGTCTTAGTCTAGAATATCGAGCTTTCTAATCTCACCTCATCCTAGATGTACAGAGACATGAACATAAGTAAGAGAGGAGGGTTGTTCCTTACATCCTGACTAGATATAGTCTGAGTTGTTTCTCATACCATGAGTCTAGCACAGTGAGCCATTAAGTGTCATTCATTCACTCAAAATATATTTGTTTAACACCTAGGATGTGCCAGGCATTGTTAGGTACTGGGATTTAGTGCAAACAAGGGAGACAAGGCCTCTGTTCTCATGGAGCTCACAGTCTAGGAGGAAGCTGCATTAAGCAGTTATAGTTAAGTGCAATGAAGCTTTCTAGAGAGGTGCAGATTCTGGGGGCATGCAGGCTGGAGGACTATAGCCTGTAGGTGGTCTAGGGAAGATTGCCTGGAGCTGAGACCTTAGTGTAGGAGAAGTCAGGTGGGGAGAATGGATGGCGGATTGTGCAAGGTAGGGGACCCCAAGGTGGGAAGGAGCCGAGGCTGGAGGCATTGAGGCTTTGTGGGAGGAACAGTGTGACTGACTGAGACCCTGCAGTAGCATTGTGTCTGAAAGATGAGCCCTGCTTGAGGATCAGGGTTCCAGGCAGCACCAACATGGGGCACTGCTTAGGGCTGGCAGGGAGGGGTCCCTTGTTAGGGGTCAATCTTGTAGCTTGCCAATGCACATGATCACCCTTCTTCCATTCTTTCCCATCCGCCACAGGGAGCTAGTATCATATTCTGAGCCAGAAGTGGTTGTGGAAAATGACAGGAGTCTCTCTGTGGGTGGGGTGTGCCTTCTGGTGGCTCCACAACAGAACGTGCCCCTGGTGGGAAAGAGTCCTCCTGCACCTTGGAGAGAACCATATGAGCTTGAAGAAGCCGGGAGGATGGTCCAGGCAGGACTGTGGCTAGGACAGTGGACAGGCCAGCTCAGGCAGTGAAGACAGGCGGCCTCCCAGATGCACAGAAGTCAAGCTGAGCCACAGGAAGCAACAGCTGAGGGGAGGAGAGCCTCATGCCATGCAGGAAGGGAGGAGAGCCTCATGCCATGCAGGAAGGAAGGAGGCACCCTGGGCCTCCAGGTGAGCATCAGCATCATTGAGGCAGGAGAGCAGAAATACCTTGGTGGCTGGGCCGAGGTCTCCATGGGCTTCATGCAGACCTTTCAGGCTATGGCCCTGGGTTCCTCCCCTTTTCATCCTCTGAGCCTCCCCAGTTAGCCAGAATTCCAGGGGTTTCATTAGATGGTTCTCACCTGGTGTTCCCAGGTAAATGACCACCACAAGCATCTATGCACTGGGCAACAGTTGCCTAGGGGTGTGGGTGGAAGGGCCCTATGAGGGATGCCAACAGGACAGGGGAGGCCAGAGGCTGTGAGCCAGGGGCCCAGTTTGGGTGGGAGAAGTCCTCCACCTGCTCTTAACTGTGGGTGGGGGTCCAGATCTCCAGGCACAAGGGAAATGACAAGCACAAGTCCTTTTTCTGTGTCATCATAATGAAAATAAGCACCATTGGCTACATGTGTAGTCTGCTGTAAAGATGATAAGGTATTACATAGACAGGATGAAATGCAAATTTCTCTGCAAGTCTGCAAGTCCATGAAGCAGACTGAACAGGCATCAATGTTCCCATTTGACAGATGTGGCTCAAAGAAGGTAAGCAACTCACTAAAAGGCACACAGCCAGTGAGTTCAGCGAGGAAGCTGGGACCTGGTCATGCCAGTTGATGTGAGGCAGAGGCTGTTTCTGAGACCTGAGGAGACACACATTACCAACAATCAATGTCTGAGGGCTCGTGTTCGTTTCATGGGGCTGCTGTAACAAATTACCATAAACTGGGAGGCTTAAAACAGAAATCTATTCACTCACCATTCTGGAGAGCAGAAAACGGAGATCTGGGCTTCGGTGGGGATGGTTCCCCTTGGGGGTATGCCTGTCCCGGCTTCTGGTGATTGCTGCCATCTTGTTGCCTTGGCTGTGGCAGGATCACTCCATCTCTGCCTCCATCATCAGGTAGCATTCTCCTAGTGTGTGTCTGTGTCCAGATTTCCCTCTTGTTACAAGGATACCAGTCATTGGATTGGAGTGGGTCTACGTAGCCCAGTGTGACCTCATTTTAACTTGATGTGTATCTGTAAACATCCTATTTCCGAGCAAGGTCATATTCACAAGGTAGATATAAATTTTAGGAGACTTTCAACCCAGTACAGGGCTAATCAGGGCAGACTTTGTGGGGATGGAGATCTGGCCATTTAGGTGCAGGGTGGTGGCACGCCAGAGAAGAGTGGGACTGCAGGGACCCAGGGTTAACTTCACCACAGAGGCTCATGCTGTTCTCAGGAGCACAGGACAAGAGAAGGAAACTGGAAACCTACCCCCTCACTCTTGTACACACCTTGTCCAGCCCCGGTTCTGTTTTCCTGCCCCTCCCTCAACAATCCTGACTTGCATCCACAAACAAGGATGTGTTAGGATGGTTGATAATGTAATTATTATGGAACAACTCTGATTAATTGAGCACTTACTATGTGCCAGGTGCTGTACAAAGAGCTTTACATGCATATTTCATTTAACGCTCGTAATCAGTCTGTGAAATAAGACCTGTTCTTATCCTCATTTGGCACTTGAAGAAACAAAGCCTTTGGAAGGCCAAGTCATGTGCCTGAGGTCATCGATGCAGCATGTGGTGTGAATGGGATTTTAGACCAGCTCAGCAGAGAACTGGGGGCCCAAGTCCTTAGATAGCCCTGACCCCTCCACCCACCCAACCCTGACCTATGCCCTAGAGAATAGAGGGTGACCTGTGGGGACCCGGAATAGGAGGGGTAGGGAACAGGGAAACTCTAAGGGACACAAAAGGGGAATGATGAGGTGAGATTCTCCGTGCTAAAAGGCTTTGAACTATTTCTACCCAACCAAACTGGCAGCTCCCTTCTCCCCTTCCTCTGGGGCTGCCTGGAAACAGTGAGCGAAGGAAATGAGGCTTCTACCTCCCTGCTGTTTCCATGGGGCCTGGAATGGTTCCCCACCCTATTTGCAAGGCCATAAATAATCGAGATGTATTACTCAGGGATTGCCATGGTAACATCTTCAGGTTACCAGGGATGCAAGATCCAAACAAAAGTATTCGATTAAATATTTCTGGCCACTAGAGGAATCCAGCCATGTAACGCTGGGATGTGGGGAGAGGAGGCGCAGCATGAAGGGATTATTCCTTCTTTCTCCTTTCTTTTCTCAGCTTCCTCCTCAGATAATTATGGCTCTGCTGGGCGGGCCCTGTCTCCCTCCTCTCTTATTCTGGGGGCCTTTCCCTGCTCTTGTGATGGAGGGTTCCCCCTACATCCCGTATCTCTAACAGAAACAAGGATCCTGAAGCCAGCTCTAAAAGAGATGCCCTTGGCTCTCATAAACACTCCCTCTTGAAATTGGTTTAGGATTGAGTTGAATATCCAACTAAAGAGCATTCCCACATACATCATCCTTCCAAGTGGAATTAGCAGACCTGAAAGTTGGTTTCCCCCCTGACACCAGGAGCATGATATAGGCCTGGAATTATGGTAGTCGCAGAGAGGAGAAACAGCAGTGTGATTGATTTGGGTGCGGGGGCTCCTGTCCTGGTCCTGGGGGCTGGGAAGAGCGCACAGCAGGCATGATCCTCCCTGGAGCCCCGCCTGGGAATGGCTCTGCCTCCATCCAGAGCTACGCAACCACTATAAATATGTTTCTAATAACCAAGTGTGTTTGTTTAACATAAGCTTGCTCTACCCTCTAAGGTAGCCCGAGAAAGTGCCAAGTGAGGCAGAGTTTAGGAGGTGTAATTTAAAGTCGTGTTGGCAGGCCTCGGTGTACAGCCAGGGAGAGGATAAATCTCTCTGAGTAGCCAAGTCGCCCTTTCTGTGACTTCACTTCTAAGAGGTTGTAGCTGGAAGGGATTGCAAGAGTCACCTAGTTCAAGACCTTCCTTTGCAAGAAAGGGAGCTGAGTGGGAGGTAGGAGGACTTCCTGAAAAGGTCACCCAGCCAGTAAGTAAGCTCCTTTCTGTCTAAAACTCAATTTCCTAAACCAATGATTATTCCCCTATTCCTCTGTATAGGGCCCCAGCCCTGGAGGAGACTATTGGGTATGTGTACAGCTTGAGAATCTGGAGGAAGGTGGAGGGCTGGGGAGCAAAGATACTCAGGGAGACTCCAGGCCTGTTGGGTACACACTTCAGCCCACCCAGCCTGACTGGTGCCTTGAGCCCTACTAGCCATGTAAACAAAGCCCTTCCTGTCTCTGTTATCTCCAGTGGATCCATAGGTTCTCCTTGGGTAGGCTGGGCCTTGTAGACTGCTGATTAGCTTTCCCTTTCACAGAGCAAGATTTCCCTTCTGGGGGCCATTGTTCCACCCAAGCACAAGCTGGCTTTGCAACCAGACTCTTCCCCAGGCAGGATGAGGGAGGGGAACCTGGCCTGGGGCCAGATGATGGCCACCTCCCCAACCACCTGCAGGTTCCTACCCAACCAGGGGTTAGCATGTCATACATTGTTTATGAAGCTTTTGTCTTGGGCTCAAGGTGAGCCAGGGAATCAGAGAGATAAATAAATAAATAATTTTAAGCAGAGCTGAGCGTAGGGGCAGAAGGGAGGGCTGCAGGGGTTGTTTTTCTTGGGGGCTTGCATATTTTATCACCCTGCAGTCTCATGACCCCTCTTCCCTCCCCTCCCCTCTCTCCTGATGTTGCTGTGATGAGAGTTTATATTATCCAGCACACACTGGTTTGTAAGTCTATTTACAACCCAGGTGTTGTTGGTTTGCGTGAGAGAGAGAGATGCCCCATCCCCAGATTAGTTAAACTGGAAATAAATTGGTTGTTAAATAAAAGCCCTCTGTGGGATGTGACAGTGATGAATGAAGGGTGGATGTGCCTGGGGAAGGGAGTGGTGGCTTTCTGGATTGAGACTGTTTGAAGCTGAAGTGGCCCAGGAGGCTTGGGTGGGAGCCTGGGATGGCCTGTGGGCCTGGGAGGGTTTGGGGCCTGAGGACAGAGAATGGTCAGGCAATGGTGGGCCCTGAAATACATTTATAGAGGGAAATTGAAGGCTGAAGACTTGAGCACCCTCTAGAACTATATTTTATTTTCTTGTGGCTGAAAGAGCACTTTCGTGTCTTTGATTTTAGAATTTTGCAACATATTTTTCTTACTTTACAGATGGAGGAAACTGCAGTGAAATCACTTGCCTGTGGTCATTGTCAAATAAAAAAGAAATCTGGACTTAGTAAGGAAAGATTTTATTTAAAAGGATTATTGCAGAGTGGGGAAAGCGATTATTGCAGCAGGGAGCTTCTCTGACCCCAAGATCTGCAGGCATCCCCAAGAGTTAGGCAAACAGGGGTTTTCTTTCATAGAGAGGAGTAAACAGGCAAGAATGAATGAGAAGGGGGATGAATGGGTGGCACGATCCTATAGGAAACTGAAGACTGTTTCTCCGAGGCCAGACTATTTTGCGGCTCAGGCTGAGGGCGAGCCAGAGTTCAGAACCTGGAGGAAGGAGAGAAGTTTAACCAGAGTTTGGTTAACAAGCATTTTGTTCTTATTAGTCAGTGGGGACAAGCATTCAATTAATCATTTATGCGGCAAAGAAAGAGACTGGGGAGGGTCTGTGTCTGGCCTTGACATAAGTAAACAAGACGGTGGTGGGAGGTGGGGCACGCATCTGTGAGTCCTATCTAAGTCATATGGAAAGTGTTTTTGTTTTTATAGGTACACTGTTTTCCAGAATAAAAAGTTGAGTGGATTTCTTAACCTTCACTGTTTTCTAGGATTACAGGGCTCAGATAAAAGTCAACATTGTCATCATGCAGTTACACATGGCAGTGTTAGGGTAGCTGAGTCCAAAGCTCACCTCATGGCGGTCAGTAAGTCACGAGACAAGGTGCTGGGGCAAGAAAGTGACTTTATCTCAGAGAGCCAGCAAGCCAAGAAGATGGTGGAATAATGCCCTGAAGAACCATCTTGAAAGGCATAGATATTGAGCTTTTTTTCATATTGGGAAGGGGGAGCAAGGAGGGTTAGAGGTCAGGAGGTGACAGGTGACCACAGACATCTGGGCATCAACAGGAGTCCAAGGGGGTTGCATCACTTCTTTGTCCTTGGTCAGGTCACAGTGCTCCTATAAATCTTTTTATTTATTTATTTATTTTTGAGACAGGGTCTCACTCTGTCACCCAGGCTCACTGCAACTTCCACCTCCTGGTCTCAAGCAATTCTCCCATCTCAGCCTCCTGAGTAGCTGGCACTACAGGTGTGCGCCACCATGCCTGGTTAATTTTTTGTATTTTTATGTAGAGATGGGGTCTTACCATGTTGTCCAGGCTGGTCTTAACTCCTGGATTCAAGCAATCCTCGTACTTCAGCCTCCCAAAGTGCTAGGATTACAGGCGTGAGCCACTGCACCTGCCCGGCCTCGCCTGTAAATCTTTAGCATAACATTATTACTTGCGTGTATGCACTTCTTATCTCTTTGGGGGTTAGTTTTAGGAAAGAACTATTATCATCCTTGCTTTAAAGTTAAACTATAGAGTAAATTCCTCCCATTTCTGACTACCAGCAGAAAGGAGCGAAGACAACCCGTGAGGTTAGAAGCAAGATGGAGTCAACTATGTTAGAGTTCTCTCACTGTTACATTCGGCCTGGAATTCAGACTCTGGGCTCCCAGAGCACTTATATAGTTCTTCATCCTCTTACCTCTTTCATATCTAAACAGTCTTAACATCTTTCTCTCCATTCTTTTCCTCCTATTAAAATCTGCTGTCAAGAATAAAGAACCTGTCAGCAGCCTAAACTGTCACCCTGCCCAGGGATATTTGTGTTTGACTAGGGACCAGAGCTTTAACTTTTAGAATTGAGAAGGAGAGTCCTTTTCAGAATTAACCTGTCCTGACTTTCCGTTTCTTTCATCACCATCACAGGGTCACTTCTGCCTGAACTTGGGAGGGATAATAGATGATAAGGAGTTGGTTGATAATGGGTCATTGAAGCAAAGAATCTCAGGGCTGAACGGGAGGGAACTTAGAATATCTAGCACAATCTCCTATTATGCAGATGGGAAAAGTGAGGAACAAATAGGAGAAGGGATGGTAGCCAGGCTTGATACTAAACAAGGATCTTCCTAACTGTTCATGTTATAGAGGGAACAAAGGGGGCACACGACTCTCCTCCTCTCCCATGAGCACCAAGTCCTCCCTTTCCTGACACCCCGCCTACCCCCACAGAGTTCCTGGGTGAACCAGTGGTTATCAAGCTTTAGCAGGAGTAACAATCGCTCAGTGTGCCGGATGTGGATGCCTGCATATCCACTGTCCTCCTGGATTATGTAGGAATGGATCCCAGTTATCTGCATTTTACCTAGATTCTGATGAGGCTGTTTGAGAACCACACATTTTGGAAACACTGGCAGAGGCCAATGTGAGTCCAAGAAAGGTGGACGGGCCAGGTGTGGTGGCTCATGTCTGTAATCCCAGCACTTTGGGAGGCCGAGGCGGGAGGATCACCTGAGGTCAGCAGTTCAAGACCAGCCTGGCCAACGCGGTGAAACCCCATCTCTACTAAAAATGCAAAAATTAGCCAGGGTGTGGTGGCATGTGCCTGTAGTCCCAGCTACTCAGGAGGCCGAGGCAGGAGAATTGCTTGAACTCAGGAGGTGGAGGTTGCAGTGAGCCAAGAGCACACCACTGCACTCCAGCCTGTGGGGTGGCGACCTGTAATTCCCACCTCTAGGAACTGTTGATGGGTAGGGCAGCCCTCCTTTCTCCCCTTATTTCCTCCTCGTACCATCGCAGAGATGGAGCCTGGGGGAGGAGAGCTGTTCTTCAGAGGAATTAAAGACTCTTCCTTGAAAGGTAACAAATTCCTCACTAATTATGCCATTATTTTATTATGCAGCCTTAGTGAAAAAAATACACAAACCACTCAAACCCTAAAAAGAAGGCTGTATCCAGGACTTATCCAATTTAATAAATCCTCTCCATCCAGTAATTATTTCCCGGATTCTTTTTAATACAAGTGTGCAGTCGTGGGGAACGGTCTCTCTCTGGCTGTGGCAGGGAAGGAGGACAGGCCCTCTCTCACCCACCCCACCCATCTGCCCTCTCGAAGTGGGTGCCAAACATGTATACCACAGTCTTTCTAAACCACACCTTTCACCTTCCTCCTCCAGCCTGTCGTATTCCTGACAGAAAGGGTGTGAGGGAGGAGGAGGACACGTTAAATTCTGACCCCCTTCGTTGAAATTTGGGGCTCATCCCTAAAAATTCCCAAGACTCTCCCTGTGGCCTGGCCCTGCCCCAGGTTTTATTCCATGTCCTCAGCCTTTCTCTCAACTAGCAGTTATGAGCCCCAACCCCCAAAGGTTTTCGTGATAAAATGTGGATATGTTACCCCTTCAAAGTCACATATTTTGAATCAGACAGGTCTGTGCTCACATTTTGACTTGACTAAGCACTGGTGCGTGCTTCATTTCTCTGAGTCTCTGCTGTCTTTGTCCATATAATGCGGATGCTGATATCTTCCTCATGAAGGATATCGTGTGGATCAAAGGAGGTGGACCTGAAGGATGTAATGCAATGCTTGACACACAGCTGGTGACCATCAAGGAACCTTTCCCTCCATGCCCCCTCCCTCCCCCAGCTCCTTGAAGCCTTAGGTTGAATATCTCCAGATGGCATTCATAATGGTGGGGGAGACATTTGGGGCCATGGAGGCTTTCTCGGCTCTCCTGAAATTCCCTCAGTTACTTTGTCCTCCCGCCACGCCCCCCACCCCAGTCTTGTGATGGAGCAGCTATAAGGAGGGCTTAGACTTTAGATGTTACTGGTCAGGAAGCACCTGGGAGAGCTTGTTTTTCTGTCCCTAGCAGAAGGGCTGGGCCAGGAAGAGCTGGCTGCATCCCTTCTCCATTACCATTGCCATGGAGACTGCCTGCAGCTGAATTCCTCTTCCTCAGCATCCTGACTAAGGCACAATCAACTGTGCTCCCTCATGCAGGATGCTGGCCACAGCTTGGTCCTGCTAGCTGTGTACCCTTGTTGCACCAGGGTGGTGGTCAGTGTGAGAAGGCTGCTCCCACCCACAGCCCCTGCGTCTCTGTGCTCATCTATTTATTATAACCCCGTTAGTTGAATTTTGGGGCTTGCCCCTAGCAAGTTCCTGTTATTCTACCTAAGACTTAAGACAGCATCTTCACAGGCATCACTTCTGGGCACTGCTTTGATGCCACATGGTCCTGGCCAGGCAGCCTGAACTTTGAAGTCATATGGACTACATTAGAAGGCTGCTTCTGGGTTGGGCAAGGTGGTCCATGCCCGTAATCCCAGCACTTTGGGATGCCAAGGTGGGAGGATCACTTGAGGCCAGAAGTTCAAGACCAGCCTGGGCAACATAACGAGATCTCATCCCTACAAAAAACAAACAAACAAACAAAACCCCAAAGAAACTTAGCCAGGTGTGGTGGTGCATGTCTATTGTCCCAGCTACTCAGGAGGGTCATTTGAGTTCAGGAGTTCAAGGCTGCAGTGAGCCATAATTATGCCACTGGACTCCAGCCTGGGTGACAGAGTGAAACCCTAGATCTCCCTGTTGGGCGGGGGAGGTGGGGGGAGGAAGGCTGTTTCTGGGATTCACTAATGGGGTCGTTTTGGGCTAGAGTTACATGAACTCCCAGACCTCAGTTTCTTCACCTGTAAAACGGGCATACTAATAGAATATACCCCAGCGGGTTGTCGCAAGGCTCATCTAAGATGACATACGGGGAAGAGTTTTGTCAAACAGAAAGCACTGAATAAACTTGGTGGGTAGGATGAGGCTGGCACTGCCTGAGCACCTGTTCTGTGCCCATGGTCATGTGAAACCTTTAACATACATTATTTCGTTGGGTTTAAAACACCATGAGGTAGGGCTCAATTTCTGCACTGTACCTGTGAGAAAAGAGGCATAGAAAAACTAAATAAATTGCCTGAGCTCACAAAGAAGAAAAGAGCCAGAACTTGAACTGTTATCAGCTCTTTCTCAATAAAAGCCTGTAAGAGATCACTGTTCTTATTGATACTGATTCATAAAGAAGTTTTTATTGAGCATTGTGTTAGTCAGGGCTCTCCAGAGAAACAAAACCAATAGGATATATTTGTATATCTATGAAGAGATTTATTATGGGAACTGGCTCACATGATTATAGAGGCTGAGAAATCCTGAAATCTGCCTTCTGCAAGCTGGTGACCTGGAAAAGCTGGTGTCATTTAGTCTGAGTCTGGGGGCTCAAAAACCAGGAGCTCTCATATTTAAGGGTAGGGGAAGATGATTATCATAGGTTCAAGAAGAAAGTACAAATTAGGCCAGGTGGGGTGGCTCATGCCTGTAATCCTAGCACTATGGGAGGCTGAGGCCGGAGGATCATCTGAGGTCAGGAGTTTGAGACCAGCCTGGCTAAGATGGTAAAACCCCATCTCTACTGAAAATACAAAAAATTATCCAGGTGTGGTGGCGGGTGCCTGTAATCCCACCTACTCGCGAGGCTGAGGCAGGAGAATCACTTGAACCCGGGAGGCGGAGGTTGCAGTGAGCCGAGATCGCACCACTACACTCCAGCCTGGGCAACAAGAGTGAAACTCTGTCTCAGAAAAAAAAAAAAAAAAAGAAAAAGAAAAAAGAGAAAGAAAAAAGAAAGTACAAATTAGCCTTTCCAGGGCCTTTTTGTTCTATTCAAGCCCACAACGGATTGGATGGTGCCTGCCTATGTTGGAGAGGGTAGGCCTTCTTTACTCAGTCTACCCATTCAATGTTCATCTCTTCCAGAAACACCCACACAGACACACCCAGAAATAATGTTTTGCCAGCTCTCTGGGCATCCCCTAACCCAGTCAAGTTGACATATAAAACTACTATAAGCACTTGCTTACAGGAGGCTGTAAAGGACACTAGAACAGTATATGACAGGGTCTTCCTTGACTGTAAAGAGCTTACACTCTATTTGTGATACAGGAAAAGTGAACCAGCTTTAGACAGGGGGGCCCATGACAAAGCCATGGATGGAGACAGGCAACATGAGTCTTACAGGTCAGGAGGGGCTGCTCCTCCTGGGCTGGGGTCTTTAGAGAAGGCTTCATGGTAGGTGGGGACTTGGGCTAGGCTTTTAAGAGTGGAAAGAATTTGAAGAGGCAGAGAAGTTGGGTCGGCAATCCTGGTGGGGACTTGGATCGTCTGGAGAGAGCCCTAGAAATGTGCTGAATGGTGGGGAAAGGGAGGTGCTCTTAGAAACTGGCCATAGATTATTTTCCACATGGAGTTGCAGAGACTCGGCGATCGCTTACATGAATCAATCTGTAGCAGATGCAAGTGTGTACCCAGACCTGTCCCCCATAGCACCTGCCTGCCTCCCAGGCGGCCTCACCTTCTTTTCACTGGAAGCCTGCAGCAGAGTGGGCACCAAATCATTTCTGTCTATCACTCAGCTCCTGCTGTGTCTGCTTCTTTTCTCTGAAGTTGCCTATCCAGTGGCTTCCAGCCTGGCCCTCTTGCTCTTCAAATGTCAGTCGCTGCTTGATCAAACTGGATATCCTCCAATGTAGGGGTCACAGGAGATGGTGTGTGCACCGCTGGGTCCTGGCCCAGCTCAGCCGGGCTCCTGAGGGTCCTTGAAGCAGGCTCTGGGACTGGACTATTCCCTGACATCTGAAGCCCCATGGTGGGGATGAGCAGAGTCAGGCTTGGGTGTTGTTGGTAAAATGAGAGTAGATTTGGATAATTTGAGGGCTGGGATGGGGGTGAGGGTGCAGATAATGTGGACAAACTGAGGGTAGCCAGGAGTGGGGAGGGGTCGGGAGCATGCATTGCACATGGGCCTGCTTGGGAAAACAGATCTCCAGGCCTTCAGCTTCTTCCTTTGCACTCATTTCTGTGCCACTTCAGGTGATGAAACAGGCTAAGGATCCCCATGGGGGAAACTTCTGCCCACTTTCATGAGTACTTAGTCTCATCTCCTAGGAAGGCATCCATGCTTCCTGAGCCAGATCCATCAGTTGTCATGTGAGGAAGTTCTGAGTGTAGAATATGTACCTGTTGGCAAGCTCCATAATCACAGCCTGGTCACTTAATTTGATGTGACTCAGACGAGTACATTAGTCAGGCTGGCTGACTTATTCCTTATGCCCTGATGTTTGGGCTACTTAGTTCTCATGCCTTTCTGGTCTCCTGGGCAAATTCCTTTTCAAAGCACTCTCTTCCTTGTGGTTCTTTTCTTTGGGTATCTCCCTGAAGCTTTGGCTTTTGATGCTTCCCTGCTTTCCATTCCAGGCTCTCCAGTTAAGCATCAAGGCCTATCGTGGCCCCCGCAACCAAGTATACTCCAGCAGGTCCTGCCTCTACTTGCTCTCCCACTCCTGTGTTTAGGGACTTTGTCTTTGGTGAAATAAGATTCCTTCTTTCTCCTCCCTCCACCGCTTTCTTGAACTTATCCCTCTTTCTTTCCTCCCACTGATCTTTTGTCCAGGCTTTCTCCTCTCTCATTATGGGGGTCCAGCCAGACCTGCTTCTCTCCTTTGTTCTCTGAAACTTCTAGGTTATCTCACCCTCCAAACCCCCATCAAATTTTCTTTATCTGGAGTCTTCTTCCATGAGAGTGCTGCTCTCGGAGAAAGATTTATAAACTAAACGCTACCAGAATGGGACTATGTCATACTAACTATAATGTACTTGGAATTTGGCATGGCCCTTCTGGAGTTGTGTCTTAACCTAAGGAAATGGTGACCATTCTGGGCCAAAGTTTAGAGCCACAGATTGAGATCCCTGGGGAGGACATCTTCTGAGACTCATATTTCAGGTGGTCTTAATTTCAGAGAGGGTTCAAGATTAGGACTATCTTTTTGGTTAGTGTCTGTTTCTCCTTTTGTCTACCTTTGCCCTCCAATTTGGCCCTAAACCCTGGACTAGAAACCAGAGTGTGGCACACATTGATCATACCCTCTTCCCATAAGAGGGCCATCCAGAACTCCTGGTATATCCAGCTCTTCCTCAACTTCTCTTCTCTTTACCACAGTCCTTCTTGGGTGCTCTTGGCATGGAGAAGGGATGGCTCTTCACTCTTTGAATCACCAAACATCTAAGGTTGGATTCATGTGGCCCAGACTCCTCTTGACCTCCAAGGGGTTCTCAGCCCCTTCTTTCTAAGCTCTTATCAATCTGTGAGCCCCCCCTATGATAGAAACCAAAGCCTCTCTTTTTCCAGGAAGGCCATTTGCATGTTTACAGGCATTCTGTTATTACAGTTTCCAGTAAATTTGAAAGACATAAAAAAACTGCAAGAGTATTGTTTGGAGCCAATTTTATTGCCATGGCTTTAAAAAAAAAAAGATAGTGATTCCATTAGTAGTTGAAAATCATAGTAGTACTGTATTATTGAGTATACATTTTACTGCAATGGTAACAGTGTGCCACAGAGACAATAAACACACAATTGAAGAGCAGTTATTGGCAAGCTGGGTGGACAGGAGACAACACGTCACACCTCAGGGCCACGTGGGAATTGAAGTAGAGGATTTTTTAGTGTTCTGAGAACTACGCTTTCTTGTACACAGGAAGGTATTTGGGGCATAGAACGAGCTTGAAACCAGACAGATCTGGGTAGAAAGCCTTGCCTTGCCTGTTTCTAGCTGTAGGAAGCTGAGTGGTTCACTTAGCCTCATCAGCAGAATGGGGCTAATCCTACCAGGTTGTGAGGATTAAATGTGACACTAGATGTAAATGTTCTTGTAAATCGCTGAATTGTAAATTCCATGGAGGCAGGGCCCCTGTCCATCTGGTTCTCCTCTTTCTTCCTAGCACCACCTCAGTGCCTAGCATGTAATAGGTTTATTAATGTAGCTATTAGTGTACTATTTTTGTTGTTGTTATGCTTTCTTTTTTTTACATCACTGGAAGATAATCAAAGGCTTCTGATCTAGTTAATCCCCTGCCTCTTCTGCTAGCTGAACCAGCAACCCATCCTCCCCAATCCAGTGCCCTCGAGCCTGAGAGCACTACAGGGTAGCCAGATGGGAAACTGAAAGAAGGCTTGAATAATAAAGAGAAAACCAAAAGGGCTTTCCCACCAACCCATGAGATTGACGAGCTATGAGTCTGTGTATTTCAACCTTTTGGCAGAACAATTCTGAAGCAAATTACAATACTTGATTTAATAGTGAGGCTCCCAGATACAGAGCATGTCTCAGATAGGCCGGGGATTTGTTACTTGATTTATAGAAAAATACTTTTGATGTAAATGTTTATTAGAGGCAAGTTCTCTTTAAAGGTGATATATGGCATTGTTACACATTAGCTTGAAAAGTGGTGTCTCTGGAGGGCCCAGATTGCACAGGGTCAGAGCTTCACATCTTCCATGGCTGGGAACATTGCTTCCTATTGCTCTCATCTGGCAGCTCTTAGGGTTCTTTATCACCTTTATGTCTCAATTGTCACACCTGCAGGCTTCCTGTCAAGCATTAAAGGTTCTTGGTCTACAAGTGAGAAGGTGCCTTTTGGCGTTGTAGGTGACCTTCTGCTTTTTAGGTTGTTTGTTCTATTTCTTGGAGAGAGATGAGCAAGGGTAGCCAACCAGGGAACCTCAATTTCCCGATCTGTAAAATGAGGGATGAAGATGGCATGCTCCATGCAACCACCTGGACTCTTAAAAACCAGGCACCCTGTTTGATTTTCCTTTCTGTCTCCAGTGCTATGCAGAATGCCTGGTATGTGGTAATACTCATGCCATTGCCTTGGATGAAATGAACGAGTGAATGATACCATCTATGGGAGATTTTGGATAATGAAGGCCTGTATAATTTCCTTTCTAGATGTTCATAAAAGAGGATTCTATGAAATCTCGATGAAACTACCTTCTCTCTTTCTTTCCCTTACTTGGCCCTTTTATCTTTGGATATGCCCAATAGATTTAGCTTCTAAACCCCGAAGCTGCTGTGAGTTTTGAGCTCCTGCCCCACACCTCCCTAGTCTGCCCCTCACTGTCTGTTTTTGAACCCCATCCCTTGTGGATGGAGTTGGCAAACACTATATAATTATATTGGAAATCACAGGTTCCCAGAGACTGGGGAGTAATTATGCTTAATAGGAATAAAATGAATTCCCAGTTGCCCTCTTCGGGGTGGATGACAGTCCGACCCTATATTTACCCTCTAATGATATGGCAATTACCATGTAATAATTACCCTGATACTGGCTGGCACATGCCCAGTTATTAATTGGTTAATGGCCATTGTGCCATGCCGGGAATTGAGGAATGTGCCTGCTCCTTAATTTCCATAACTTAAACATCGTCAGCTTTTAGGGAGGATCTTAGGAGACAGTCACGTGGGGAGCTGGAAGGCACCGTGCCACCTGCGAAAGAATTAGGGTTCCCAGCTGAAGGTCTTTTCTCTAGGAATGCAAACCCAGCCCTCTGGGGAGTGGTGGCAGGAGGGAGCTATGCAGGGGAGAAGCCCACTGGGGTCAGAATGAGCCTTCACAACCTTCCTATGACAATGGAAGGACTAGAGGTGTTGGGGCAAGTCATAATTAAAGCCCAAATGAAATCTCATCTCATCCCTAGGTGTTAATTAAATCATTTATTCATCCAGTCTGTTTATTGAGCACACTCATAAAACAGTGCATGCACCTCCAGCCTCCTTGGTGCACATTGATTTTTTCCTTCTATGAACCTCTCCCTCAAGATCTTATTTGTCAACTCTGTTTTGTATGATCTCTTCATTGGCCCCAGGATCTCAGTCTTGCCTCAGAAAGTGGACTGGCAGCTTTTTGAGGGCAACATTTGTCTAAACAACCTTTTCCTCTTTGTGATAAGCCCGGAGAAAGCACTTAACATACATGTTAAATGAATGATAGTTAGCAAGATAGTAGAGGAAAAGGGCATGAGCTTTGGGGTTAGTTAGACCTGGGTTCAAATTCCAGCTTTGTCATTAATAAGTGGTGTGACATTGGACAAATGAATCACTTACCTTCTCTAAGACTGTTTCCTCACCCGAAAAATGGGAATAATAATAGCTAGTACATAGTGCTTGTCACACAATATGCGGGAGACACCAAAATAGTTTCTAATATTATAGTAGGTACTGTGTATTTTATTTACATATTAATGCATATCATATGGATATATACGAAGCATATGCATGGAAATATATATATGCATAGAGAGATATATATGGATATATATGTAATAAAAATAGGGTAGGCATTTTCCTCTCCTCTTTTTCTTTTTTTTTTCCTTTTTTTTTTTTTTTTTTGAGATGGAGTTTCCTTCTTGTTGTCCAGGCTGGAGTGCAGTGGCATGATCTCGGCTCACTGCAACCTCTACCTCCCAGGTTCCAGCAATTCTTGTGCCTCAGCCTCCTGAGTAGCTGGAACTACAGGCACCTGCCACCACACCCAGCTAATTTTTGTATTTTCAGTAGAGATGGAGTTTCACTATGTTGGCCAGGCTGGTCTTGAACTCCTGACCTCAAATGATCCACCCGCCTCGGCCTCCCAAAGTGCTGGGATGACAGGCGTGAGCCACTGTACCTGGCCCCTCTCCTCTTTTTCATGGGAGCAGAGGTAATGGGGTTTGGAGTCCTGAGTAACCATGATTATGTTTTGTGGTTAATTTTTCTGTGACCTGTGAGTGGACCAATATTCTGCCTCAATCTAGAGAATCATTGGAGATCATTCAAATCCCATCGAGGGAAAATTACATTGAAGGTGTTTTGCAATACAATTTTCACACATGTTATTTCACTTAATCCTCACATTAAGTCTGCAAGGGGAAAAATATTGTGAAAAACAGAATGCACCGGTTAATTAAGAAGATGATTTTATTAAGGCTATTTGCAATGGGGAGAGTGCTCATTAATGAGGAGTGTCTAAAAGAGAAGGAAGGGGGCCCAGGATTTTATAGGGGCAGGTAAGCAAGGGACCCATCAGTGAGTCTTATGGGAGTCATGAGAAAGGTAGCGGAGGGTCCTATCTGAGTCGCTGAGGACTGGTGAGGTGGGTGTTTTCTGGGAATATTGGAGCGCAGCTTAGCCATTTTGGGGAACACAAGAGGGTTGGAGGGGTTTGTCAACCTTCGGGAACGCAGGGCCTAGATCAAGTTCAATGTCGTTGATATCATTCTGAGGTTTGTAACTGAACTGACTAAAGATAAGAAGAGAGGTTAAGTAACTTGTCCAACATCCCATGGCCAGTTTGAAGGGGAGCTATCTCAGAACCCCAGCCTGTGTGGCCCCAGAGCTTCCATCTTGTTGCAGATGCAATGGCATTTTTTTTTTTTGCATTCATTGATTCATTCAACATTGCATTCATTTGTTCATTTGCATTCATTGATTCATTCATCGTTCATTGAGATGCGACTACATGCTGAGAACTGTTCTTGGTGCTGGGGAAACTTCACTGAAAAGATAGCAAGGGCCCTGGCTGCATGGAAGTCACATCTGAGTGCAAGAGAGAGAGAGACATTGAACAACTTAACATGTAAATAAAACAGATCACTTGAGATAGGGATTAAATGCTATGAAGGAAATACAACAGAGTGATGTGTTGGAGAGTGACTGGAGTGGGGAGCATTCTCTGAGGAGGTGACAGATGAGCGGAGGCCTGAATGGTGAGAAGGAACCAGCCATGCACACAGCTCAGGGTGTGGATGCTGGGGGACTGTTCTAGGAGAAGGGAACATCAAGTGGGAAGGCCCTGTGTGAAGGAATGAGTGTGGCTTGTCTGAGGAGCAAGCAGAAGTCCCTGCAACCGTGTGGATGGTGGGGAGAGGACAGGGCTGAGGTCAGAAAGCTTGTAAGTACCTGATCAGGGAGAACCTTGTGGATCCTGATGAGGTGTTTAGATTTTACTGCAAGTACAGTGGAGGAAGCCATCAGCAAAACAACAGAAACTGTTGGACAGTGTGAGGAGAACATTATGATTGTGAGCATTTGCGAACAGCCAGAAAAGATATCCTTGGCCTATCAGCAGTTGGGCTAGCCTGTCAGCCACATGCTGTCCCTGCCCCCTGCAGTGCCCTGCTGACTGTGGGGGTGCCCTGCTGACTGTGAGGTTGCAAAACACAGTTATCCCCTCTGCCTACGAACCAGGGCCAATGGTCAGCCTCCTGCAGCTGGGCTTTCGCCAGCTTTGCTGGCCTTTTGACTCCTGCATCAACCTGTGAAATGTCAAAGAGTGTTTACGCTATTGTAGATCCTCATTTTGCCTTCTGGCGTGGGTAGAGCTGGGATTATGATCCATCCCCTTCCTTAGCAATGAGGCATCCTAGGGTTTCATGGTGGACCTGAGATCCTACACCTAGTTAAAGAAGGACATTAAACTGGAAACAAAGTTTTATCACTACTGGGTTGAGTGTCCCCCACCCCAGTCACTTTGGGTTCCAGAAACTTCAGGACAGGCTCACACAAGATTGTCCAAGTGTGTCTTTCAGCCATTTAGAATAATAGATGGAACTAGGAGACTCTGTATTTAGTGGTCTTTTAGGCCACTACCTATGAGCTATCAGCTATGATCTACAGCCAGCACTATTACCTGCTATAGCACTGCCCTCTATTAGCAACTATTATCAATACCAACTATTAGCCACCATTAGCTACTATTATCACCTAGCTCCTATTATCCATTATTAGCCACTCTTATCAACGATCTACTATTATCTACTATCAGCTTCTATTATCCTTAACCATTATCTGGTATCTTCCATTTGTTATCTGTGATCTACTATCGGCTACTATCTATTACCTGCCATGTGCAACAATCGGTCAGCTACTTTTTATTCTCTACTGTCTATAGTTACCTACTATCTACCAGCTACTATCTATTATTTAACACCCATCAACTGCCATCTAGCCATCATTCTCCATCTTTCCTCTCTACCTAAGCTCGCGCACAATAATTAATAGATATTAGAAATCTCAAGCCAGGACTTTGCTTACAGATGTCCCTCTAGGACAAGAGCCTCATTTCTGCCACCAAAAGTTTTGAGTGGCACTACCCATGGTGGCTTCCTGCATTCACAGCTAGAACCCTCGCTACCCTGCCCAGTGTCCCCGGCTCATGCGTTCATAAGACTCCTGGCTACCACATCACAGATCTAGAGGGAGCTTTGACAGAAAGAATTAAAGTTCCACACTTGGGACTGGAAGAGAAACACAGCGTTAATGACACATAGTTGGTTTGTCCAGTTAAAAGTTGCATGAGGTAGAATGTCTGCTCCCACGGGAAGAAGAATTCAGGAAGATGCCCATGGATCTTGATCTTGTCCTATGGACAAGACAGCTCAAAATAGAACTGATGAACCTGTTTCTCATTCCCAAACACACATGACCCAGGTGTACCCAAGGGACATCAGGGACAGGCTTGGGAAGGTGTGGTTGTGCTGAAGGCCAGCACAAAGGTGAGGGGTGCTGGATGCAGAAGACAAGAGGAAGAGCTCTGCTCCTGCAGGGAGCCTAATGGCCTGCAGGCCAGTGGGGTGGAGGGCATTCTCCCTGGGAGGCCTGGGTGCTGCTTGAGCACTGTCTGAGGAGGCAGATGGTGGTGTGGAAAACTCTGGACTTGCAGCCAGGTTGTGCAGGCTAAAGTCCTTGCTCTGGCAGCCAGTTGTGTGACTTTGAGCAAGTCATTTAACCTCAGGGCTTTCATGAAGGTAAGTGTGCACACCTGTGAAACAGGCTGCCAGGAGATGCATTCTGGGGATGCGGAGGGAACAGAGCAGTGGCAGGCACGCAGGAGCTCACCAGCTCTGAGGGAACCCTCTGCAGGAGGAGAAGGCTGGGGAAAAATCCACCATGTGTCATAGCTGGAATGGTCATTAAAGAACATCTATGATGGGGCCTTTCAGGGTCAAGTGCAGTGGCTCATGCCTGTAATCCTAGCTCTTTCAGAGGTGGAGGTGAGAGGTTTGCTTGAGTCCAGTAGTTTGAGACCAGCCTAGGCAACATAGCAAGACCCAATCTCTAAGAAAAAATTAATTAATTTAAAAGTAAAAAATAAAGTAAAAAAAAAAAAAAAAGATCGGCCCTGCGCAGTGGCTCACACTCCTTGCCTCAAGTGATCTGCTCGCCTCGGCCTTCCAAAGTTCCATTCCTGCCCTGCCACTTACAGCTTGGGTCAGATGTGCCATATAACTCCTGAGCCTCAGTTTCTCTCTCTGTTAGTGGAAATGCCTACCTTATGATTTTAAAAATAGAAAGTAATGAAATAATCTAAAGGAAAGTGCTTAGCCTTTAAATGTTTTCAATAAATACTTTTCCTGGCCACTTCTCCTGCATCTCCCCACCCTGTGCTCCCCGATTCTCAAAGGCTTCCATATTCGTGATCTCATTGACTGTCTCAGCCAGCAAAGCTAGTTCTTACACAAATAGGTCAGTAAAGCAAATACATTTAGTGTTTACATTTATGTAGGCAACAAGGCCAAAGGCCCTCACTGAGACAGCGATGACATATAGTGATCCCAGCAGACTTAGAAGCAGAAGCTTCTTCCAGAAATTTCCAGTATCCCTGAGGCCATGAGCTGTGTATGCTCTTGGGCTGTCCTCCAAGAAGCTCTGAGGTTGGGCAGAAACGAAGGCCAAGTTTGGGGGGTGCTGATGTCTTTCTCCCTCCCTCCCTCCCTCCTCAACTTGGCTTGTTTTAAAACCACTGACCAGGCAGATCCACTTCTCTCCTTGTCTCATGGACCTAAGATGAATCTGGCTAGGAAACCCATTAATGAGAAACATGATCTAAACCTGGAAAGGCTTTAACACTCTGGGGGAAAATATTGTTTTTTCCACTTTTTAAAGAAGTGCTTCTATTATCTCCCTTAAGATAAATTCCAGCTATTTACTCACCGTTTCCTCTATGAAAAAAGCATCTGCATTCCCTCGGGGCGTCTTTCTTGCTTGATAACCTCATAACCAGATTGTAGATGCATATATATCAAGATGCTTGTTACAGCACCTTCTCTCTCTCAGGTGTGAAGATAGATGGATGAGGATGAGTTTCGTGTATTCAGAACACAGGCAACCTGGGGCCTTGCTTTAACAACAGACTGATTCCCACATGAGTTTCCTGCCTGCTTGTATGTTGCCATTTATTATAAAGTGACTGCACCCCCACATCCTGGCCTGGGAGCCAAGCTCTTTTAGAACCAGGTCAGCCACAAGACCTAGATTTTCTTCTTTGAACCCTCTGGGAACAGAGTACAGACAGAGGTTAATATGGCTATACCCATTTGGCCAGACCTGGTTTCATGTAATTTGTCCCTTTGTTCTCCAAGTATGTTTGCATGTGCCCTATTTTCTGGTTGGCAATCATGGATACTGTAGCCGTATCCTTTCCTCTTGCCAAATTCATTCCTTAATCTCATCGGTCTTAGTGAGCTGTCCCCCAAAAAGACTTCCTTTTCTCTCTGGGAAGCTCTGACTAATCTTGCCCAGTGTTATAGGCTACTGGAATCAAATCAAATTCTATATTTAATCAGTACAACTAGGAACCCAGCTAGGTCTGTGCAAATGGGAGTTTTCAATCCCTGGGCTCCTGAGGCTGAAGGTTTACCTCCTGCCTCCAGGAAGGCTGCACTTGAAGGGTTTGATAATTCCACAATGCAGAGTTCTGCTCGTTCTTCTCTTCTTCCTTAGCTTTATTGAGGTATAATTTACATACCATAAAGTTCACTCATCTTGAGTGTACAATGCAATGATTTTTAGTATATTTACAGGGTTTTGCCACTATCACCACGATTTAAGTTAGAACATTTTATTGCACCATAAAGAAACTCTGTATTCTTAGCCATCAGTCACCCCCCAGCACTTCCCCCACTCCAGCTCTAGGAAACCACCAGTCTGCTCTCTGTCTCCATAGACTTCCTGATTCAGGACATTTTATTTGAATGGAATCATACAATATGTGGTCCTTATGACTGGCTTCTTTCACTTAGAGTAATGTTTTTGAGGTTCATTTGTGTTGTAGCATGTATTGGTACTTTATTTCTTATTATTTATATATTATTATTTACTATTTTGTTTATCCATTCACCGATTGATGAACTAATGAGTTATTTCCACTTTGGACTATAATGAATAATGATGCTATAAATTTTTTATTATTATTAGTTTTAGACAGGGTCTCTATCACCCAGACAGGAGTGCAGTGGTGTGATCAAGGCTTACAGCAGCCTGAATCCCCTGGGTTCAACTGATACCCCCACATTAACCTTCACAGTGTTTGGGACTACAGGCGTGTGCCACCACACTTGGTTAAATTTTTTTTTTTTTGTTTTTTTTTTCGAGACAGAGTCTCGCTCTGTCACCTAGGCTGGAGTGCAGTGGCATGATCTTGGCTCACTGTAACCCCTGCCTCCCAGGTTCAAGTGATTCTCCTGCCACAGCCTCCCGAGTAGCTGGGATTACAGGCACCCACAACCATGCCCGGCTAATTTTTGTATTCTTAGTGGAGACGGCGTTTCACCATGTTGGCCAGGGGGGTCTCAAACTCTTGACCTTGTGATCTGCCTACCTTGGCCTCCCAAAGTTCTGGGATTACAGGCATGAGCCACCACGCCCAGCCCTCAGCTGAATTTTTAAAAAAATTTTTTATAGAGATGGGATCTCCCTATGTTGCCCAAGCTGGGTGCTGCTATAAATATTCCCATACAGGCTGGGCATGGGGCTCATTCCTGTGATCCCAGCACTTTGGGAGTGGGCAGATCACTTGAGCCCAGGAGTTTGTGACCAGCCTGGGCAACATAGTGAGACCCTGTGTCTACAAAAATTCATAAAAAATTAGCTGGGTGTAGTGGCTCACACCTGTGGTCCCAGCTACTTGGGAGGCTGAGGCGGCAGGATCACATGAGCCCAGGAGGTCAAGGCTGCAGTGACCCATGATCATGTCACTGCACTCCAGCCTGGGTAACAGAGCAAGACCCTGTCTCAAAAAAAAAAAAAAAAAATTCCCATTCAGGTCTTCATGTCCATATAGACATATGCTTTTGTTTCTTATGGGCAGATACCTAGGAGTGGAACTAATAGATCACATGTCTACATACTCTATGTTTATTATAGGCTCTATATTTAACATTTTAAGAAGGTGCCAAGCTATTTTCCAAAATGGCTGCACTATTTTAAGTCTCACTAGAAATGTATGTGTTTTTCCAGTTTCTTCACATCCTCACCAACACTTGTTACTGTATGTCTTTCCTTTTTGAGGCAGGAGTACTGTGGTGCCATCATGGCTCACTGCAGCCTCAACCTCCTGGGCTCAAGTGCTTCCCATCTCAGCCTACCAAGTAGCTGGGATTACAGGTGTGCATGCCACCACACCCTATCTTTTTTTTTTCTTTTGTAGAGATGGGGGTCACTCTTTGTTGCCCAGGCTGCCCTGGAACTGCTGGGCTCAAGTGATCCTGCCTCCTTGGTCTCTCAAAGTACTGGGATTACTGGTGTGGGCTACCACACCCAGCCTGTATATCTTTTTGATGATAGTCAAAAAGCTGGAGGAAGAGGCCAGAAGCAAAGCAATGCAGATGGCTTCTAGAAACTGGAAAAGGCAAGGAAACAGCTCCTCCCCTAGAGGCTGCCAGCACTTTGGTATTAGCTCAGTGAGACGTGTGTTGAACTTGAAATATTTAGAAATAAACACCTTTCTTCATGTGTATAGTTGTTTTTAGGTGTGTCTTTCCTAGAGTCTGTATGTGTGAAACACTCCACAGTGACAGGCCATGGTGCATTGTTTCTGCTGAGCAAGGATCCTAAAAGAATGAGACCCTACAGAGCGTTTTGTCCCTGTGGTCTACTGTGAGGTCTCAGAAGTACATGGGACTTCGGGTGTCACAGCCATTTCTTTTCATGGTATTTATCTTTGATGTCCAGCTCTAGCTCTAGGAAAATGCAGAGAGGGGTCACGGGGTGTTGCGGGATGAATGGAGTCAGTAAAAGCCTAACTAAACCCAGGACCATCACATGATTTTTCATTCAAATCCTATCTGATAGCAACCTCTTTGAGCTTGGTAGCAGAGGTGAAAAGGGGATCTTTTTCCTTGCTCTGTTACCCACGTTTTGTCCTGAACTGGACATCTAATGGCTGGATCTAAAGATCAAAGTGTCTGGCCTGTGATCAAATGGCTGGCTTATGGCCTGGGGGCTCCTGCTAGATTGCCTGGGTGTACGTGCAGGCAAGCCAGACACGCTTCTCATCTCAAGGTCTTTAACTTTAATCACATCTGCAAGGTTCCTGTTGCCATGTAAGGTAACATGGACACAGGTTCCAGGGATTAGGGCACAGGTATAAAGTGGTATCTCATTGTGGTTTTGATTTGCATTTCCCTAGTGGCCAATGATGTTGAACATCTTTTCCTGGGCTTTTTGGCTATTCACGTGTCTTGTGAAATGGCTATTTAAACCTTTTTCCCATTTTTATATTGGGTTATTTGTCTTTTTATTGAATAATAAGAATTCTTTATTCGGGGTATTAGTTTTTATTGCTGCTGTGACAAATTGCTACAAATTTCTTGGCTTAAAACAACATAAATTTATTATCTGACAGTTCCATAGGTTAGAAGTTCGACATGGGTCTCACTGAGCTAAAAAGTAAAGTGTTGTCAGGCTGTAAGGGAGAATCTGTCGCTTTGCCTGCTCCAGCTTCTAGACATCATCTGCATTCCTTGGCTTGTGGCCCCTTCCTCCAGCTTCAAAGCTAGCAATGTAGCATCTCCCTGATGCTGCTTCTGGGGTCATATCTTTTTCTGGCCATAACCTGGAAAGGTTCTCCAACTGTAAGGACTCAGTTGATTAGAATGAGCCCACCTGGATAAACCAGGATAATCTCCATATCTCAAGGTCATTTAATCACATCTGCAAAGTTTCTTTTTCCTTTTGCTCTTTTTGAGACAGAGTCTCGCTCTGTTGCCCAGGCTGGAGTGCAGTGGCGTGCAATCTCAGCTCACTGCAACCTCTGCCTCCCAGGTTCGAGTGATTCTCCTGCATCGGCCTCCCAAGTAGCTGGGATTACAGGTGCGTGCCACCACACCCTGGCTAATTTTTGTATTTTTAGTAGGGATGGGGTTTCACCATATTGGCCAGGCTGGTCTTGAACTCCTGACTTCAAGTGATCCACCTGCCTTGGCCTCCTAAAGTGCTAGGATTACGGGTGTGAGCTACCATGTCTGGCCACATCTGCAAAGTTTCTTTTGCCATGTAAGGTAATATTGGCCAGGTTCTAGGACTTAACAACATGGGCATCTTTGGGGGCTCATATTCTGTCTAACACATATGATTAAAAGTCCCTTGTCAGATGTATGATTTGTAAATATATTTACATATTTTCTCCCCATCTGTGGCTTGTCTTTTCATTTCCTTGGTGTCTTTTGAAGAGAGAAAGGTATCAACTTCGATGAAGTCTAATTTATCCATTTTTTTCTTTTATCATTTGCACTTTTGGCGTTGTAATTAGGAAATCATTGCTTAATTCTAGGTCACAAAGACTTATTTCTATGTTTTCTTGTTAGAATTTTGTAGTTTTAGTTCTTATGTTTAGACCTATGATTGCTTTTGAGTTAATTTTTGTGTATGGTGTGAGTTAAGGGTAGAGCGCCATCCTTTTATACGTGAATGTCCAACTATCCCAGCATTTGCTGAAAAGACTATTCTCTCCCTCATTAAATTGTCTCGGCACCTTTGCCAAAATCAATTGGCCATAAATGTCGGGTTTATTTCTGGACTCTCGATTCTATTCCATAGATCTATATGTCTGTCTTTATGCCTGTACCACACTAGTTTTGTTTGGTTGTTTTGACACAGGGTCTGGAATTGTTGCCCAGGCTGGAGTGCAAGGACGCAATCTCAGATTACTGCAACTTCTGCCTCTCTGGCTCAAACCATCCTCCCATCTCAGCCTCCTGAGTAGCTGGGATTATAGGCGCATGCCACCATGCTGGCTAATTTTTGTATTTTTGGTAGAGATGAGGTTTTGCCATGTTTTCCAGGCTGATCTTGAACTCCTGGGCTCAAGCAGTCCTCCTGCCCCTCAAAGTGCTGGGATTACAGGCGTGAGCCACTGCACCTGGCCCCACACTGTTTTGATTAGTGTAGTATACAGTAAGTTCTGAAATTGGTAGTACAAATCCTCCAACTTTGTTCTTATTTTTCAAGAATGGCATAGCTATTCTGGATTCTTTACATTTCCAAATGAATTAGATACACTGTGTCCCTGGTTCCCTTGTCTATTACATCTTTATCATAGAGAACAATTTTGGATGTATCCATCTTGTCCATTACCCAACACATTAAAGGTTCCCAGGGAATAGTAGTCTAGTAGACAGAAGAGTCTATAAACCTCCAGGGAGGACACTGAGGACCCTCAGTACTATGTTTGTTGCTGGGCAAAGTAGAGATCTGTCTAAGATATGAAGAAGAGGCAGCTCAGGTCTAGGCTTAAGGCTCAGATCTCTCACCATAGATCCCTCTTTCCCAGCCCAAACTGAGAAACTGTGCTCTCACTGTCTATCCCTTTGCTTTACTTTGAGCTATATCATTGATCATGATTGGGGCTGGCTTCATTCACTCATTTGTCCATCATGTGCCAGACATTTCCTCAATGCCTAAGATACATCTTTTATTTTGGGAGTGGGAGGAAAAGGAAACACATATTATGGAGAAGCCACTATATTTAGGCTCCTGTAGAAGCAACCAAACTCAATTCTAACAGGTCCAGTAGCCTATGGGTCTAGTTGCTTTAGGCCTTTGGCTATTGGACAAAGCTAGATAATTCGTTTTTTAAGCTAAAACAGGGTCTGGATAATTCTATCTCCAGGCAACGAGTCAGACCTCAATGTACTACCTTTCCTCTGGCTCTCAATGGACTATACTTTGGGGCAATTGGAAACCTCAGACTGGGTGAGGATGTGTATTAGTCCATTCTCACACTGCTAATAAAGATATACCCAAGACTGGGCAATTTATAAAGAAAAAGAGGTTTAATGTACTCACAATCACGGCAGAAGATGAAGCAGGAGCAAAGCCATGTCTTACGTGGCAGCAGGCAAGAGAGCACATGCAGGGAAACTTCCCTTTATAAAATCATCAGATCTCACGAAACTTATTCACTATCATGAGAACAGCACAGGAAAGACCTGCCCCCATGATTCAATTACCTCCCACCAGGTCCCTCCCACAACACATGGGAATTATGGGACTACAATTTAAGATGAGATTTGGGTGGGAACACAGCCAAACCATATCAGGATGCATCTCTAAATCTTCTTGCTCACAGCTACATTTTTGTCAGAGGACACATCCTTGTCTTAGGCAGATGATAATTAACAGATGTACTTGAGAAATACCTGGAGAATTAGGCTTTTCCTGGGTCCTGATCTGTCCTCTGCTGGGTTTCTTACCTCTTGCCTCCACTTGCAGAAAATTGAGCTGGAGGTGGAGAATGTGGCTTTTCCAACTCTGCAAGCCTAATTATGTATAGCCAGACCCCTGGCAATTATATTGCAGACAACAAGCTAAAAGGGTCACCTTTTAGCAAATTCTCATTTTCTTCTCCAGCTGTGTTCAGGTGAGGCAGTTTTAAACCTTACTAAAAGCTTCAAAAAGTAGCCTTCACCCTCAGACACCTTGAATTTTTGCTAACAAATTCTGGCATGCTGAAGTCTTGGCAAATACGCAATATGACTCTTGAGATAAAAAAGTCTATAGTAGGAGCCAGGTGCAGTGGTGTGCACCTATAGTCCCAGCTACTTAAGAGGCTGAGGTGGGAGGATTGCTTGAGCCCAGGAGTTTGAGACCATGTTGAGACCCTGCCACTAAAAAAACAAACAAACAGAAAGGCTATATAGTTTAATCAGCTGTTTTGCTACCTCAGAACAAGAGTGACCAACCTCCTGGCCCAGGATAGTTGATATGGTTTGGCTGTGTGTCCCCACCCAAATCTCATTTTGAATTGTAATCCCCATGTGTTGAGGGAGGAAACTGTAGTCCCCACATGTCAAGGAAGGAAAGTGATTGGATTATGGGGGCAGTTTCTCCCATGCTGTTCTCGTGATAGTGAGTGAATTCTCACAAGATCTGATGGCTTTATAAATGGTAGTTTCTCCTGCACACTCCCTCCTGCCACCTTGTGAAGAAGGTGTCCGCTTCCCCTTCTACCATGATTGTAAGTTTCCTGAGGCCTTCCCTGTCATGTGGAACTGTGAGTCAATTGAATCTTCTTTGTTAATAAATTACCCAGTCTCGGGTAGCATCATTATAGCAGTGTGAGAATGGATTAATACAGTAAATTGGTACTGCAGTGAGGGGGTGCTGCTATAAGGATGCCTGAAAATGTGGAAGCACCTTTGGAACTGGGTAACGGGCAGAGGCTGGAACTGTTTGGAGGGCTCAAAAGAATACAGGAAGATGCGGGAAACTTTGGAACTTCCTAGAGCCTTGCTGAATGTTTTTGACCAAAATGCTGACAGTGATATGAACAATGAAGTCCAGGCTGAGGTGGTCTCAGATGGAGATGAGGAACTTACTGGGAATTGGAGCAAAGGTCACTCTTGCTATGCTTTAGCAAAGAGACTGGCATTTTAGTGAAATCTTCATTGCCTTCCCCTTTACCTCCTTAGCTCCATCAATTGATGAGATTACATTCTATGTGGGTTTTGGGTAACAGAAAACTCAAGCTGAACCAGCTCAATCAGTAAAGAAGATGTATTGCTTACGAAACTAAAGTCCAGAGATAATGGAGGATATCACATATGGCTCAATCCAGAAAATCCTCTCCCTTTCTCTGAACCACTGGCCATTGTGTTGGCTTTCCCAGAAGCCTGGATTCCTGGGATACAAGACAGCTATAGTTATCTTAAGGGGTTTCAGGCCTGTGCCTGGAGAGCTTGAAAAACTACTGATGGCTGAATCCTATCCCCAGAGATTCTGGGGTGTGCAGCCAACGTTGAAAATCAATACTAACCTTGATTAGTGAAAATACTAATTAATTGAAATACTAATCTTGAGAAGTGAAAAAGTATAAGAAGTGTTATTCTAAAGCAACTGGTACTGAAAGGTAAAATTAAAAGAGTTTAGGATCTACCATATTTTATCAAGTCTAAGATGCCATTGACTTTATGATTGAAAGATGCATCATTACTTTATGTACCACTAAAAAAGAAAAAATGTTTATTAAACTACAATCCTCTACCAGTTGTTTCCTGCATCCTGATTTCAGAGATAAAAATATGAAAAAAAGTGTGGTCGCTGAATCCATGAAATAAGGTATATATTGGGCCGGGTGCGGTGGCTCATGGCTGTAATCCCAGCACTTTGGGAGGCCAAGGCGGGTGGATCACCTGAGGTCAGGAGTTCGAGACCAGCCTCAACATGTAGAAACCCCGTCTCTACTAAAAACACAAAATTAGCCAGGCCTGGTGGTACATGCCTCTAATCCCAGCTACTCGGTAGGCTGAGGCAGGAGAATTGCTTGAACCTGGGAGGCGGAGGTTGCGGTGAGCCGAGATCGCGCCATTGCACTCCAGCCTGGGCAACAAGAGTGAAACTCCATCTCAAAAAAATAAAAAAAATAAAAAATAAAAAATAAATAAATAAATAAATAAAATAAGGTATATATCTGAAGGAGGATTACCCTTTAAAGTAGTCATCCCAGAAGGAGTAATTGTACAAAGATTCCCTTGAAGTTACTTCATTGGAAACACCTGTAGATTGTTTTGCCTTTGCCTTCAGAATCCATTTTCTATTTATACAAGAAAATCATAGCATTTTGGAGCTGGAGGACACATTATAGACCATCCAGACCAACCCCCGGATCGATTTAATTATAGTTACACCTTGTTTTAGACTAAAAGTGGTATTTCCCAGCTTTAATCTCTTACTCTATTCACCATTCTTGGCTCTGGATAGCTTTGAATTGTTTCCAACAATCAAAACCACCCTCCAAGGTTGAAGATTTGCCACCAATGAGGCTATTTAAAGTCATGTGCAACAGTTCTGCTGGCAGTTACCAGAGTGGGAGCTGAGGAGGGGGTAAGTAATGAAGCTGCTTTTGGAATCAGCCCATATTCTCACTTTGATGTTTATGTTATGTTACATCATGATCAGTCACATGGCTGAGCTTTATTCCCCAGAGGAAAGCTGCTAGGGCACCAGGGGGGCACACTGTAAATGAGACAGGTATGATGCCCGCCCCTCCTTACTGGTTCTTCTTCAAATATAGGAGACCCAGTAGAGACTGGAGGGGAAAAACCTCAAATAAAGGACAATCTAATGTATATGAGATAGTTTGCAAGCCCATCTGAGGAAAGCCAGAGAGCCTTCCTTTTTTTGTTTTGCAGAGAGAGAAATTAAGATCCAGAGAGAGTAGGTGGCTGGGCCAGGGTCATAGTAAGTTGGATTTGAGCCCAAGGCAGCACTGAGGCTCTTGCTTCCCAGCTGGCCTGTGCTATCTCCTCTCTTCTTAATGCCTCATAGCATTTATGCAGCTCAGGGTTTGAGGGGATGCTGTGGCCATAAATTAGGCAGGAGGCCAAGGAAGGGGTCGGTCTTCCAAGCCTAGAGCACTTGAGGCCAGGGCTTACACAGCACGCTCAGCCTGCTAGTCTGTCCATGTGATTAAGCCTGTCTACAGCTCCAGTATGGAGCACAGATCCAGGATCAAAGGTGAATCAACCCTTGTCCTGAGGTCTCCAGGAAGTCACTCAAATCATATATTCTTTTTCAGTTATAATTCAGGTAGGTGATGAACTTGGCAATGATGGATTATGGTTGGGGGATTAGAGGCTGAGCCAGTAATTTATGCCAAAATGGCTGGAGGAGCGCTCATGAAAACTTTTCACAATAGTCTGGAAAGGCAAGGGGAGAGAACAGATCTCTGAGAGGGGCAACTGTGATTGGGCTTGAGAGCCTCTCCTGCTCCCATCTCAATCATACACCAATGCAGTGGTAACTGGCTGGCTTCTATCTTCTCTCACTTGAGCTTCCTCTCCTTTATCTCCCTGCAGCTCCTTTCCTTGTCCTCATCATCCTTTTCTCCATCATATAAGGACATATCTTAAAGTCTGTAATAAGGCACCTTAATTTGCATTTCCAACAAGCTTCCAGGTGATCTGTTGCTGCCACATTGAGGATCATGCTTGAAGTGGCCTTGGTCTAGGGTAGTGTGGTCCAAGTTCTCCAAGCATGGTCCTTAGACCAGTAGCATAAGCATCATTGGAGAACTTGTTAAAAATGCAAATTCTCAGGCCGGGTGCAGTGGCTCATGCTGTAATTCCAGCACTTTGGGAGGCCTATGTGGGCAGATCACTTGAGGTCAGGGGTTTGA
The DNA here is from genome assembly GCF_000001405.40 of Homo sapiens. NCBI lineage: Eukaryota > Metazoa > Chordata > Mammalia > Primates > Hominidae > Homo > Homo sapiens. The sequence continues at coordinate 116,387,036 of NC_000011.10, read as the reverse complement.
GACCAGCCTGGCCAACATGGTGAAATCTCATCTCCACTAAAAATACAAAAATTAGCCAGCCATAGTGGCACATGCCTGTAATCCCAGCTACTTGGGAGGCTGAGGCAGGAGAAGCACTTGAACCTGGAAGGCAGAGGTTGCAATGAGCCAAGATTGCACCACTGCACTCCAGCCTGGGCAACAGAGTGAGACTTTGTCTCAAAAAAAATAAAAACAAAAAAATTCAAATTCTCAGGTTCCCCAGACCTACTGAGTCAGAAATCCTAAAGGCAGAGTCAGAAATCTGCTTTTCCAAGCCCTCCAGGTTGTTCTCATATAAGCTAAGTGATTGCCAACCCATTGAGCTAGTAGTAGTATTCTTCAGACATGGCTAAACTTCAGAATCTCTGTTCTAAAAAATACTGGTGGCCTCACCTACCACCAGTTAACTAAGTATCTCTGGGCTTGTTTGGGCAAGTATACTTTTAAACAGCTTTCCAAGTGATTCTGATGCACAATGAATATTCAAACGCAGGCATCTAGCCTAACAGCTTGCAGGTTCCAAACAGGTTCTGAGAAGGAAACTGGCTTGCCAGGGCCGCAGAGCTGCTGCAGCCTACTGGAGCTCCTGGTTCCCTTGCCCTGAAGTTGCCATGTTTCTGGGCATGTGTGGGCTCTGTGGCTCCTGCGCAGGCCTTTGTTCTACCCTGAACTATGCCTCAGAGCACTGGGCCCCCACCTGCGTGCTCCGTCAGGCGGGGCCTAACCTTGCCGACAACACAGGACCTGTTTTCTGGACTCTGCGCTCTTCAGCTCTGCCCACCTATCTGTAGAGCACACCCTCCAGAAGGGGATTATCCCTTCTGGGACATCATTTCTTTTCCCGGCTTCCCTGCACCCACAGGTGAGATCCTGGGAAGTGGGAACTTTCAGGGGAGACACATTGGTGATCATTCCTAAGTTCTTTAAAGCCAGTGCGTCCTCTTAGGTTTAGGCTGGGACATCCTCCCCATTTCTCTGATGAAAGCTGTGAGGCGGGGAGAGGCTCACTATGCTCAGCTGTCTCTGCCTCACCTGCCTTCAGGATGCTCTGAGATGGGCCCCGTTGTGGCTTGACTTGTGTCCAATAGCCCCTGTCTCAGCAGGCGTTCCACAGGGCTGAAGCTGGACAGCAGAGGGCCGGGGGCAGGAGTGGGAGTGGGGATGCATGGGTCCCTGGAGAAGCAACTCTTGATTGTCTGAGATTCATCCCCAAAGCCAAAAGTGCCCCCAAATTGATTCTGTTCAGATTTAAATTGAGTTATGGTGTTGTTAGGTATTTTTTCCCCCAAACCATAAGCCAGTTAGGGTTATTTTTTTTATTTTTATTTTTTTTTGAGACGGAGTCTCGCTCTGTCTCCCAGGCTGGAGTGCAATGGCGCGATCTTGGCTCACTGCAAGCTCTGCCTCCCGGGTTCAAGCGATTCTCCTGCCTCAGCCTCCAGAGTAGCTGGGGCTACAGGCGCCCGCCACCACCGCCGGCTAATTTTTTTTAAATATTTTTAGTAGAGACGGGGTTTCACCATGTTAGCCAGGATGGTCTCGATCTCCTGACCTCGTGATCCGCCCGCCTCGAACTCCCAAAGTGCTGGGATTACAGGCGTGAGCCACCGCGCCCGGCCCAGTTAGGCTTCTTAATTGCCTTGAATTTAGTCTAAAATTCAAATAGTTTTCCTGAACTTACCCGGGGGCAGGGATGGTGTTTGTGGATGTGAAGCCAACACGGGGACCCACATTTGCCATGGGTCGTGGCAGTGAGGGAGTTACACACAGCCTCCCTGGTCAATCCTGGGCCTAAGGTGTGTGCCTGCATGTGCATGGGTGTGTCGCAGGCCGGGACATCGGGGTGATTTCTTGGTCTGTCCACCTGTCCCTCACTAATGTTTGGTGCTCTTGCCATGAAGGCAGCTGGTTTCCTGGCACCTGCTGCCTGGCAGATGGGCCTTGACCTTTGTAGCAACTAGCATGGTGTTAGGTAAACAAGACCCCCTGCCCCTTATACTCTCCTGCTCCTGCTGCCAAGGAGTTCTATTTTTGACAGGTTTGGGCCAGGGAGACTGGGAGAGTTGATGGTGGGGCCAGAAGAGTGGGCACCTGCTGAATTGGAGGGGAGAGGCAGATGGTGGCTAGAAACATAGCCTCTCACCCCAGCCAGATTTGGTCTGTCTGCAGGAACCAGGGAGACCCCTCACCACCCTCAACCAAGCCGCTCTGAGGATGCAATGGGGACGGCTGAGGCTGGCAGGAGAAAGGGGTTAAGACCAGGGAGGCCAGTTCCACAGGCTCATCCTCGGTCCTGTGATTGTGAGAAGTGAGAGCCAGGCATCTCCTGACCATAGGGTCCAGCTGCTTACAGCAGGGCTGGGCTGTCCCAGGCCCCCTATTAGTCTGATGGATGGCCCTTGTGCTGCTAATGTGGTTAGGGCGGGCAACAGCCTGGGGGGCTGGGAGCTCAGAGACCGGCCAGTGCAGGCCCTGTTGTAATCACATTTGCCTGTACACAGAAGGGGCGCAGATTACCCACCCAGAAGCCCAGAGGACATTAGTGAAAGTCATTTAGAAATAATTTTTTGCATCAAGCTTTTCTTACCTTATTATTATTATTTTAAACAATCAGTTTCCTGCCCAGGGCACACATGGAAAGGAGCAGCTCTAAGAATGGATTATGGAAGAATGGCCAGGGCAGGTTAACTCCCTGAAGCCCTGAGTCTCCTGGAGTTGGGGGGCTTGGCTTTGCAGTGGAGGGAGCACCCCATGCTTCCTGGCTGGTAAAACACTGAGCTCGTTTCTTCCACTTCCCAGGCCTGAATCACCCCTCTTTTTTTTGTTTAAGAAACTTTTAATTTTAAAATAGCTTTAGTTTTACAAAACATTGTGAGGATAGTACAGAGAGTCCCCACATATCCCCATCTCCAGGTTCCTCTGTGGTTAACCTCCTACCAGAGTAGGGTAGGTTTGTCATAATTAATGAACTAATGTTGACACATTATTATTAACTAAAGTCCATACTTTACTCAGATTTCCTTAGTTTTTACCCAACCTCCATTTTCTGTCCAGGATAGCACATGACATTTAGTTATCTCGTCTCCTTTTGTTTTTTGAGACAGTGTCTTTCGCTGGTGCCCAGGCTGGATGCAGTGGGGCGATCTTGGCTCACTGCAACCTCTGCCTCCCAGGTTCAAGTGATTCTCCTACCTCAGCCTCCTGAGTAACTGGGATTACAGGCGCCCACCACCACACCTGGCTAACTTTTGTATTTTTAGTAGAGATGGGGTTTCACTGTGTTGGCCAGGCTGGTCTCGAACTCCTGACCTCAAGTGATTTGCCTGCCTCAGCCTCGCAAAGTGCTGGGATTACAGGCATGAGCCACCATGCCCTGGCCTGTCTTTCTTCTTAGGTTCCTCTTGGCTGTGAGAGTTTGTCACTTACGATTTTTTTTTTTTAAATTAAGATATAGTTTACATATTATAAAATGCACCCTTTTAGAGTGTGCAGTTCAGTGGTTTTTAGCAGTCACAAAGTTGTGCAACTGTCCCCACTGTCTGATTCCAGAACGTTGTCAACACCCCAAAAAGCAACTTTGTACCCATTAGCAGTCATGTCTCATTCCTCTCTCCCCCTAGCCCCTGGCAACCACTAATCTACTTTCTGTCTCTATGGATTTGCCTTTCCTGGACATTTCATATAAATGGAATCATACAAGATGTGGTCTCTTGCGTCTGGCTGAGCCAGCCACTCTTACACATGCTTTAATAACTTTCATTCTTGTCCTTAGAGTGAAGACAGGCTTCTACAGAAAACACATTCCAGGGACATAGGCACTACTTAACCGTGGAATACTGAGACCAAATCCAGTTGTTTTGACCCTAAGACCGAAGCATTTTTCTGTTATCCATCTATCGAAGCATTCTTTCATTCGGCATTCACCCAGTGTCCTCCAGGTGATAGATTCTGGGGACACAGAGATATCCCTAATATATAATATAATAAACTCCAATCCTAGGCCAAACTATCACCTTCTCTCAGATTATTTTTTAAAATTATTATTATTATTGACATTTTTAAGAGACAAGGTCTTGGTCTGTTGCCCGGGCTGAAGCGCAGTGGTGTGATCCTAGCTTATTGTAGCCTCAAACTCCCAGGCTCAAGCGATCCTCCTGCCTCAGCCTTCTTAGTAGCAGAGACCGCAGGCACATGCCACCACACCTGGCTCTCATCTCTCAGATTATTGCCATGTCTTTCTTGCTGATCTGCTCTGCCCTTGCCCTTCTGCCGTCTAGACTCACCCTGCCAGCCAGGTGATTGGTCCTCGTCTCTACACTGCTCAAAAACATTTAGGTGTGTGTTTGTGTGTGTGTGTGTGTGCGTGTGTGTGTGCTCTAAATTTTATTCAGAGTAAGAATCAAAGTCCTTCCAATGACTACAAGGCTCCCCCGACTATCTGACTCTCTCTTTACTGCTGTCTCTTGCTCTCCCTGACTTAGGCATGCTGGCCTCCACACTTCTCAATATTCTGCCGGACATGCTTCCTAATCAGGACTTTTCCATTTGCTACGTTTTCTGCGGGGATCATTCTTCCCCTGCAAATACCTGCATGGCTCACTGTCTCACCATCTTCAGGTCTATGTGAAAATGTCATTTCAAAAAGTCCTGCCCTGACCACCCTATTTAAAATAGCAACCTTCCTTTCAGGTTCCTCATTCTCTCTTCCTGCTTTATTTTTCTCCAATGCATTTATTCCTCTCTGATGCACTATATATTTTGCTTGTTATCTCTATTCTCCTGTGACAGCATAAACTCCGTAAATAAAGGGATTTTTTTGGGTGTCTCTTACACCTCCGGCTGTATTCTCAATATCTACAAATGTGTTTGCTATATAACATGTGCTCAATAAATAATAGTTGTATAAATTATAAATTCTTCACTCTCCGTCCTTTATCTCTCCATCCTTTAACTCCTTCAATCAGAAATCTCCCAGGAGTTAGTTCTAGTAACAAATATGAGGAGATGGTCCAGGGAGGAGACTTGCTCAGTGGGACCCTCCCCAAGAGATAGAATCAGTATCATTTGGGAGAGCGAAAGTTCAGAAAGACAAATGCTGTCCTCTGTTCTTTTATTTATTGTTAAGGGAGATAATCTTTGTTAAGTGCTATATAAGACTGTTAAAAATAAGTTGTTCATCTATCCAGTCAATACATATTTATTGAATACTTATTCATTTACTAGTATACTATGTGCTGAAGATACAATAGTGAACAAAAAGGGTGAAGGGTGCAACCTCTGCTCTTATGATGTTCACAGTGTGGTGTAGGGGACTGACATTCGACAACTTATTCCACAAATAGCTTCTAAATTGTAATCTATAATACATCCTCTGAAGGAAAAGGATAGAGTGCTATGAGAAGCTGGCAACTAGGGAAACCGACCTAGTCTGGGGGTTAGGGAAGATAAGCAAGAGCTTTCTCAGAGTCAGAGCTGTCCAAAATGGAAAACAGGCTGCTTTACAGCTGAGTTTCCTTTGACTAGAGGGTTTAAGTGGAGTCTGGGAGACTCTTGATGGAGATGTTGTAGAGTGCATTAAGCAAGCATTGGGTGGAGTAGAGGGGGAGCTTTGTATTAAGAAAATAAAGGAATTCAGTTGAATTTCCTGGTCAAATATGAACAAGTCAGTTTTAAATTCTCTCTTGGAAGTGAATTAATTCTACCAGTATTTTTGTGGACCAAAATAAGCATCCTTTGCTATCTGGTGTCTCATTTCAATTGAGTGTACATGGTCCGTGGCAAGGGACTGTGGGTGTACCAGGATGGTGGAGAGACTTATGAATACCAGTCCCTAATAATAATACCCTGTTATCTCTGTGCTGCTGGTTAATTCACTGCTGTGCTTTCCTATCATTATTTCAGTTGAGACTAATAATGACCTTTTTGAACTAGGTGGCCCAGAAATTTTTATCTGAACTTTAATATGTGGGAGAAATTAAGGCACAGAGAGAGATGCTGACTTTCATAAACCATGTCTTCTGATTAAAAAAAAAAATCCCTGTGTGTTTTTATCTATGTATATGGTTAGCTATTGTGAAAATAATGCTGTGTAGCAAATCAACTCTCAGATTCAGTGGCTTAAAACAATAACTATTTATTATCACTCAAGGTTCTGAAGTTCAGCTGAGACACAGCCCACCTAGATTGGGTTCAGCTGGTTGGCTTTGCTTCTCATTTCAGATCTGCAAGTAGCTGGGATGGCTCTGCTCATGTGACTCTCATCCTCCTTTTAGGATCATGGTCAGTCCAGGGTGTATTCTTTGCATAATGAAGCCAGAGGGTCAATGCCTCTTAGGCTTAGAGCTGGGACGCTGTCACTTCTGCTTCATTATATGCCCAAAGAAACTCACATAGTAAACCCAAAGTCAAGGGGAGGAAGAATATACTCCACTCCTTCAGTGTAGTAAACCCAAAGTCAAGGGGAGGAAGAATATACTCCACTCCTTCAGTGGGAAGAATTGCAGAGACACATGGAGAAAGGTGTGTGGATACAGAGAGGGGGTGAAAGATTGAGGTAAAAATTGCAACCCACCCAATTTAATTTGTTCTTTTGTTCACTATTTTTCCACTCAGTTCCAAACAATGTGCCTGGCATTCTGTAAGTTGTTGAGGACACAAAGGTAAGTATAAAATGTTTATTAGCAGACAGTTTCGGCAGAGCGTGAGATGTACTATGAGAGAGGCAATCACAGAAAATCTTGACAGCAGATACTTTCAAGGCCCATAATTTTTTTAAAAATAGGGAGCCAAGAGATGAATCAATGAAGGAACAAAATCAAAGCTGAAAAAATTTTGGGGTTAATTTCACTTATATTTTAACCAGTGAATCCAGTTATGGCAGACATTTAAGCTTGTTTCTAGGTTGCAACATCCCCCTGCTAGTTGTTTTGTTAACTCCTGTTTCCCTTTCAATATTATAGCAAAAAACAAAACAAAACAAAAAAACAAAAGACAAAAAAACAGACAAACAACAACAAAAATCCCTCCTGGAACACATGATCAATTTTAAAGCAAAATGTGGGGAGGAAGATGCGTGGCATCATTTATTCAAGTACATTTAGCAATGAATGTGAGAGGAAAGAATGTGTCTGGGAAGCGGCAGTGAATAAAAAGGAGATGTGGGACAGGTCCTGGGACCTGTAGAATAATAGCATAATAATAAATACTACCACATATTGAGCTCTTTGTGCCAGGTATGATGCTAAGTGCTTTGCATGAGGTAAGTAGTATTAATAATCCTATTTTAAAGATGAGTGGAGTGGGGTCTCAGAGTAGAGCAAAGTGATCCAATTTCCTGGCTGAATGGGGAGTAGAAAAACGATGAAGCCATAGCTTCCCAGGTCAGCACCATGGACAGCAGACTCCCCTGCCCGAGAACTCGGGGGTAAGATTTCTGCAGGGTGAATTTCCATAAGCAGAATAATAGAAATGTTTTAGAGCAGATTATTTATAACATACCCACCCTTTTCCCTAGAATGAGCTTTGATAACTAGGAACCACTTTTTTGCTAAGGACTTGATAGTGTTTGTTGTGTGGGGACTGGGGAGGGGGCAGTTTGGGATGCGAAAATTTGAAGACAGGATCTGGGAAAGAGCCATGTTCTTCTGCATAATAAAGCAGCAGTGAGAGATTTGGAAGCAACATTGGATAAGGGAGTGAGAAACTCCCAGGGAATATGTGGATAGTTAGGAAGGAGTAGTCCCAAGAGGGGACAAGGAATAGAGGGGACTCGGGCTAAAAAGAGAGAGAACTAGGGAAATGTTAAAAGAGGAGTCCGATGGGGCACGTAAAGCAAATCTTCATCTTCTTTACCAAATGTTCAGTAAACCCCATACCATTGACTTACATGCAACTGGATTTATTTGGGAGCTTGAAGCAGATCCTGAAAAGGACAGTAAGATCTGTGTCCCACATGTGAACGCATGCAAATTAAGATTGACTGGCTGGAGAGTTTTTCCACTGGGTGTGGTAGTGAAGACCTTCTAGAGTTTCAGTTCCTGTGTTTCAGCTTGGTCTCCCTAGTCACCTTATCTTTTGGAGGGCAGGAATGCTGCCTCTTCTACCTTCCTCCCTTCCATGGACTGGAACATTGATGGGCACACATTACTACCCAGGACATACTGAAGAGTTTATTTCCTCTGGCTGAGTCCCATTCAGAAAAGAACCATGGGTTTTCCTTTGCTTATAGCAGTCAGAGTTCCCAGAGTTTCCAAGTCATCGGCATTTTTTTTTTTTTTTTTTTTTTGAGATGAAGTCTCGCTCTGTCACCCAGGCTGGAGTGCAGTGGCAAGATCTTGGCTCACTGCAACCTCTGCCTCTTGGGTTCAAGCGTTTCTTTTGCCTCAGCCTCCTGAGTAGCTGGGACTACAGGTGCATGCCACCACACCAGGCTAATTTTTGTACTTTGAGTAGAGATGGCATTTCACCATGTTGTCCAGGATGGTCTCAATCTCCTGACCTTGTGATCCACCTGCCTTGGCCTCCCAAAGTGTTGGGATTACAGGCGTGAGCCACCGCACCTGGCCGTCATTGGCAATTTTAAGTAATCTTTCCCATTGTTATCATAAGTGCACCTCAACTGGTCAGACCATGGATTTGAATTTCAGGCTCAGACACAGTGGTTACAATGCTTATAGGATCAATATAGATACACACTAATACCCAGAACTGACCTGCTTGTGCTAGGTCACAAGCAAACTCTCAACCTACAAACAATTTGACCTAGCAAGGGAAACATGGGATGCGCAGGGATGTCTGAGTGTGGAGTTCCCCATTCCCATGGAGAAAACTGCTTTTTTATCCCAATTCGGAGTCCTTAGGGAGCAACTGACCAAGAAGCCTCCACATCTACAGAAGCATCTTCTTTTACTTGGGTCTGGAAATGTGGTGCAAAACCGCTGGGGGTGAGGCAGTGGTAGTGAGATGTTCTCAAAGTCAGTTGTGGAATCTCAATCATTGTCCTATAGAAACCACTATGAGCAATGGCTAAGGGTAGTTGAAAAATGCATGGGGTATTTTATTGATCAAATAGATTTTTGTCACTGGCTTAGAAAGCTAGCAACCAATTTTGGTAGGCAGCACGGAAAAATTACTGGCTTTGGAGTCAGACATACCTGAGTTTGAATCTTGGCTCTACCTCTTACTTGCTATGTAACCTTGGGCATGTCCTGCTACCTCACTGAGCCTCAGTTTCCTCACTTGTAAAATGGGGCAGTTGATATGTACTGATACTTAATACGTTTGTTAAAATAGGGGAACTTCAGTAACAAAACCCAGCAAATCTCAGTGGCTTAACACAATAAAATTTTATTTCTTACTCATGTCACAGTCCAATGCAGGTCAGTAGAGGGGTCTGGCCTGGCTCTATGCAGGCACTCAGGGACCCTGTATCCTTCTATTTAGTGGATGTAATTTTCTGGAGCTTGGGAGCCTTCAACTAGAGCCTCTGCATCGGGCAGGCAGATGGAGGAGAGAGGGCATGAAGGATTGAGCAGTAGGCATTTTTACGGGCTACATTAGGAGGTGGTACATATGATTCCCATCTATCTTCCATGCTCACATGGATGCACCTAATATTAGGAAGGCTGAGAAATGACTGTGTACCTAAGAGGAAAAGGTTACTGACTTGGTGAACAGCAAACCAGTGTCTGCCACTTCTACATGGTGAGGTTGTAATCAGGTGAGGTTGTAATAATAATAATAATAAATACAGAGGGTGTATCTTGATTCCATCAAGCATATCGCAGGACTCAATAAATGTTAGTCCTAGCAGCATTGTTTACACAGGAATGTGAGTATTGCATTTCAAACAAGCAGCTTTAGAAAGGACTTTCAAATCTCAAGTCATTCGTTTGGCGTGTGCTGCCTTTTCTGTCCTTGGCTCCCCAGGAATTCTGATTACTAGGCCATGAGGGGTTAAACTATCCTGCTCTCCTCAGATACTCAACAGCTGGATATCTTTCCAAGGGCCTTCAGCACTCTCCTTCACTGCAGTAAATACATCTGGCATTCCCTATTCTGGAAATACAAGCAACTAGTCAATTGGAAAAGGCGTCTGCTGATGGTAGCATGACAAGCAATATCTAGAACTGCTTGTAATCTCCTTCAGACATCCACTTGCTCCCACCCAGCCCCACTGAACACAAAGGGGCTCCTATTATCTCCATAGCCTTCTGTAGCCAAAAATGCAGATGAACCCTGACCTCATATTCCACTCAACATGCCCTCTGAACAAAGAGCCTTCCTCACATGTTTACATTGCCAGAATAGCAGATAAGTGGGGCACACAGAGCAGGCTTCCAGGAGGTGGGCAGCTGCAGCACAGTGGAAGACATCACTGATTTTGCCTTTGGAAATTGGAAGACTCAGATCTGCAACTCACTAGCTGTGTGGCCTTAGAAAAGTCACTTTACCTTTCTTGCCACAATTCCTCCTTGGTGTAATGAGCATGAGCCCATCCCTTCTTTATCTATGTCACAGGAGGTATTGGGGCTTGAAATATGTACCTGAAATATATCCACACTGCTGATATAAATTACCTAACAAGGGGAGGGAGTATCATGTTTCCACACAAGTGGGTTGGGATACAGAAGTGAAAAGACAATCATCACATCTTAGGCTGAAAGGATCTGGTCTCTCTCCCATTTATGGGCAAGAGGTGACAAGAAAGACCTTATCTCTAAGTTCTCTAGTCTTATCCAGGTTAATCCAGGGATAACCTGGATTGACCTTTGTGGGAGAAGGCAGGAATGCACAGGGCCATAACCTGGTAGGGACTAGTGATTCCTCCTTTTCCAGAACAGGATTCATGAGGGAGAAATGGGAGGATCACCCATTGAGGCCAAGAGACCTCAATCCCATATCATCGGGATCACTAGGATGACAGTTCTTGACATTTGTACCACATTTTATCATTTACAAAGCCTTCTTCCAGGCAACATCATATCACATTCACTGCACACAATAATCTTCATAAAAATGAGGTTCAGAGATGTTGAGTAATTTGCCCAAGATTTCAGAACAAGATCTGTGTGATTCTAGGCCAGGCGTGGTAGCTCACGTCTGTAATCCCAGCTCTTTGGGAGGCTGAGGTGGGTGGATCACTTGAGGTCAGGAGTTCTAGGCCAGCCTGACCAACATGGTGAAATCCTGTCTCTACAAAAATACAAAAATTAGCCGGGCATTGTGGTATGTGCCTATAGTCTCAGCTACTCTGGAGGCTGAGGCAGGAGAATCACTTGAACCCAGGAGGCAGAGGTTGCAGTAAGCCGAAATCATTCCACTGCCCTCCAGCCTGGGCAATAGAGCAACTCTGTCTCAAAAAAAAAAAAAAAAAAAGAAAGAAAAAAAGATAAATGTGATTCTAAAGTTGTAGTTCTTCCCACCCATTCTTGTGCTGTTTTGCCTCTTTATTCCCAGGCACACCTAAGCGTAAAGTTTTTCTTCTACAGACTGGACATGGATAGATGTAAACTCTCAGATCCTTTTTGGTTGAGAAAATAGGAATACCTCTCTGATTCTCTGTATTCCTAACTGTGCCTGGTACATGGTAAAGTGCCCTCTAATGGTTATAAGATGGAAGGTTGAGAGAGCAAATGGGCAGGAAGCAGAGAAAGCCTTGGGTGTTGACAAAAGTTCAGAAATGGATGACCACTGGTATGGTGCTGTGTGAGCTGAAGGAGGATGAATTATGAAAGTGGGAGACAAAGGCCAGGTATGGTGGCTTATGTCTGTAAACCCAGTACTTTGGGAGGCTGGGGTGGGTGGATCGCTTGAGCCCAGGAGTTCGTGACAAGCCTAGGCAACATGGTGAAACCCCATCTCTCCAAAAAAAAAAAACAAGCAAGCAAGCAAGCAAACAAAAACCAACCAACCAAACAAAGACCATACCAAAAAATTACAAAAATTAGCCAGGTGCAATGGCGTGCACCTGTATTCCCAGCTATTTAGGAGGTGGGAGCATTGCTTGAGCCGGGGAGGTAAAGACTGCAGTGAGTTGAGGTCATGCCACTGCATTCTAGCTGGAGTGACAGAGTAGGACTGTCTCAAAAAAAAAAAAAAAAAAAAAGGGAGACAGAGCCCAAATGGACAAGGCTCTCTCACATTCTGTTTAACATTCAGAAAAGTGAAATGTTAAACATGGGCCTTCCTTTTCTGAAGGGCAGAGTACCCAAATGGGCCATAGAGGAATTTAGAGGAGCTCCTAGTAAAGCAAACTCTCTGAGGGCCACAGGGTAGGATTAAAGCTTCACTCAAATGGGTCTGGGGCAGCTGGTTCCTACCCTGTACAGAAAGGCTGATTAGACTCTGGCTTCAGCCAGGGCAGGATGGGAGCCCAGGGGTCTTCTGTTGCAGCAAGTGGGACACAGGTTAGAAGTTCCATGTGGGGCATGTGGAGCATCAGCAGGGTAGTGAATCGGGAGAGAAAGCTCAGACCCACTTCTCCTGGGATGGGGAGGAAGTCTGGCTCTGAGAATACAATGTAGGGGCAGAGCTGGGGGTCTGAGGTCATTGCACATGTAGGCAGCAACTACAGGGCCAACATCCCCCCTGGTGATAGAAGGATGGTAGAGTCACAGCACAAAGACCCAGCCCATGCAGGCAGCGGCACTGAGGGGAAGGGAGGAGGGAGCTGTGATGGTTAATTTCATGGGTTAACTTGACTGAGCTAGGGGATGCCCAGGTGGCTGGTAAAACATTTCTGAGGGTGTCTGTAAGAGTGTTTCTGGAAGAGATTAGCATTTGAATTGGCAGGTTGAGTAAAGAAGATTGCTCTACTGATGTGGGTGGGTACCACTTAATCCACTGGGAGCCTGAAAAGCAAAAAAGTGGAGAAAGGGTGAATATACCATAAGCCCCCCAGTTCTCAGACCTTCAGGTTTGGACCAGAATGACACCACTGGCTTTCCTGAGTTTGCCAATGGCAGATCGTGGGACTTCTCAGCTTCCATAACCACATGAACCAAGCCCTAATAATAAATCTCATTCTGTATATCTATGTAGATCCTATTGGTTCTGTTTGTCTGGAGAACCCTGATGAATACAGAAGCCTTTGAATAATGAAGAGAGTAGAGAGTTTTCTGAGTTGGCTGAATGAGAAGATAAATTTTCTGGCAGGTACTCTGTGTGTGAGAGATGGAGAGACTTCCTTCCTGAGTCTACTGCAGGAATGAAGCATTGAGGGTGCCTCAGCTAAGTGCAGAGTGACTCATCTGCCGAGAACATGGTGTACCAGCCCCATGGTTCCGCCAAGGAGGAGACACAGGGCAAAGCTCCATGCAGGGCTCTTCCTGCCTTGCTGCTTCCCTTGGAGGCCCTCCTGGAGGTGGGGTGTTGCAGGCAGCAGCCACCGCACAGCCACCTTGCCCTTCGAGATTCACAGCCCAGCCCATCCTCCCTGATGAATGTGACCCACCACCGAAACCCCTTCAGCCGCCAAGACAGAGGAGGTCAGGCCCAGTGGCTGCAGACAATGGCCTTATCGGCTGCTGCTAGTGAGGGTATAAGCAGGGGATTGGATGGTATCATTCTAATTTACACGGGATTTTGTTTCTTTCCAGGTACTTAGCATGTGGATGTAGGTGATATCAAAGGCAGAGCATTATACAATAAGTAGGCTTAACCTCCATCTCACCCCCTCTCATCCTTCTGTCTCTTCATTGAGGCCACGAGGAGCTGCAGCTGGGGTTGCCATGGTGACCAATTAGGATTACTGAGATGTTCTAGCAGAGAAAAAAGGGAGTATCGATTTAGCTTTGACAGTGGGGCATCTGGGGACCAGGGGAGGCCAGGGTTTTCAGCATTAATAGGGGGCAGAGTGTGTCACTCTCAAGGCTGTCCTGGGGTTGTGTTGCTTGTGGGTTGGACAACATATGTAGTGGAGGCCTCTGCCTGATTGGAGCTTATGCAACAGTGCTGAGAGGTGGGTGGGGGTATCTGGAGTGGGGTGGGAGTGGTCCCATTCCCAGTAGTAGGAGTGACTGATCCTTAAGGGAAATGGAATTCCTTGGCTCAGTTAGTGGGAAGCTTAGGTGCCCAGACAGGTTCACCCCAGCTGTGAGTTTCCTGTCAATTAAACATTTCCAGGTGGTCTGATGCACTGCCCTGCACTGGGGGTGTAGAAACTAGAGAGGAGTGCACAACATGGACCTTGACTGTCAGGAGCTTTGAATGGGGCAAAACACATGGTACCATCACATGCAAAATCAGGATCCTCAGATGATTATGAAGCCTGAAGCTAAGAGGACACGCAGGGGCCAGGAAGCCTTAGAGGGGGAGATGGGGCTTGAGGCTGAACTAATGCAGCTGTGTGGCTGTGGACAAGTCAGGGAACATCACTGAGCCTGTTTACCCCTCTGTAAACAAAGGCTAATGATACACTGAATAGGAGGGTGTATTAGTCTGTTCTCACACTGCTATAAAGAACTGCCCGAGACTGGGTAATTTAGAAAGGAAAGAGGCTTAATTGACTCACAGCTCAGCATGGCTAGGGAGGCCTCAAGAAACTTACAATCAGGATGGAAAGGGAAGCAAACATGTCTGTCTTCACACGATGGCAGGAAGGAGAAGTGCTGAGTGAAAGAGGGAAAGCTCCGCTTATAAAGCCGTCAGATCTCATGAGACTCACTATCATGAGAACAGCATGGCAGAAACTGCCCCCCATGATTCAGTTATCTCTATCTGGTCTCACCCTTGACATGTGGGGATTATGGGAGCTACAATTCAAGGCGATATTTGGGTGGGGACACAGCTAAACCATATCAGAGGGTTATAAAGATTGGAGCGTACACTGGTGAAGTGCTTGGTACATTCTAAGTGTAGGGAGCTGAGTTGAGAAGACCTGGGGAGAGAGAATGGGCAGTTGGACAAGTATGGGGAAGAGGGTTTGGAGACACAAGGGGGAAGTGAGGCAGCTTCTGGATAGAGGAGGTCTCTAGTTGGGGACTAGAGAGCACATGGTCATAGTGAGAGGTAGAGAAGACTGCTGGCAGCCATGAGGGGGATAGAGGAGGAGGGAGCAGAGAGGCAGAAGGACAGTTTGAAGCATGGAGAGGCAGACAGATCCCCAATATCATGAGGGGAGACTTTTTTCCTTTTACTTTTAGTAGATTTATCTAAAGTTCCTTGGAAGTAAAAAGGGAGTGAGAGGAATTCACCAGCATGTTCCTCATCTCTAGGGAGAAAGGTGGTCCTGTCCCAGGGCTGGGCAGGGCCATGCTGAGTCTGAATCAGCTAGTCCTCTCGTCTGGCCTACGGGGCATCTTCCAGGATGGGCCTCCCTTTCACTCTGTCAGGAACCAGAGCTAAACTAACCGAATCCATGCCTCTCAGGGGCTATTCCAGTCAGACCACACTCAGAGCAATCCCTGCTTCTGCTCACCGCCTGCACCCCACAGGTGCCCCAGGGCTCTTAATTAGAGCAGAGCAATGAAGAGGACCCAGGTAAAACAGCTTCTTCCTCCTCCCTGCCCCCATCCCCTGCCTCTGTGGGATTTAATAACTGCCCTCCTTAAAGATCAGGAGACATGATTAATTCTGACTCGAGGATTATTAAAATGCTTCCAGCAAGCATCTGGCATTAAAAGTTTTAAATCAATTAATCTGTTGTTTGGGAAAGAGCATTCTGGTTAGCACAGCTGCAAGAGGTCATTCAAGTTGCTGTTGGGTTGGGAGAGGCTGTGCTGAGGGAGGGCTTTGCCTCCCCTGGGAGCCAACGACACCCACTGGGCTCCAGGCACTTCCCCTGGCTCCCGAGCCAGGCTTCTCCCACCCAAATCATGTGTGTCCAATTTTTAAATGGTTTTCTCTCCCATGCCCAGATAAAATACACAATACCCAGCTAAATTTGAATTTCAGACAATAGTGTTTTTTTGTTGTTGTTGTTGTTTTGGTTTTTTTAGTGTAAGTATGTCTGAGGTTCACATTTAACTGGGTATTCTGTATTTTTATTTGCAAAATCTGGCAACCGTACACCCCCACCCTGTTTTAAGTGCTTGGTACATTCTAAGTGTAAGAGGCTGAATCGAGAGGCATGACCTCCTAATTGGGGCAGGACCCTTGGACCTGCTATCCATATATCAGATGTCCCAGGAAGGGTTGCTCCTCTTTTTCAGGTCAAGTGAGAAATTAGCAACCTTGAATTCTGGGGCAATTAAGCATTTGTGGAACTCTCACACAGTGGCTTGCAAAATCTCCATTTGATGGATAAATCATATGGGAAAATTATATTCTCAACCTATAATCCCAAGAGCATATACCTGGCATTGTTTTTATCAGGTAGTTACTTTGCCTTGCAGTCAGGGTGCCCATAGCACCTTCCATTTATCCTTGTTGTGGTTATCTACCCGTGAGCTCCTTGATGGCAAGGTTGTGTGTGGGCCAAATTTGTGTCTTCAGCACCCAGCCCAGAGCTGGCACATGGCAGACACCTCAATATGAGTTGATAAAATAAATTCATGAATAAATGAACTTTCCTTGTATTCTGACCAAGGCCCCTGAGTAACCAGAGTTGTCATTTATAAACCACAAAGTGTTAAATGTACAGAAAATGGCCCGGGTTAGAATCAATCTTAAACCCACTGGACCAGGCATTGGACCATGGGCCAGGATCTGGAGGCTCAAATCTGGAGGTAAATTCAGGTTTTTTTTGCTAGTATTAGGTACTCTCAGCTAAGTCCCTACACCTCTCTGGGCTTTGGTTTCCTTGTCTATAAATTGAGAGACTCATGCTTGGAGGTCTACAGCCTAGACATTCTGAGACAATTCCATCTGTGCCAAGCTCTGCAGCCCAGCTTTGAGTGGATCAAGTTGAATGCTGCATCTTGGATCTAATCTGAGTCCCATTGCCTGGTAAGGCTATGCATGGTAATGTCCCATCTTAGAAGTCCAGGAGAAGGCTCAATTGATTGCATGATGTCTGCTGGTCCACTCTTGCCGTTGTCTGTTTTTGGTTTCAGTTGCCACTCTGTAAACAAGGACCAGGCTTGGCTCTCTAGTTCCCTAAGCAGGAGGGCAGAGGAGGGAAGTCCCACCCTTCCGGACTTTGCTTGCCATCCAAGCTTTCTTTGACTCTTGGCCGCACCTCAGATATTTCTTTCCCGACCCTGCAGTCAGCCCAGATTTATCCCGCCTCGTGTCTCTCATGTAAAATGCATCTCCCGACACTTTACCAGGTTAAATGATTTAACAGCCGAGGCAGAGAGAATTAGGGGTCCGGGAGCAGGAGGCAATGCCTGCTTTTCAGATGAGATTGGAAAGGAGATGGAGATTGGTGGTGATGATAATCTCTTATTTTAATAATATAAAATAACTGTCCCACTGAATCAGAGTGAGCGATGAATTCTGTGGCCTGGGGTTAGAGACAGCCCAGCCTGGAGAAGAGAGCTGGGGGGATGTGGAGATGCCTTTCTGTGGCTCCCTCTCTCTTGTCTTTCTCTTTTGAGGATTTGTGCCAGCATCATCCTGTGACTGCCCCTGAACTGCCATCAATAAAAATGCGGGTAGCCAGGAAGACTGAAGGGGAGAGTGATAGATTTGGGGAGTGTGTGTGTGTGTGTGTGTGTGTGTGTGTGTGTGTGTGTGTGTCAGACAGACAATGAATGAATGAATGAATGAATGAATACAAATCTGGGGAAGCTGATAACCACTGTGGTCATCATTTTCCTTTATGATCCATTGCTAGGAGATACTCCAATCTGTGACCCTGGAAAGGGGTCCGAAGGTGAGGGTCTAGACCAAATGACCCCTAGGAGATGTGGAGACTGCTAGCTGGGGCAGTCACTCACAGGAGGCTTGGTCTCATCCCATCAAACTGCAGGGGGAGTGACCTACTCCTCAATTCGTGCCTCAATGGGCAAACACATGTTGAATCCCTATCATGTGCTAATCTTCCTGAGGTTGACTGGGCCAGACCAGGGAGGTTCCACAAGGAGCCGGGTGGTGGGGAACAAACTCTGTGACACATGTCAGCTCAGCAGGGCTCCCCTGCACAGTGGGCTGCTAATAGCTGAGGAGCTGTAGACCTGTCTTCTTCCCTGGGATTAATTCATTACTCCAGCCCTACTCGGATTCCGTCAGGTTCAAACGTCAGAATTTAATATGAAGCTAATGAGTCAAATGCTCTCTCTATCTCTCCCTGTCTGGGGCTCACTCTCTTTCCCTTTTCTCTCTCTGCAAATCATTGCAGATGCCAGGGGTCATGTGGGTTGGAGCAGAGCTATGGCTGCCTGGGCCGCAGAGGGGCCTTCCTCCCCTTCTTTAGTGAACAGGAAACCTGCTCTCTTTACTGCACTTGTTTATCGTGAAGATCAAAGTGCTAGGATGATGGAAGCCCACTCCTGCTGGGGTTCCCTGAGTCAAAATCATGGGAACACACGGAGAAGTGAGGAGAACTGATAACAGGGAGAGCCTGATTCCTTGCACTTGGAATTGCTGCTCCTCATTAACCAACAACCGTTTCTGAGAACTCATTATGTGTTGGGTCCATGCTAGGCACTAAGGATACAAAGTTGAATGGGTTGATTGGTTCATGTTTTATAATAAATGTTTAGTGAATATGTAAAGAGGCAGTGGGGTATGGTTGTTAGAGTAGAAGGCTCTGGAACAAGACTTCTTAGGTTTGGATCTGCTGCTCACTGGTTGCATTAACTTAGGCAAGTTTTTTAGCCTCTTTGCCTCTATTTTCTCATCTGCAAAATACAGATAACAAAACAACATTTTCATGCAGTTGTTATGAACATTAAATGGGTTGATACAAGTAAAGCTAGCAAATACTAAATAAATTTAGTTATTGTTCCTATGTGGTAAGAACTTAGGGTTCCAGTTTCTTTTCTGTTTTTTTTTTTTTTTTTCTTTTTGAGATGGAGTTTCACTCTGGTTGCACAGGCTGGAGTGCAATGGTATGATCTTGGCTCACTGCAACCTCCGCCTCCTGGGTTCAAGTGATTCTCCTGCCTCAGCCTCCTGAGTAGCTGGGATTACAGGTGTGTACCACCAGGCCAGGCTAATTTTTGTATTTTTAGTAGAGACGGGGTTTCACCATGTTGGTCAGGCTGGTCTCAAACTCCTGACCTCAGATGATCCACGTGCCTTGGCCTCCCAAAGTGCTGGGATTATAGGCATGAGCCACTGCGCCCGGCCGGGTTCCAGTTTCTAAAATAGAATGAGCCAATATTGAATAGCAGCTTACCTTGTATCAGGCAATGTGATTTATACGCATTAACTTATTTAATCCTTACAATAACCTTATAAGGTAGGTCTCATTATCTTTATTACCGTTTTACACAGGAGAAAGCTGAGACTAAGGTCTGCTCTTGCTGAAGGGCACCCAGCTAGAAAACGATGGAGCTGGAATTTGATCTTTGCTCTGTTGGACTCTGAGTCTGGGCTTTTGGCCACAGTTTGATGTCTTGGGGAGACAGAACATCCATAATTACAGAAATAATATTATCTTGTAACACAGGTCCAAATACAGCACTGTGGGATCCACAGAGAATGATGTGGCTGTCTCTGTTGAGGGAGGTCAAAGAGGGTTTCCTGGTGGAGGTTGAGTAAACATTCCTTCAGTGTATGGAGTAGGGCAGGCAGGAAGCAGAAGGGCCGGTGAAAAGCAGGGTGCATTTGGGACCCTCTAACTAGAATGGCTGGAGGGAAGGTGAATGACGGGGAGTGCCCAGGATTGAGACTGGGAAGGCAGGTGGGGAATGCCTCACACAGGGTGCTGTTGACTGTGAATCAGACATAGGTATTCTGTGAGAACAATGGGAGGCCAGGAATGTGAGGCTGGGGAAGTTGCACAAGACATGCACTATGGAAAGCTCTTTCCCTGCTGAACTGTGGAATACAGATGAGGGCCTGGGAGGCCTGAGGCACGGAGGATGCTTAGGGCATTGCTGCAATTGCCAACTTGTTGCTGTAAACAGGATGACTCCACTCTCCATCCAGGAGACCAGAGGGTGAGTGTAAAAGGAAGAATGGGATTTACAGGTAAAAATGGAGGTCGTGTCTATTTCTGATCCTGGGAAGGAAACAGTGTGACCCAGCCAGGGAAAGAGGGTGTCAGCTCTCAAGACTGCCTGGAAGTAGATGAGTGAGATGTGGATGCACAAGGGGTGCAGAGCAAGTTTATCTGAGAAGAGAATAAGTTTTAACTGACATTTAGTGGTCAGCAAACCAAGCATGCATAGCCAGGGAGGCAGGCAGGTGAGAGGACTATTCCAGGTTCAAGTCAGGAGGGTCTTGAGTTGGAAGAAGGAAAGCCTCTGCTGGGTTAACACAGGAGGCACAGGCAGGGGCACAAGCAGAGGGCAGCGTCCCAGGCAAAATGTGCCCTGCTGGACAGAGCTGGCAGTGTCAGAGCAGCAGCTTCAGTCTAATGGAGGTAACTAGGGACCCAAATGGGAGACCAGACAGATTCAAGAAGGCACTGAGGATCCCATGGCACCTGGGAGAGGGCCAGCCTTTATCTGCTTGGAGAGAAATTCAAATATCTCTTAAGTATTCAGCAAAGAAAATCTTGAAATGGCAAGAGACCACCGCCTGGGGCCCTCAAAGGCTGTGCCCAGCAAGTCAATATTTTGCTAAGTGCTCAGTTTGCAACCAGAAACAATCACTCTGCAAACATATTTCTTTTTATAATTCTTGGTATTTTTCTCTTGTTTTCCTTGCAAAGTTTGTTTTCTTCACCCCTCTTCAATCCCATTTTGGGCATATTTGCAGATCTAAGAGGGAGAGCTATGCCTCCGTGGCTGGCTGGGGTAGCAGCCACAGTCTCAGTCAAGAAGAGCTAAAAGCAGGTATCTGGAACATGCAGAGAGGTGAGAGCAGGGCCTGTCGGGCCAAGTGAGGAGGGATTTTGGCCATTTTCCACTGTGGCCGTGCCTTTGTGATAGGTGGCATGTAGCTCTGATGGAAATAGTCAGGTGGCCCAAATAAATGGAGACCCACGAAGGCTTCCCTGATCCGTTCTTTTTAGAACAACCATAGCTGTTTAGCTAGAGCTATTCTAAAAAGCTCTGTGACTCATGCTTGGCCTTATGTTATAGTCATTCTTGCACATGGCTTGCTCTCTGTACTGGGCTGCAAGCTCCCTGAAGGCTTTGCTGCTGTCATACTGCTATTTTCAACATGGTGTGTTGGATCAGGGGTGGGTGGGTCCCAAGTTCAGGCTCCAGTCCCCAGAAAGGCAACACTTAAGAATGATCTCAACCAGAGATTCAAACTGTGTTGCAAGCCAGCCCATCAAAATGGGAATCTTGGAATAGGGTTCACCACAGAGACCCAGGGATTCTACCTGGGGCACTCAGGGTGAGGATGGGAGAGGGACCTGGAGATTGGGCAGAAGGCAGAGGCACCTTGCTAGAGCCAAGAAAGAGGTAAGAGATTACTTTCCATCTCTATCACCCAGGTCACTGCAATAACCTCCAAAGTTGTATCTACTCTTCAGTCCAGTGGTCCCCAACTTTTTGGCACCAGGGACTGGTCTCGTGGAAGACAGTTTTTCTACAGACCATGGCCAGTGGAAGACAGTTTTTCCCACGCACCAGAGTGCATTACATTTATTGTGCACTTTATTTCTCTTATTATTATATTGCAATACATAATGAAATAATTATACAACTCACCATAATGTAGAATCAGTGGGAGCCCTGAGCTTGTTTTCCAGCAACTAGATGGTCCCATCTGGGGGTGATGGGAGACAGTGACAGATCATCAGGCATTAGATTCTCATAAGGAGCTCACAACCCAGATCCCTCACATGTGCAGTTCACAATAGCGTTTGCACTCCTATGAGCATGTAATGCCGCCACTGATCTCACAGGAGGAGGAGCTCAGGTGGTAATGCAAGCAATGGGGAGTGGCTGTAAATACAGATGAAGCTTTGTTTGCTCACCCGCCGCTCACCTCCTGTTGTGTGGCTTGGTTCCTAACAGACCATAGACTGATACTGGTCCCCCAGGGGTTGGGGTCCCCTGCTTTAGCCTGTCCCTGCTTCCAGTTATCAGCCAGTTGACCATCACTCTGTATCCCTCTCCATTTCAAAATCCTTCAATGACTTCCCATGGCCTCAGAGAAAAGCCCAGACTCCAAAGCCCTAGTTGACTCAATTTTCCACTCTCTGCTCCCTCCACCCATGCAACATTTGCTGTTCAAGACTGTAGCTTATTTATAACCTTCCCCCAACTTAATGTACTTTACAATTTCCTGCCTGGACACCTTTTCAGAGGCCTCATCCTGTTTTTGCATACGAACACCTACAGCCACTCCCTGAGCCCAATTTAGGAAGACTTTTTTTTTTTTTTTTTTTTTTTTTTTTTTGTGGCTTCCCTGGCCCACATTCCTTTTTGGGCTAACATCTGGTGAGTGTGTACCATGTGCCAAGCACTTTATGTGTGTTATCTCATTTAGCCCTCTCTGTAGCTCGAGTACTTCAGCTCTGCTATTAATTCCAAAGGTGAAGTACCTTGTTCAAAGTTACATAGCTGGCAAGTAGCGGAGTCAGTAGTGAACCCTGGCGCTTTGAAATCCCAAGTATTGTTCTTAATCCTGT
Source organism: Homo sapiens (assembly GCF_000001405.40). NCBI lineage: Eukaryota > Metazoa > Chordata > Mammalia > Primates > Hominidae > Homo > Homo sapiens. The sequence goes on along the minus strand of NC_000011.10, from coordinate 116,364,430 downwards.
CATATACAAAATAATCTGTTGATCCTTTCACTTGCTATGTAAAGAATACATACCCTCCTCTCCCTTCTGTCACCCTCTGGCCACCAAGGACCATGGGTACTATGTGAAAATGTAGAATTTGCGATTTCTAGTTTGGAGGCAGCGTGATACTGTAGAAGAATACTGAACGAGAACACAGGAAGCCTGTCTTCTGGCTCTAGTACTGGGCAAGTCACCTAACCTTTCTGAGGCTGTTTTTTTCTTTGTTAAAAGCAAAGGATAGGCTGGGCACGGTGGCTCACACCTGTAATCTCAGCACTTTGGGAGGCCGAAGCAGGCGGATCACCTGAGGTCAGGAGTTCGAGACCAGCCCGGCTAACATGGTGAAACCTCATTTCTACTAAAAATACAAAAAATTAGCCAGGCGTAGTGGTGTGCACCTGTAATCCCAGCCACTCAGGAGACTGAGGCAGGAGAATTGCTTGAATCCGGGAAGTGGAGGTTGCAGTGAGTGAGCTGAGATCGTGCTGTTGCACTCCAGCTTGGGGAACAAGAGTGAAACTCTCCCCGCCACCCCACCCCCGCAAAAAAAAGCAAAGGATAACTTCTATGACGGGCCCAGTGAGGGTCAAATTAAGTAAAGTTCATGACAGCACTCTGTAAACTGCAAAAGTAAGGTGGAATTATTATTATTATCATTTTTATTATTACTTTTCAAAGGTGAATTATATCTTGAATAGAATACTAGGCAGTTTGCAGACAGGGTGTCCTGAATAGCAAAGGACACAAGAGGAAGGTCTGCAAGCAGATAGTTGGAAAACTCTTGAAAGTCTATTGGAGTTGGTTAGCTTTAGTCAACGCCAGCAATCAGGTCAAGATACCTCCACTAGGATGCCACACAGGCAAGAATGAAATAAACTTCAAGGTGTTTGTGAAGCTTCTAATATTGGACAATTCTGGGGAGACCCATCAATTTCATTAGAAAACTCAGTGGCATCCGTGGTCCCAAGAAAGTTTAGAAAACAGTGGCCTAAGGAAAGGGGTTTGGCCATGGAATGTGGCAATAGCTAATAGCTGGGAAGAGGGTTGCTTTGATTCAGAAACGTAGGCATAGATGGGGAAGTCCTAGGGGTGACTGGGAATGGGGTCCCATGGCCAGCCTATTTGGAGCCCACCTGGCAAGGTCCTGGACAAGCTGTACTCCAGGCTAGTGGGGGGTTTTCTAAAGAGGCAGCCTTATATCTACATATGGGGTCAGAACTGTCTAGAGACAAGAGGGATATCCAGGGAGCAGCAAGTTCCCTGTCATAAATGTTCAGGCACTGGATGAGCCCATCACGGGCTTTGTGGAAAGATTTTAGCATTATGTAGACTGTTGGGCTAAAAGGTGCCTGCATTTCCTTACATCTTTGAACTGGTTGTTTCTCTGATGAATGTGTTGAGCAGTGTTAAGCAGGCAGCATCACTTAGGTGAATACCCATACTGTATCTACCCTGGGCCCCCCAATTCCTCAACCTGCTGTGATTCCAATTTTGTATTTCTTAGATGGCTGTGCATGAGATTGTTCCACAGCTCACACTGAAGAGATCAACATGGAAGAGAACAGGTTTGAGCTCGGTCTTTGAGGCCATGTCTAGGTAGGAGAAAGTTGTCTTTGTGGAGCTGTCAGAGCCGAGAGCAGACTGTGTTCCAGAGAGCAGTAGACAGACCCAGACATAAGGTGTTTTGAGAAAAAGGGCTTTGCTCTCAAATGTGTTTGGAAAATTCTGGGTGAGACAAAGTTAAACAGTTTTTGTTTTTGTTGTTGTTGTTGATTTGCTTGTTTGTTTTACTTCTTTGAACCTGTGACTTTCCAGGATGGGAGCATGATATGCAGTTATCTCCTGGTTTTGTTTTTTTGTGTGCATGGAACCTTTTCTTCCTCCAAGGGGCAATTCTCAGGGCTAATGCTCCAAAGAATATGCCAACGTTGTCCAAGACAACTTGTCAGATGCTTTCTGTCTTTTCCACTCCCAGTCTGTCTCTCCTTTCATTTCCCCAATCCTTCTCTGCAGCCAGGATTCTGTAGGGAGACATCTGGAGCCTCAAGAAGACCCTTCCTCAGCCCAGTAGGATTTCTGCAAGTGGTATAGGTTTAGGCGTGTAATGAATTTAGATTTAATTTGCAAGTGAAAAAGCTTGCTTTCTTTTGTAGCTTACACCAAAGCTCAAACGTCTAAGCTTCCAGGGTTTAAGTCTAATTAACTGTATTTCACAGCTTATTTAAAGAAAAGAATGGAGGCATTAAAATTGTAAAATCTAATTTTTGAGTAAATCTTTCAGTGCAAAATTAATGTCGCAGTATTAGAGCCGCCTTGGCAATATATCTCTTGTCTTCAAATTTCAAAATGAGCTTTTGCAAACATGAAATTATTCATTAGACTGTCTGGTAAAGAGATAAATAAGTGTCTCTTCAAATCCTCGATCTCCTCTTCTCTATTTAGCCAAAGACGGAGTTATTTGGTTTGAGGGGCCAAGAGGGTTGATCAGATTTTTGAATTTCGACAGGTAAGGAGAGAAGCAGAAAAGCAGAAGCTTTTGTCTGTCAAGGGAGTTGGGACACAGACAATCCCTTCTTTGTTTCTTAGTCTACTCCTGAGGGATCAATTGGCTTTGGGGATCAATGAAATATCTCAGCAGTTACACTGGAGCCAGGGGCGGGGTCTGCTTGGGCAGCCAATTGGCTGAAACATCCAGATTCTCTAGTACCTCCAGGTGAGCATTTTTCCGTTCATTCTCATCACTAAGTGATCAGCGTCCTGTCAGGCCCATCACTGAGGCATCTTTAACTTCTGAACTCTTCTGTTTGTCCCCATTGTTATGGTCCCAAGTCAGGTTCTCACCCACCTGCCTTTCCATTCTCATCTGCCACCTCTTTCTCTCCTGGGCCCCATGTCGTGGCCTCACTAGATGTGCCCAGTGTGTCCACAGTTCTGAGCTTTGCACAAGCTCTTACAGAACCCAGACCACTTCCTCAACCACTCCTCCTGCCCACTAAACTATGAGTTCCTCCAGGACAGGGAAGGTATCCAGTTCTTTGTACCCTTATTATCTAGCACAGCACCTGGTATACAGAAGGTGCTCACTAAATGTTTGTTGATGATGATGAAGATACTAATGAAATATATCCAAAATGGATATTCAGGAACTTCAGGTTAGTGCTTTCCAACCTTTCATTTCACTTGGTAGCTGTTTCCTTTTAGCTGCAGTATGAGGCTGGTGGGGACCGGAATGGAGGAGCTGGGTGTGGGGGTGCCTCAACCTGGAAGAGGTCATTCTGAGGGATCACGAGGTATGGAAAGAACACCGCTGGGTGAGAATTTAGCACTGCTCCCTACTCCCCAGCTGAATGTGAGCAAGCTGCTTCACTTTTCTGTTTCCTGACCTGCAAAATAGGAATAGAAATGCCTGGGCCACAGGAGTTCTGCAGAGGCGACATGGAAATCATCCATATGAAGTACCTCATACTCTTGCCTGGTCCAAGCAGGCCTCCAGAAACGGGTAGCCGCTGTTTATGAACATTGTACAATGAAGGGATGAGGTTTAAGCATGCTAACGTTTACATACCAGTACCAGCTTCTTTGTGTGTTTATTAGGTCTTCTGTTCATTTATTGAGTCATTCAATAAATATGCGTTATCCTTTTGTACTGAGTATCAGGAAGGAAGCTAGATGCTGGAGACATGGTACTGAATTAGGCCTCCATTTCCTGCATGTCATTAGAATCAAGCATCATTTCTCATTTCCCTTGGCAGTGACCAGCCCAAGCTGCCAGGGTCTCTTGTCCAATCTATCTCAATAGCCTCCTAATCTGCACCCCTCTGTTTTGCCTCCTCCAATCCATTTCCCACAGAACAGACAGATGAACATTTTAAAATGCAAACTGACCACATGACTGTTCTGCTAACACCCTCGGTGGCTCCTGGTTGCCTGCTGGACATGGTCCACGGGCTGTCACATAGCTCATGAGGCCTGGCAGTGTCCCTGCCGGCCCTTCAGCTCCATTTCTTTGCGCATCCCTACCGCATGCATACAGACGGTCCCACCAGCCTAAACTGCTTCCAGATCCTGGAGTCTGCCTTCCCCCAAGTTATTCCCCCTGCCTGGAATACACTTTGCTCCCTTCTCTCACCACCATTTGCCTGGTGTTCGCCTAACATCTACTCATCCACATTTTGGTTTGATCAATTCCTCCCTGGGGGCCTTTTGTGACTCTGGATCAGGAGGTGCTCTTTTCAGGAGCCACCCCTGCACCCTGCACCTTGCACCTCCCCATCATGGCACTGCCTATGTTTTGTTTATCTTCTCTCCCCACACCCATCCCACACTGTTATATTCAAAAGAAGCAGAAGGCAGACATCCAAAAAGTATTGAGAAATGATTTAAATCTTTTATGAAGCTGCTTGGAAAATGCCAAAGGGGCATTCGTTCCTAACATACAGCAAAAGTTTTAAAAACCTCTTTTCTCCCTCCCCCTGCTTTCTGTCAATACCCCACACAGTATGGCAGCATCACTACATTCTCTTTCCCCCACTAAACTCTCCCAAAGCCATCCCGAACACAGTCTTTTCCTGCTTTGATTTCTCTCACTCCCTTCCTGCTTCTAGATTTTCACTCATAGATAACTCTTTACTTTCATTCTCATTTTTAAATTTAAAAGTGAAAAATTCTGCCAGGTGCGGTTGCTCACGCCTCTAATCCCAGCACTTTGGGAGGCTGGGGCAGGCAGATCACCTGAGGTCGGGAGTTTGAGACCAGGCTGGCCAACATGGAGAAACCCTGTCTTTACTAAAAATACAAAATTAGCCAGGCATGGTGGCACATGCCTGTAATCCCAGCTACTTGGGAGGCTGAGGCAGGAGAATCACTTGAACCTGGGAGGTGGAGGTTGTGGTGAGGTGAGATCACACCATTGCACTCCAGCCTGGGCAACAAGAGCAAAACTCCATCTCAAAAATAAATAAATAAATAAATAAAAGAAAAATAAAAATTCAAATATTCATACGAAAACAGAACATAGTAAGAACATAGTAAGACAAACACTCATGCACCTGCCACAGATTAAAGAGAGGTGAGCATTTTGTTTACTGGCTTAGCTCTCTGCCCTTTCTCAGCAGCAGGTCTGGTGGAGGTGGTTATAAACGGTGGTCATGCAAAGATCACAAACAAGGGAAGTGGTCTACGTGATAATAGGGAATGGTGGAGACTGTGGCAAACTAGAGTGAATATGCCCTGCACAGAGAGGCTCCTTGAAGAGATGCCTCTCAAAAACAGGGGACTCGATTGTCCTGTTCACCTTGGTATTCCAGCACTTGGGATGGGACCAGCCCCATGCTTAAACGAAAGTACGAATGAATGAAGCAATAGGGGCCTGGTGTGACCAGATTTCCTAGTTTACCATGAGAGGCCAGGAATCTGAATCTGAATGAGAAATCTGAGCTTTAACTGTTGGACATTATCTCAAACATCTTTTAAAAACTCACTATGGGGCAGGTGCCCGTGTTGGCAGGTATGATTTCTGACCCAAGCTTGCTGGGCTTCTTGAATTCCCTCTTTAGCCTCCACCTGATTTCAACACTTCAGAAAGGGCAGGCCCAGAGGTTGCCCAAAAGTCCATGGCTCCTTCCTCTTCCAAGGCAGGGGAGGTGGGGAGGAAGGCCGGGAATGCTCATAAGCAGATATGCTTTGTCACTGCCACGCTATAAGTGTCAGGGGCGCCGGGGGCAGTCTCCTGTTTACTCGGAACCCCCAGGCCCAGAGGGACCTAGAACGTTTTAGGTGTTGAGCACACGTGTGCACAGGGAGGGTGGGGTGAGCCGCCGTGGGCTCTCCAGCAAGTTCCCTTGGCAGGGGCCCTGATTGCTACCTGAAGAGCACCCTCCACCCACGCCCTACCCGTGGGCATGGGTCCGGTGCTGCCAGGGACAACAGCTAGCTGAGTACAGAGCCACCCAGGGCAGGGTGGGGCGGAGCACTGAGTCTTGTGGGTTCTAGTCCCAGCTTTGCTAACCACTGGCCGTGTGACTCTAAAGAGGATACATCCCCTCTCTGGCCTTGCTTGCCTGTGGGGTTTGTGCCTTCCAGCTCAAACGCCTTTGATTCCAGGCGGGGCGACAGCATAGGGAACGCAGCAGGCGGGGCGCGGTCCTGCAGCGCCGCGTGTCTCGGCAGCGCCGCCTACAGGCAGGCAGAAAACCCATCTCTGGGGCGGGTGGCTCCCCAGGCAGGGTGCACGCTGTTTGTTTTTTTCCGAGAAGTCTTGGTCCGATGGGAACTTCTTTGAAGTAATCACTTCTCAGAGCCAATTAGTGTCTGACTGCACTCTGAAATGAGCCAGAGGGGAGGCGGAGTGGGCTGATTGTCTTGCTGCGGCAAAGGCGGTGGGCGGGGAGTGCGTCTGCAGTCCTGGGAAGGGGTGTACACTGGGCCGTGTAAATAGGTGGCCTCTTCGCCTCGCTCAGTCCTTGACGCTTCTTCAGCAGAGTGTGAGCCTAGGAGCGGCTTTCAGGAGCGTGGGCCTAGAAGGCCGCCAGGCGGAGGAGAGCAGGAGAAGGCCTTGGAAGGCAGGGCCACTTTGGGGAGTGCGACCCTGCCCCATCCCAGCTCCGCTCCTTGTGAGCTGTGACCTTGGCAAGTTGCTTCGCCTTTCTCAGCTCCATTTCCTTTATGCTAAAATGGGAATATCTAACTGTCCACTTGGCAGGCTTGTCGTGAGGATGACATGGGTGCCAAGGCCCTTTGCGAAGGCAACAGGAGGGCAAGTTACTGCATCTTTTCAAGCTTCAGGGTTCTCTCCTCTGTAGAAAGGGCTGCTGAGCACGAGAGTGCGTATGAAGACTTGACGTGCGGCATGGACTGAAGGACGATTAGTCCGTCTTGGCATTACTGTTAACTATGCACACGGCGCACAGGTACATAGACTGTGGCCCCGAGGGCAGGTTTCAAGTCTCTATAATGTGGGAAAACATCTCAGGGTACTACAGTGAAGTTTTCAGAGGGAAGACTGAGTCGTGGGTAGGGGTGCACTGATGGCTGAGAGGGAGCAGGGCCCTTGCAGAGTGGGGTCCAGATGGGCTGGGCTTGGGGCAGGATAGGGAGGACAGGGTCAGGAAGAAGCCGGGGGACCCATGGCAGAACCACCTGCTTAAAGAGTGGTGGAGTCAACATAGGGCTCAGAGGAACCTCAGAGAGGACCTTTTATGAAGATGCAAAGTGGGGTAGAGACTTGGCATGGGACAGCTTAGCAGCAGATCCAGGCTTGGCCTTGTACTCCGGACTTGTGGTCCAGGACTCTGTTCTCAGTCCCCACAAAGGGCACCTTCACTCCTTGGCCCCACTGAGGCTTCCCAGTCATCTTCTCACAGTCACTTGTACCTTGTGGTTCTCCCTTTACGTGGAGCTGCCTCGCCTCCTCTGCACACTCCCAAGGGTGGGCTCCAGCTTGGTGAGCTCCCACCTGTGCCTGCTTCTCGGCCCCGGCAGGAATCCTCCAGGGAGCTGATGTGGCTGTGCCTTTTCTGGGGCCAGGCAAACAGGAGCCTTCAGGCCCACTGTAGCCTGGTCTGGGATTCCAGAAACATTTAGAGGCCTTTGAAACCATCAACCTTGTAAGCTCGGATTCCCGAGAAGCGGGATAAACAAACCTGAGCCCAAGAGGAAACTCATTCTTCTTTCTTTCCTCTGCCTTTCAAACTCATCAAAGTCAAATTCTCAAAGCTCTACTGTCTCACAAGTGCCTTCAAATGGGTCTCATTGTTTTATTTATTGTGCTTATCACAAGTGCAGGCAGCCTGGAGATTTCCGGGCCAGTGGAGACCTCTTTCAAGGAGTGTTGACATTTCTGGGGATCTGAATGGTCTTCAGTGTCTTTCTTTCCCTGGGCAGACCTGATTGAGAGAGGCGGTCGCTAATAGGGGTTCCCAGGTGGGTCGTTCCTGTAGGGCTTTCAGAGCCTGGCAGGCCTGGAACACTTCATCTGTATTCCTCTGCCCCAGAGCAGCCAGATCTGCAACCAGCCCAGATTGACATCCTGGTTCTACCCTCAGACCATCCTGGTGGGACCCTGTCCTGCAATGTAAGGCTCAGCAGCTGTACTGATGAGAGTTACTGTGACCTTTTACATGAAACAACATTAAATAAATATGAACCAAGTAACTACTGTGTGTGTATTGGGGGTGGGAAAGGGAGTGAGGAGGCCTGCCCCATGGTTTTCTATGGCCCGCAGTCCACTATGGGAGGAGGAAGAATTTACCCATTGCTCTGCGACCTGGCAGGCTGGGAGAGGTGCAGTACTGAGGCAGAGAGAAAGTGCTGGCGGAAGAGAGATGGATGCTGATGTGGATGGGAGAGGGAGACCTCATGAAGGAGATAAAGTCTGAAGGTCAGCAGAAAGGCAAGCGAAGGATGTGTAAGGTGGAGGGGACTGAAAAGCAAAGGCAGAGAGGCGAGGAGTGCAGGTGAGTTTGGGAGATGAATGGTGAGCATCCTGCTATTGTGGAAGAAATAGAGGGACAAGGAGGGGTAGGGGGAGATCAGGTTGGGCCAGGTTGTGGAAGGCTCACTTGCTCTGTAGGCAACTGGGATCCCCTTATCAGTTTTGGTGGAGCATCTCTGAGATGGCTGGGTCCCTGCTGGGTGCACAGCATGATGCTGCGAAGGGATAGAATTAGATACGGGAATCTGGGCTTGGCCCTTTGGCCATGGCTTTGCTGGACATATGACCCCTGTCGTCCTTCTGGATGTTTAGTAGAAGGGCGCACTGTGGTGAGATTGATCCTCAGAGCGCACACCTGTGCCCTCTAGAATGGGCTCAAAATGGGCCCACACGTGCCCTCCCAGGCACAGTGGTGGAGCAGCAGATGGAGCCGAGGCCAGCAGCGTGATCTTGGCTAACCCCCACCTCTCTGAGTCTGGCTATCATCTTTGCAATGTGGTCGATATTACCTTTCTTGCAAACATGAGATAATGTATATAAAAGTGCTTTGAAAGCTATAAAGCATTATACAGATGCAAAGTATTATCTTTTTTTCCCTTTCCTTTTATTATCTTCTCATCTATTCTCAGCCTGCCCTGTAATTGAGCCAGGACCAAAGACCTATCTCCTACCATATCACAGTGGATCTGCTGTGGAGGGCAGACTGGACATGTCAATGTTTCAGAAATTCCAGGAAGCAGAAGCCAGAGAGGTCAGGGAGCCTGGACTTGGTCAGGCAGCAGGGAGCAGTGTGGCTGAGTTTGCCCAAGGAAAAGATGCTAGAGGGGGATGACAACATTTTTTCATTGTCATCCTTGATGTTTATCATTGCTATTGTCGTCATCACCATCATCATCTTGATGGCATCTTCATAATTCCCTGGACCTAAAATGCCCTGTACCCATCTTCTCCTTTTGAATCCTTTATTTCTCAATTTTTTTAAAAGATGGAATCTCACTCCGTCACCCAGGCTGGAGTGTAGTGGTGCAATCTCAGCTCACTGCAACCTCTGCCTCCTAGGTTCGAGCTATTCTTGTGCCTCAGCCTCCCAAGTAGCTGGGACTACAGGCATGTGCCACCATGCCCGGCTAATTTTTGCATTTTGAGTAGAGACGGGGTTTTGCCATGTTGGCCAGGCTGGTCTTGAACTCTTGGCCTCAAGTAATCCACCCGTCTCAGTCTCCCAAAGTGCTGGGATTACAGGTGTGAGCCATCGCGCCGGCTCTATTTCTTAATTTTTAATGGCCTCTTCTGGGAAGTGTTTCTCAGTTTCCCTAGGTGGCAGTGGTCTCATCTCCCATAGCACTTGTTGGCCATTTTTTTTTATGGTGCTTTTTCTTTGTGCTCTGTATTTCAGTCATCTGTGGACATTTCCTTTCTTTCCTGTTGGATTTAAGCCCCTCAAGGGAAAGGACCAGGCCTTCTGGACTTTTGTGTACTCCTGAATGTCCCCCCAAATGCTGAAGGGATTAAGAACTTATCTGTCTTCAGAAGCATCAGTGAGACCAGAGTGCTAGGCTGGGTGCTGAGGCATGTCCTGTAGGACATATTTTCTAAGGCAGCCTCATGCTCACTCTGTTCTGCAAAATGTATGTCCTGCTGAGTTCAAGTCCATGGGCAGTGGACTGGCAAGTCCAGGTCTTCCCTGTCAGTTGTTCCTGTGCTTCTGCCCTGAGCCTTGGGCTGTGTCTGGGTTCCTTGGTGCCCGATCCAGTTCATTCCCTCTGCAGGACTGGGAAGTAAGGGCTGTCTGGACACTTGGGCAAGGGAGAGAAAGGAGGCAGGAGAGGATGGAAGGATGGGGATGGGGAGGAGACTGAGGCCCTGACAGAGCAAAGGCCCCTGCTTTGCTCTGAGGAGTCCCCAGATTCCACCAAACCCAGAGATGTAAAGGAGTCATTCTTCCAGCCTTCTTGTTCCTGGCCCTTGGAGCCCCCTGAGCTCCTTCTTTGTTCTAGTGAAATAATGGCTTGTCAGGGAGACACGATTATTACTAATTACTAGATTGCTTTGTGCCTGTTGTTCTCAGACAGGCGAGGCGGGGCCTGACTCTGGAGGCACCTCTGGGTGACCTCTCCTGGAGAGGGAGAAGCCAGCACAAGGAGAGTGAAGGAGCAAGGAAGAGGGGCCGTGGTGCTCTTGTAACTCCTTGTTTATAGCCGGTGGCCTTTCAGGATGATGGCTAGGGAGTCCAGGTTGGGGGCGATGACTCACATTCACACACAAAGACAGCACATGCTGACAAGTACAGGCACCCAGGAAATCATTCACACACACTCCCATTAAAACACCTGTGTGTGTAGCTGTTACATGCTCAGCGATGCACACACACAAGTGCAGTTTCTCAGCAAGCAGTGTACACAAACAGTAACCCACAGATGGACAGACACCTCAGGCCTGGCTAAAATGGTCGGATATGCACAGATACCCCCTGTGTACAGGTATGTGCAAATGTATAGTGATTTGGGGGTGATCACTGTATTTCTCTTCCCACCAATTTCTGAACCAAGTGAAAAATAGACACAACAGGCAGACAGGGATCAAGATATTCCTCTATCTCATCACTTTTTTATGACATATATATTTTCACATTTCTGAAATTGGGGTTTGTTTTACAATCAGCAGCTTGTGGCTTATAAAATGCACTCCAATTAGATTTGTCAGCATGCTAGCTTTATCATTAACGAACTTGATTTAAAGACATAAAGCTCCCATGGACTTCCTACCCTTGCCTTCTGCTTAGAGGTTGCCCAGAGTTGCAAGCCAAGAATCCAGACACCTGCAGGCCTCCTTGCTCTCGGGCAGAGCCTGCTGTGGCCAGCTTACCTGTGGCTGAGGAGGAGAGAACATGAGCACTGTACCACTGATGCCAGCCGTGCAGGTGCCATGACCCTGTCTTTTCCCAGCCTTACCAATTAGGTAAGGAGAGAGCCAGGGAAAGGAGGCAGATGGAGAAGAGGGCAGAGGATTTCTCCCTACCTTATACAAGCCAGGGCAGGGACACAGGAAATGGTTTATATCTGGGTACTGGCGAATGGACAAAAAATATGTACAAAGACATTTACACACAATTTGCATATTTATGTGTATATTACCCAAAAGGACCAGGTGAGCAAGGATTAAACAGTTAGACCTATGTAGTGTAGACAGTCAAGCATGTGCCTGGAGACACAGGAAATGGATACAAGAAGCCTCACACATATACACACATATACAGATACACTTGTATCCAGGTGCCCATACTATGTAAAAACTCACCTCCTGGATGCTGGCCAGCATTATCCTGCAGGGAGTGATGAGCCACTTGACAACAGAAGAAAGAGTGCACAGATCTATCCTGGGGCCACTTTATGGAGTTTCCTAAGCCAGAGGATTGCGGTGGGCTTCATGTTGGCAGAGTGATCAGCATCTAGCCTATCACTAAGGCTGTTTCTTACAGCTCACAGCATGTTGCCAGTCTGCGCCTTCTAGCATGGTGCTGGCCTTCTGGGGGACCCCTGGACAGATTTGCCTGTCCTCTATGGTCCCAAGGCTTGAAAGATAGCCCTGCCTCATCCCTTCCTTCCTAAATCCCCCTTAAAACCTGGCCTCTGCAGTCTGCCCTGGCAGGAAGGGACGGCAAGCCATCTGGCTCACATCATCATCCAGTTGAGGAACCAAGTTGGCTTTAAGGGAAGCTCTGGTGCCATCTTTATTCTAACTCCTCAGACCCTGCCTATCTGCATAGATGGCACCATTAAGTCACTCACACATTTATTGCTGTCTATGTGCTTTCCTGTCATTTCTGGACTGCGTTTGCCCACTTCTCCTTAGACTGGAAGCACCCCAGGGACAGGGGCCACATCTCTTAATTTAATTGTCAACATTTATCAGTCAGTTCAGAACTGGCATTTAGAGGCCTCCTAGTCCCGCCCCCATATTTTACTGATGAGGATAATGAAGCCCAAAGAGAGGAAATGATTTGCCTAGGGTTGACATAACTGACCAGGGGTGAGGACTAGCTTCCCACTTCCCATTTGTGTGCATCCTGGGATTATGTGGTTAACTGTGAGGCGTTCACCTGTGTGTGCTCTACGTATATGTGTGGATAGTCCCATGATCTTAGTCATGTATGGGTGGCTGCGTCCGTGTGTTCCCGTGTATGTATTCCTGGGTGGGTTTCTATCTGTGTATAACCATGAGAATGCTGTGAATTCTGTGTAAATGAGCTGATGTATCCATTTACATATACCTAATTGTGTATCCACCATGGGTCCTGGTGCAATATCCAAATGCCCCCGTGCGTATATAAGTGTGTATACCCATTCACAAACAACTGTATCTACAAGTCCACCCTTGTCTGCCCCAGGCAAGTATGTACTGACTGTGTACCCATCTATGTGCACTTATGTATGTATGTACATCCCTGTGTGTGCATTTACAATGTGTACCTGACTGTGGATATGTAAATGCCATGTAAATTCTCTGTGTGTTTGTGGTAACGGATGGGTTGTGTGTCTATTTCCATATAGCTCCAGCATTTCCTGCCTGCACTCAGTGTGCTCACCTTTGTGACTCTGGCAGAATGAGCCCTCCTACTCCATCCTTGTGGTCCCTGGGGGCAGTCCAGCTCCTGGTGCTGTCTGCCTTATTGGTCACTGGACCGGCAACCTGTGTCTTTCCACTCAAGGAAAGGTCACTTGGACCCCCGTGTGGGCTCGAATCATGTAACCTTTCATGTTTCCTCTCCTGTGGGGACTGTTCAATTTCCAGCCTCTCTGGGGCCCCATTTATATGATGTCAAGTTGGGAGTGAGACTGTGGCCTGGTGCAGTCTTCCTGAAGAAGTGTGACTCTGTGCCCAGAAGGTGGCTCGCTGGGTGGAACTTGGGTAACTCTTTCTTTCCCACAGTGCAGCCTGAACCTCAGCATTATGGTCAAAGGCTTCCAGAGACTATTAAATCCACCCCCCACTATTATAGGGGTGAAGGCACCGAGGCCCAGGAGGAAAGGGACTTAGAGATTACACATTTTGATGGTGAGAGAGCTTAGAGTGGACGTGGCACTCTTGGACTCTCAACCCAGTTCTTTTTCCCTCATTTACGTTGGGCTTCCTGGGGCAGATGGCTTACTGTCTAGCAAGACTGAGGTTTCGCTTCTACAGTATGAATCCCCAGGATAGGGGCTTCCATCATTCCTTGCACCTACGTGGGCCATGTGACTGAGCTCTGAACATAGAATGTTGAGGATGTGGGAGGAGGTGGTTGACCTATACCAGTTCCAGGCCTTGTTCATGATGCCCTTCTGGGCATGGATTCCCTGCCTTCCCCTACTTGCTGGCTGGAAGTTAGTGCCCAGGGTGGTCATGGGGTAACCACATGTTGATGGCAGCAAAGTTTTATCAGTCTGGGTTCTTAATTGACTCCTTGAAGCATAGCACTTTCCTATGAGAGGAAGAAATAAAACTTCCATTGGGTAGAACCACTGAGATTTTGCGTTTATTTGTGTCAGCAGCTAGCATTATCTTAATTAATACACTGCCTCTTTCTTTGTCAGGAAATGACTCTCATGAAAAAACTCCCAAGTCCCTTCTCGCTGACCTTGTCTTCAAACACAGGGTGCCCAAGACTGGGGTCCCTCTTGATCCCCAGGAGCATCTCAACCCTAGTGGGAAAGCCTGAGTCGTCATGGCGACTATTCCTGCAGTGTAGAATAAAATTAATGGATGTGCTCATTACAGCAATTCTGGCTGTCCTTTTAGCAAATTTCACTCCTCAGAAGGATCACTGGCTTTTACTCACAATGCCTGAGAATCATCATTTAAGACCGTGGATAGAGACAGCTTTCCCTGCACATATCATCTCTTCAGGCCAATGGCTTTGTCCCTTGGAGGATTGATCTATGTGACATTTGCTGACCAGGAGCTCATATTTGACTTCTCTCATCAAACTCCCTCCCACCTTGGAACCCTTTCCTCTTCCCAAATGGTCCTGATAAGAGGTCTTCCAGACCCCAGCCCCATGAGCTGCAGCAGGGAGTAGATTCTGTTGCTGCAACCTGGGTTAGGGCTAATGATCTCATTAATTGCTTCCGAGGATTTCCCCCAAGGTAAGCCCTCTAATGTATCTATGACATTCTTGGAATTTCAGCTCTTCCAGAAGCAGAAGTGGGGTAGAGCCTATGAAACAACATGGTAATATGAGGAGGCCATGGGTCAGAAGGTCACCAAGATCTATTCAGTTAACAGAAGTCCTAAGCCACCAAGTAAGCTACATGCATGCATAGAAGGCATGCTACGCTTCTGCTCAAACACCTTTCATGACTCCCTATTGTGAGGGCCAGAGTCTTAACTCTGTAGCTTATCATTCAGGATGTTCACAACCAGGCTCCATTGTATCCCTTGCCATTCTCCCAATACGACCCCTCATGACGCACCTGGGACCATTGCAGCTCCTCAATATGCTTGACTTTTTATACCTGGGTTTCTTTGTTTATGCTTTTCCCTTTGCCTGGAATACCCCCTCTTCTTGGCTTGTTAGTTTTCTCTTTATATTTTTAGACGTGGCTTGTTGTCACTTCTGTGACATCTTTCCTGACTTTCACCCCAGCCTCAACCAGAGTTAGCAACTCCCTCATTTAGATCATGCCCCATCATAGAGAACTTACACATGTTTAGAGTTGGCAGCTGTCTAGACTTAGATGGATGCCTGAGGTCAGGGAGCAAGTCTTAGCTACCATTGTGCCCCCAGCATTCAGCTCAGTGTTTGGCATTTAGTATGCATGTTCCCGTGAATACTGCCTGAGTGGTGGTGGCTCCTGCCAGTGCATTATGGTGGGGACAAAGGCTGCTCCAATGGGGCTTTGTCTGGGACAAAAGGACCTTTCCCTTTGCAAATATTCCCCCACACCCCTTGACTCCTTGGCCCCTTGGACCCAGCCTTCCCTGGTTTCAAGGTTTTCACCAGACCAGCTCTTTAGGATGGAGAAGGCTGAGAGGATTGAGAACAGGAATACTTTTCTTCTTCTCTTTTTAGCCAACAGCTAGAGGGAGTCAGGAATTTCAGAGTGAGGGGAAACTAGAGGTCTGAGGTGACTCAGTCCCAGAGAAGCAGCTGATGAACATCAAATACATGATGGCGGACAAGAGGTGGGGGGACAAGAGGTGGAATCAGTGAGTGGAATTTGTGTTTCATCAATTCTACATTGGTTCACATTTTAGCGTCCCTGAAGTCGAAATGCATCTTACTATCAATGCCATCTCACAGTTTATTTGACAACACGCATTTCTTTCTTAGTGATACATAGCATGATGGTGCATTTTACAAATGATGGCACCTTATATTTCATGAAAGAGGTTGCCACCTGTTAGCAAAGGTTGGGTCTCACACATGGATGACTGAATAAAGTCAACACTAGAGTCAGATTTGAATGTTAGGAAGAGGAAGAGGCAGGGCCAGGACAAGGGTGAGGCAGGCAAGATGTCTAAAAGAGGAAACAGGAAGCAGGGGCTTAGTTGTTGCATCCCTGCAGCTGTGTTGCTGTTAGAAGGAGGAGGAGAGCTTCCCTCTTCCTCTGTGGGTGCCCCCTAGGAAGTGAAACTTCAGAGGGGGGTGGATTATCTTCCCAAGGTCCGTCTTCAGTCTCTCAAATTCTAGGACTCATCTCCTTTACACATCTCTTCCCAAAGACCCACTGTGGGTGAAAAAAATAAGGAAGGAAAGTAGGTGAAGGGGAGTTTATTCCTGGACCAAGTGGATAGATAGCTGATGGCTCCATAATAACGTGAAAGTCAAGTACAAATCATTGATTCCCAACCCTGGCTGAAAATTTGCATTACCTGGGGACTTTCTTTCTTTCTTTTTTTTTTTTTAAGTGCGTCCTTCCTGTAACTTCTTTTTTTTTTTTTTTTTTTTTAAATTGATCATTCTTGGGTGTTTCTCGCAGAGGGGGATTTGGCAGGGTCATAGGACAATAGTGGAGGGAAGGTCAGCAGATAAACAAGTGAACAAAGGTCTCTGGTTTTCCTAGGCAGAGGACCCTGGGGCCTTCCGCAGTGTTTGTGTCCCTGGGTACTTGAGATTAGGGAGTGGTGATGACTCTTAACCAGCATGCTGCCTTCAAGCATCTGTTTAACAAAGCACATCTTGCACCGCCCTTAATCCATTTAACCCTGAGTGGACACAGCACATGTTTCAGAGAGCACCGGGTTGGGGGTAAGGTCATAGATCAACAGCATCCCAAGGCAGAAGAATTTTTCTTAGTACAGAACAAAATGGAGTCTCCTATGTCTACTTCTTTCTACACAGACACAGAGACAATCTGATTTCTCTATCTTTTCCCCACATTTCCCCCTTTTCTATTCGACAAAACCGCCATCGTCATCATGGCCCGTTCTCAATGAGCTGTTGGGTATACCTCCCAGACGGGGTGGCGGCCGGGCAGAGGGGCTCCTCACTTCCCAGAAGGGGCGGCCGGGCAGAGGTGCCCCCCACCTCCCGGATGGGGCGGCGGCCGGGCGGAGGCTGCCCCCCACCTCCCTCCCGGATGGGGCGGCTGCCGGGTGGGGGGGCTGACCCCCCACCTCCCTCCCGGACGGGGCGGCTGGCCGGGCGGGGGCTGCTCCCCCACCTCCCAGACGGGGTGGCTGCCGGGCAGAGACGCTCCTCACTTCCCAGATGGGGCGGCTGCTGGGCGGAGGGGCTCCTCACTTCCCAGACGGGGCGGCTGCCGGGCGGAGGGGCTCCTCACTTCCCAGACGGGGCGGCTGCCGGGCGGAGGGGCTCCTCACTTCTCAGACGGGGCGGCTGCCGGGCGGAGGGGCTCCTCACTTCTCAGACGGGGCGGCTGCCCGGGCGGAGACGCTCCTCACCTCCCAGACAGGGTCGCGGATGGGCAGAGGCGCTCCTCACATCCCAGACGGGGCGGCGGGGCAGAGGCGCTCCCCACATCTCAGACGATGGGCGGCAGGACAGAGACGCTCCTCACTTCCCAGACGGGATGGCGGCCGGGAAGAGGTGCGGGATGGCGGCCGGGAAGAGGTGCTCCTCACTTCCCAGACTGGGCAGCCGGGCAGAGGGGCTCCTCACATCCCAGACGATGGGCGGCCAGGCAGAGACGCTCCTCACTTCCCAGACGGGGTGGCGGCTGGGCAGAGGCTGCAATCTCGGCCCTTTGGGAGGCCAAGGCAGGCGGCTGGGAGGTGGAGGTTGTAGTGAGCCGAGATCACGCCACTGCACTCCAGCCTGGGCAACATTGAGCACTGAGTGAACGAGACTCCATCTGCAATCCCCGCACCTTGGGAGGCCGAGGCTGGCAGATCACTCGCGGTTAGGAGCTGGAGACCAGCCCGGCCAACACAGCGAAACCCCGTCTCCACCAAAAAAATACGAAAACCAGTCAGGCATGGCGGCGCGCGCCTGCAATCGCAGGCACTCGGCAGGTTGAGGCAGGAGAATCAGGCAGTGAGGTTGCAGTGAGCAGAGATGGCGGCAGTACAGTCCAGCTTCGGCTCAGCATCAGAGGGAGACCGTGGAAAGAGAGGGAGAGGGAGACCGTGGGGAGAGGGAGAGGGAGAGGGACCGGGACCAGGACCTGGGGACTTTCAAAGATCCTTTACTCAAGTCTCAACCCAGAACAATGGAATCACTATTTTTCATCTAGGCTTGAGAATCACTGGCCAAAAGTATTTCTTAAATATTTAATAACTAAGGATTGCTTTCAAAATGCAAATTGTATTGTGAATCCCTCAACTGGAGACATAACGCAGCTTACATTTGAGTAGCCCTTTCGGTTTGCAAAGCACTTACATGGTATGATTATATCTGATCCTCTGTGGTGGATAGGCAAGTTGTTATCATCACTTCATTTTATAGAGGAGGATCTAGGGTAAGAGGTCAGGAAACCTTGAAAAGGGAGATGACGTTTAAGCCCTGAGTGATGGAGAAGATCCTACACTCAGCCAGTTGTCCAGGGGATTAAAGGAGCAGGGCTGGGAAAAGCTAGTGGTTGGTGTTTGGTAAAAGAGAGGCGAGAGGAAACAGTACCAGGCAAGAAAAGGGACAGGAGGCAGGAGGGTAGATGATGGCAGAACTCATGTGCAAGGAAGGGGACAGAGCCTGCTAGAATAAATTGCTCAATAATAAGCTAGAAAATATCCAAGTGATTTCAGCGGATAGGAAGCCATTTTCAGAGTCAGCTGAGGGGCCTGGCTTTTGTCAAGGGCTGCAAAGATGGGACAGAGAAATGTCAAGTTTTTTTCTAGCAAATCCATGTTGGTGAGAAAGGTGAAGTCAAGACTGGAAGCCAGAAGGAATACACTGGGATTCCAAACTGGAAGGACCTGGCTTTTCCAGGGACCTAGAGGAGTGAGAAGTAGCAGTAGGATGAGAGAGAAGAGGGGAGAAGCCCCAGGACCACAGGCAGGGTGTGCAGTGAGAGGGAGCAAAGCTTAGCAAAGCCCTCTGAGGAACGGGCTGCTGGGCCAGGGCAGCATTCAGCTGGGCATCCTTGGTCATCAGAAGCCCCTGTTCTTTATCTGGCCCCAGACTCAGCTGCACAGTTGCTCTTCAGGGGAAGAGGGAGGAACAGTAGAGGGGTACCTAGGCTGGAGTGTGGTCTCTCCAACTGGGAGGTGGAAGCAACAGAGAAACTGTCCCAACCAGCCCATATGATGGGGTCATGTCCCAGGGGTCTATGCCTCTTCACAGAGTACACAGACTGATATGTGCTGTGGCAGCAACAAGCAGATCACTAGTTCCTTGGTGCAATAATAGGGTCGTCTTGCAAGGCAGCTCCCAGGCCAGGTGTGGGTCCCCGACAGCAGGTATTCGCCGCAGCACGTCCTTGCTCCACTGCCTTCCTGTCTTTGCTTCTTTTTAACAAATTCTGAATTATAATGAAAAATTTCCTTGGATGTAGTGTATGCCTGACAATCAAATCACTACGAAATCAATTCTTTGCAATCAATGTTTGTCTAATGAATTTTGCATTTCTAATGGCAGGACCTGACACTATCTGTTTATTTTCTCTTTTGCCCTTGGCTCCCTCCCCTGCCTCCTTGTTTTAAGCAAACTTTACCTGGGGCTGCAGGAGCCGAATGGCAGGTCTGTGGCAGTTTTTCTCGTTCAGCCTCTCCTTAATTTCTCCTCGCCCTTTTCCTCGGCATGCCTCACTGGGAAACTTAATGGGGTGTTTCTGGAGTAATTAGAATGATTTAAATAGCCCTGCTAACAAAGTTTGTCAGGAAAATCCCCACAACCTACCAGGGCTCACCCCATACATCTGTTATATCCTGGCCAGGGAAGGAGTGGAAAAGATGCTGGGAAAATGGAGGGGACCAGTCCCGTCTCCACCCCATCCCACTCCCCACACCCTCCCGCACCTCCCACACCTCCCGGAGCACACAGTGGTTTAGACACAAAATCCTTTTTCATTTCAGACATTCTGCAGGCTTTCTGGGCAAAATAACACATCCATTAAATAAAATAAACATTGTAGGGGAGGCGGGAAAACGACTCCCAGACCAAGGCTGGTTCCTAAAGCCCAGACTCCCGCATGAATGAATGAAGACCATAAGGACTTGCAAACTAGTGTACTGGAGGTGTGACTTGTGCAGGCTATGAGTTACACGTTTAGACTCATTTTGGCAGGCAGAATAATATCAACCCTTTTGTCTCTCTTCTGAACCTGTGAGCACAATGAACGGATTATCTGGTTGGGCTCAATGTAATTACAAGGGTCCTTAAAAAAGGAAGAAGAAGGTAGAAGAGGTCAGAGAGGTTCTATGCAAAAGGGACTCAGCCAGCATTGCTTACTCTGAAGATGGAGGAAGGAGCCATGAGCCAAGAGATGCAGGCAGCCTCTGGAAGCAGGAAAAGGTAAGGAAATAGGTTCTTTCCTGGAGTCTCTGGAAGGGAACAAAGCCCTACCAACACCTTGATTTTAGCCAGTAAGACCTGCGTCAGACTTCTGACCTCCGTAACTGTAAGATAATACATTTGTGGCTGGGGGGCGGTGGCTCATGCCTGTAATCCCAGCAGTTTGGGAGGCCGAGGCAGGTGGATCACCTGAGGTCAGGAGTTCCAGATCAGCCTGACCAACATGGTGAAACCCCGTCTCTACTAAAAATTACAAAAATTAGCCATGGCAGCGGGTGCCTGTAATTCCAGCTACTCTGGAGGCTAAGGCAGGAGGATTGCTTGAACCTGGGAGGTGGAGGTTGCGGTGAACCGAGATAGCACCACTGTACTCCAGCCTGGGCAACAAGAGTGAAACTCCATCTCAAGAAAAAAAAAAAAAAAAGGTAATACATTTGTGTTGTTCCAAGCTACTAAGTTTGTGGTGATTTGTTTTAGCAACAACAGGAAATGAATGCAGAAATACCTATGTTTCTCAGATATCCTGCATCTGGCTGACGTGGTTGAGGGAAGGCTGAGGCACATGGTAATAGAGTCTAATAGACCATGAGAAGCACTGTATTTAATTAAGATATGTGTAAAACATGGTGAGAGCCCCCAAAAGGGACCTGGCAGGTGTGGGGAACATCTGAGCAACTCACTGACTAAGTCCTTCATTCACAGGTCTTTGAGGCAGCCAAGCCAGTCCCCTCCTTCTGGCCCATCACCGCCTTGGGGCAGGGCAAGTTTCTTCTCTCCACGCACCTCCCTTGCTTCTGCCCTCCACTCCCACCCCAGTTACGAGCACAGGATTTGCAGCGCGTCAGGCTGCTGTTTGAATCCTGGCTCTAGCCTTATCAGCCAGGTGATAAGGGCAATTTGCTTAATCATTTGGAGCCTCATTTCTCCATCTTTAAAGGGTATATAGTGACTAAAATCTGGAGACTGTTGTGAAGATGCTGCATGTCAAGAGCTCAGTATGTGGCCGGGAGCAAAAGCTTGATAAATATGTGTGTGAACACCCTGTCAATGATGGCAGCAAGCCCTAAGGTTTCTCACAAGACACCTCTCCTACTTCCTACTTCATTGAGAAAATGGAGACAGTCAAAGGAGGACTTCCACAAACTTCTACCACTGCATCTACCAACTACCAGCATCTGCCCATTCATGCTCTGCCTTTCCCGCATGATACTGTGGATGAACTGTCTGTGCTGCTCTCCAAAGCCAACTCCTCCACCAGGGTGTGCATTCCTCCCCCTCTCACCTCCTGCGGTTCTTTCCTCTCGTACATATCATCAACTTTTAGCACTATATTGGACCATTTCAGTCTGCATATAAACGTATTGCTATTATGCTCCAATGGGAAGAAAATCCTTCTCTTGATCCCATTTCTCTTTTAATCTCCTGCCATATCTTTGCTTCTTACTACGGAAAAGTCCTCAAAAGAGTTGGCACCAGCCAATAAGGCCTTCTCCCCACCACCATGCTGAAACCGTTCTTGTCAAGGTAACCAGTGACTCCCTCATGGCTAGATCTCGTGGACAGTATTCAGCCTGCATCTTGCTTGACCTATCAGCAATGTTTTGATTCAGGTGGTGCCACTCGCTCTCCCAGATGATCTGCCCAGACGATTCTCCCTCACCTCCTTTGCTTTCTCATCTCTTTTGCTAGGCCTCCTAATGGTGGCTTTGTTCATCTTCTCTATATGATCTCACTTAGTCTTGCGACTTGAAATATCAGCTGTATACTGATGACCTCAATGTTTACCTCTCTCCTGAACTTCAGACTCGCATATCCAATAGCTTCGGTAAGCCTTCTCTGACCTATTTAGAAGTGCACAACCTTCTTGCATTTGCCTGAATTCTGGTAGACTTCTCAGGCTCAACCTGCCCCAAACAGAACCGCTGACCCCCTCCCTCAACCCATTCCAAATCTGCTCTACCTATGGCCTTTTCTGTCTCTGCTGATGACAACTCCAACCTTCTAGTTGCTCCTTAGGCCAAAAAATGTAGTCATCTTTTTCTCCTTTCTCTCACACACTTCAGTTTACCAGGAAATACTCTACTTTTGGCTCTACGTTAAAATATATATATATATATATATGGAATCTGACCATTTCTCATGCTTCCACTGCTCCCACTGTGGTTGGAGCCACCTTCATCTCACACCTGAGTCACTGTAGTACCCTCTTAATAGGTCTTTCTGATTCTACTATTCCTCTCATTCCCATTTGTATTAGTCTGTTCTCACGTTGCTAATAAAGACATACCTGAGACTGGGTAATTTATAAGGAAAGAGGTTTAATTGATTCACAGTTCCACATGGCTGCGGAGGCCTCACAATCATGACGGAAGGCAAGGAGGGACAAAGTCACATCTTACATGATGGCAGGCAAGAGAAAGTTTGTGCAGGGGAACCCACATTTATAAAACCATCAGATCTCATGAGACTTATTCACTACCATGAGAACAGTATGAGGGAATCTGCCCCCATGATTCAACTATCTCTGTCTGGTTCTGCCCTTGACATGTGGGGATTATTACAATTCAAGGTAAGATTTGGGTGGGGACTCAGCCAAACCATATCACCGTTATAACAACCACAAGGATCTTTTTAAAGCCTAAGAAAGATTACGTCACTCCCCTGCTCAAAACTCTGCAGTGGCTCCCTATTCCCCTTGGAGTGAAAGCTGAAGCCCTCCCTCCTCCCTGCTTTTACCTTATATGCTACTATCCTCACTGTGGCTCACTCTGCTTTAGCATCAATGACCTTCTTGCTGCTCCCAGATGAGGTTCTGCCCTGGGGCCTTTGTTCTAGCTATTTCCTTGGCTGAAAAACTCTTTTTCAAGGTATCTTATTGGCATACTCACATTTCCTTAAAGTCTTTGTTCAGGTCTCACTTTTTTTTCTTTTTTTCTTTTTTTTTTTTTTGAGACAGTCTCACACTCTGTTGCCCAGGCTGGAGTGCAATGGTGCAATCTTGACTCACTGCAACCTCCACCTCCCAAGTTTAAGCGATCCTCCTGCCTCAGCCTCCCAAGTAGCTGAGATTACAGGCACCCGCCATCATGCCCAGCTAATTTTTGTATTTTTGTAGAGATGGGGTTTCACTATGTTGGCCAAGCTGGTCTTGAACTCCTGACCTCAGGTGGTCTGCCTGCCTCAGCCTCCCAAAGTGCTGGCATTACAGGTGTGAGCCACTGCGCCCGGCCAAGTCTCACTTTCTTGATGAGACCACACTAACCGCTTACTTAAAATTGCAACCTGCCCCCCGCCCCGCGCTCCCCACCCTGCATTTGTAATCTACAATGTCCAGGTACTTAGTAATCCCTTGGACTTTTGAATAAATTTGCCAGAATGTCCCTCTCTGAGACTTCCACACAAGTTTTTTCCTCTTTATTTTTTGCCAGGGGTAGGAGATGGTGAGTGCTCACACAGTGTGGCTCTCAGTATTTTCTTCCTGCTGACTTTCTCCTCCTTGGATCCACAGGTACACCTGATTCAGGTACTCTATCTTCATTCAGGGTGTGTTCTTCCCCTAAGTGGGTGGTTGCTTCCTTAGAATTAGCAGGCAGTCTTGATAATGAACTACTTGAAAATCTTATAACTGGGCATCCGATGTCTGCCCCAAAGAAATAGTCATTGTCTCTCCTTTGATATGCACAGCTACATAGGTCTGCAGGATTCCAGTGCAAGGCTGGGTCCCTGATGGAAATTTTATCATTGTCATTATCTGTTTGCACCCATAACACACTGGGAGCTTCTTGTGTCCAGGGCTGCTGTCTTATTCTCAACGCCTAGCACAGGCTCAACATGTGGTTGGCCCACAATAAATGCTTGCAATGGAATAAAATCATGATGAACTGTCAACGAGGCTTTGACCTTCTGGTGAGTAGAATTTGGAAACTTGGTAAGACCTTCTTACTTCCAGGAGGTTAAATTTGTTAATCTACTCTTGAGAAGTTTCTTTTTTTTCACAAGGTGGAAATCCCCATCAGCACACCTTAATCCTAAGGCACACCCAGGGACAGTCTTAAAAGAGTGAGAAAAAGATGTACAAAAGAATAGAAGTGATCAGGCTCCTGGAAGGCATCCGGCAGTGGCGGGTAGCAATCAAGTGTGCTGTGAGAGGGAGCTCAAGGTCCTCCTGGGCAGGAGGAAGGCTGTGGCTGGAAAGGAACATATGATCTTATATAACTTTGCTGTCACCTCTCATGGCCTGTCCTATGCTTCAATCATAGTTGTCATCTTTGTGGGCACGAATGTTTTTGAGCATTTTACATGCATTTTTGCCTTTTCATCCTCACAATAATCTCAAATAGTATATGTTGTTACTATCTTTGTTTTAAAATGATGATTGAACATCTAGTATGTGCTGGGCTCTGTGCTGAGCATGTAACAGACACCACACCGTTGGATCCTCACAAGCACTTACGAGGAAGGTATTATTTCCACCTTACAGAATAGAGTGTTTGTTTTCTCTTGCTGCATAACACATTGTGAAACTTACTGGCTTTAAACAATGCTTGTTTATTATCTCACAGCTTCTACGGGTCAGAAGTCCAGGCATGATGTAGTTGGGTTCTTTGCTCAGAGTCTCACGAGCATGAAAGCAAGGTGTTAGCCAGAGCTGTGATCTCACTGAGGCTGAGGGTCCCTTCCTAAGCTCATCTGGGTTGTTTGCAGAATTCACTTTGCTGCGGTCGTCCCTATTTTCTGCTGACTGTTGGCTTGAGGTTGCTCTCAGAACTGAAGGCCACCCTCAGCTCCCAGCCCAGTGATTCCATCCATAGGCAACTCACTGTGGCTATTTGCTCCTCCTTGCTGAGGCACACGGGGTGGGGGTTGGGAGCATTCTCTGACCACCTTTTTGTTTTTTTTTCTTTTTTGGGATAATGAAACTTTTATTTCTTCATTTCTGATCATTATCAGAAATGATCAGATAGTAGCTAGGATTGCCAGTACAGCTTCTTAACCTTAATAGGAAAACTTTCAACATATTACCACTAAGTATAATATTTGCTGTAGACTTTAAAAATTATTTTATTTTAACTTCCGGGGCACATGTGCAGGATGTGCAGGTTTATTACATATGTAAACGTGTGCCATGGTGGTTTGCTGCACCTATCAACCCATCACCTAAGTATTATTAAGCCCATCACGCATTAGCTATTTTTCCTGATGCTCTCCCTCCCCCTTCCCTCAACCCACAGGCCCCAGTGTGTGTTGTTCCCCTCCCTGTGTCCATGTGTTCTCATTGTTCAGCTCCCGCTTATGAGTTAGAACATGTGGTGTTTGGTTTTCTGTTCCTGTGTTAGTTTGCGGAGGATAATGGCTTCCAGCTCCATCCATGTCCCTGCAAAGGACATAATCTTGTTCCTTTTCATTGCTGCATAGTATTCCATGGTGTATATGCACCACATTTTCTTCATCCAGCCTATCACTGATGGGCATTTGGGTTGATTCTGTGTCTTCGCTATTGTGAATACTGCTCAAATGAACATGTGCCTGCATGTATCTTTATAATAGAATGATTGATATTCCTTTCGATATATACCCAGTAATGGGATTGCTGGGCTCTGACCACCTTTTAATTTTTTTAAGTAAAAAAAATTTAAAATCATCTAGGTTTGCATAAATGGATGTGCAAATATAGTAATTGGGCAGTTTAGAAATTTTAAGTTTTATTTTATTTTAGATTCAGGGGTGCACGTGCAGGTTTGTTTACATGAATATATTGTGTGATACTGAGGTTTAGGCTTCAACTGAACTCGTCACCCAAATAGTGAACATAGTACCCAATAGACAGTTTTGCAATCCATGGCCCCCTTCCTACCTTCCCCCAAAGTGGAGTTCCCAGTATCTATTGGAGTCCCCAGTATCTATCGTTCCCATCCTTATGTCCATGTGTACCCAATGTTTAGCTCCTGCTAACAAGTGGGAATATGTGGTATTTAGTTTTTGATTTCTGCAAAAATTCACTTAGGATAATGACCTCCAGCTACATCCATCTTGCTGCAAAGAACATGATTTTGTTCTTTTTATGGCTATATAGTACTCCACAGTGTATATGTACCATATTTCCTTTATTCAATCCACCCTTATTGGGCATCTAGGTTGGTTCCATGTCTTTGCTATTGTGACTAGTGCTGTGATAAACATGTAAGTGCAGGTGTCTTTTTGGCAGTTTGATCTATTTTCCTTTGGGTAGATACCAAGTTATGGAGTTGCTGAGTCTGACTACCTTTTTAGAAAGAGCTCTCCTGATTAGGTCAGACCCACCCAAGACCACCTCCCTTTTGATTAACACAAAGTCAACTAATTGGTAATCTAATCATGTGAGTGATACTCCACACTCCAGGGGAGGGTATTGTGTAGGGAGGTACACTTGGAATGGAGAGCTTGGGAACCATCTTAGAACTATGCATACCACCCTAAGGCTCAGAGGACTTCAATGAGTTGCCTGAGAGAAACCCCATGGCCTGTAAGTGGCAGAGATAGAACTGAAATCCATCTCATAAGAGCCCATTGCAGTTGTGCTGCTGTAGGAGCAGTGGGTAGAAAGATTAATGGTAGAATTGAGATTCGGGGATGTAGACCTTGAAACCTTTCCCCTTTTGGTAGGTAACAGCAATGAAGAGATCTTCAATGGCCCCATAGGCAGGGCTTGATTGACCATAGAGGCATGCCTTAGGGGCCCAGAGAGGCTGTGTGCTTATCTTCGGCTATGTTCAATAGTATTGTAGAGGTTTAGCTTATAGGATCATAAGCTGTCAGGGTTTGCAAGGCACCCAGAGAATCAGCTAGTCCAGAGTTTCCAAATTATTCCATGGAAACTTTGTTCCAAAATGGCAATCATTATAAAAAGAAAAGAATTCATGGTGAAATAAGCTTGGAGAACCTTGGGTTAAACACAGTAGAAGATGTTGCTTCCCTGTAGGACTTTGGGTGCCTTTCAGGTATTAATATGCTTCATGAATCCATAAGAGGAGGAACGTATGTTGGACCTCAGAACACTTCCTTGTTGTGTGTAAATGAAGAGCCAAGGTTTGGGAGAGGATGCAGATACACTAGTCTAGGTAGTTATTGGTGACAGTTGGACTGTGTTATCTCTCAGGTCTGCTCTCACTCTCTGAGCCCCCAAGGGAGATTAGTGGTTTGGGATGAGAGTGGGGTGGGGTTCTGCTGGTGATGATGGCACACTGTTTCTTACCAAGGAACAGCAGATGGCCAGATGCTGGGGGCCTCAGGTTGAGGTGTGAATAATAGGCAGGCCTTTTCAAATACAGCCTGGAGTGGGGCTTGCAGCCTTAGGTGAGACCTGGGGCTGGCAGAGGGGAAGAGGAAGCTTGTCGCTGCTCTGTTACTGAATAAAGGGAAGGGAGCTGGCACCTGTTGGTTTGATGGGAAGACACCTGCTCAGAGATTACCAGGAGATAAATGGCTCCATGGAGGATTGGAATAGCAGACAACCCAGATGACCCAGCCAACATGAAATAGCCCAGGGACTGGATTTTCTTTTGTTTGTTTGGTTTGGTTTTATTTGTGTGGTCTTGTTTTTCCTGATCACGGGCTTCTAAGTTTCAGGGGAGTAATTGGATGAGGATTGGGAGGCATCTGATGCTCTGGGGCTCTACCTGGGCATTCCTGGGGAACTGTGGAGGAGCTTGTGGTGGGGAGGGACCTGAGCCATTGTCTGTCTCAGAGGTGCAGGGAGCAGTTTCCCACCCACAGGGGGAGAGGAGCTGCTGTGTTTCTGTTCCTTCCCAGAAGAGCCCTGGGAAAGAAAAAAGATGATCAATCTGAAAATTCAGCTCCATAAACAATGCCATAAAAATCACATCCATTTGCCAAGAAAGGCTCATGGCTAATGTGCCAAAACAAGGCTGTGCGCTCACAGCATCAAACCCCGATCGATCTTCTTAAGGGGGCCAGGAGGCTGCCTCCCAGGGAGGGTATATTCCAACTGCTGTCTGAAGAACTAGAGGGGCTGGCTCTGACCCTCACCAGTCTCTGTCCCCTTCCTTGCCTCTGCCTAGCTAACCATGAGTGGGATAACACTTTGATCAGAGAGGAGACTGCATAGGACTTGAGGCAGGGACATGAGGGCAGGGTGCCCTATGTGAGGTGAGGAAGGGGCAAGTAGTTGCAAAAAAATGCCCCATTTTGGGAGTCCAACAGACTTGGGCTCTAGTCTCACTTCTTTGGCTTCCTAGATCTGGGAATTTAGTCAAGTGGCTTACCCCTGTTAAAGTTTCCCCTTCTGTAAGCTCTACAGTTTGGCCTGTCTGCCTCATTGGGCTGGGGGAGAGTTAACCCAAGGATGTGAGGTTTCTTGGTAAACTGTGTTTGAACAGGAAGAGGCATTTGAGAGCGACCAGCACAGGCCTTCATTTATGGATATGGAAGCTGAGTCTCAAACAGATGAAACAACTTAGTTCAAGGTCAGCCTGGGAGAGAGTGGTAAAATCATTATTATTAATTCCAAGCCAAGGCCCATGGAGAGTGGGATCCGAGGTAGGGTTTCCTTAGCACAAAACTTCACTGCAGCCACCAGGACATCAGACCACTCCCACCTAGTCCCCCTTTCCTGGGTCAGTAATTCAATCCATGACCCCCCACCCTTCCTGCCCCCATCCCACTGGTAGAGTCTTAATGGGGCCTCTGCCATGCCAAAGCAGCCTCTCTGCTGAAATAACGCTGGCAGCTGTCTGCTCTGGGAGGCAGAGGCATGAAAAGAAAGCAAACCCTTTTCCCTGGACCTACTGAAATGTCACCCTTGGACATGGCTGTAAAGCCTCTGTTCCCAGGGGAGCAAGCCTGGTGGCTCTTGTAATTAAATCTCATTTCTGTCCCCCCCTTGCTGCCCCCCAGGTACCTGGACTTTTCTGGTTCTCACTTATTGCTGGGGGGCCAAGACCCAACCTGTGGGGTTCAGGTGCTCACCAGCAGGGTGCTTCTTCCCTCCTAGGGGAGCACTTGGAGCATCAGACTGACTCGACTCTTACTGTAGGCTCTGCTGGGGCGAGGCATCATCTGTTCCAATGGATGGATGTGGGGGCTCAAAGGCCCCTCTGCAGACTATGAAATCCCATTGATGCTCTATTCTTATATTTCCCATATAAAAGAAATACATTGACTAGGTCCCCAAAGGGGTAAGGAAGGCAAGGAGATTTTCTGAAGACCTCAAGAAACTTAGAGTTGAAAGAGACCTTATGTGAAATCTTGTCCAGGCTTTCACCCAGTACAGAGGCCCCGTCCGCAGCGACCAGCCTGTTTGACAGGTCCAGTGACCAGCAGCTGTCTACCTCACAGGCTCCCCATCCCATGCAGGGAGCAGTTCTGATTGTTAGGAAGTTTGCTTCATTGAAACAAGCCTTCTGGGAACTTCTACACTTCCATCCTGGTCAGCCTTGTGGAGTCACAGCCTAGTCATAGCCATCATTCAGTGGGTGTTTACTTTGTGCCTCTCTTTGTTTGGAGAGCTTTGCATATGTTAACTCATTTAACCCAGGAGATAAGGAGCATTATAGCTATTTTATAGATGAGGAAAATGGGGTACAGAGAAGTCAAGAAACTTGTCATAGGTCACCCCCCTAGTAAATGGCAGAGCTTAGATTTGAACACAGGCACCCTGGCTCCTAAGCACATCTTTTAAACCTCTAAACTGCCAGGTAGGTCTCAGCTTCCCTCTCCTTCAAGTGGCAGCCTATCTCATATTCGAAACTGTCAATTGTTCTCAGTGGAACACTTTGCATCTTTGCCACTGTTTCTAAACCCTAGGTATCCTGGTCACTTTCCTCTGTTTGTTTTAAAACGAGATAGAGCATAACCCAGTGGTCCAGATGGGCCCAACCAAGGTAGACTATAGAGAGGCTGTTTTTTTCTTCCTTCTAATTGTACCCATTTAAGATTTCTTTCTCTTCTTAGTAGCCGTACCACCATATTGAGCTTGTGGTCAACTCAGACCCCAAGATCTTTTTCTCATAGATCTCTGCCAAGCTAGAACTCCTTTACCTTGGACTTGTCCAGTTGATTCTTTGAACCTAAATGTAGGACTTCATACTTCACACTACTAGATTTCATCTGTGTGATTTTGGCTCATATTCTAGCCTGCTGAAATAGCGAGAGTCTTAGTCTGCCATGCAATTAATCTCTCCAGTTTGTCATATGCAGATTAGGTAATCATCCTGTCTCAAACTTCATCCATGCCATTGGTAAAAATGTTGAATGAGACAGAAGATGAGCCTTGTGCCTCTTCTCTAGAGAAAGATTTCCCACTGGGTGGCAGGAAATCATTCTTTTGAAATACAAATGTTTGTGATTTTTGTCTTCATCATTCTATATTAATCCTACATTGAATGCCTAACTATATTTCAGGCAGAGTGCTAGGCACTGAGGAAGCACAGATGTTCAAGTCAAAATCCTTGCTTTCACAAAGCTCCCCCCGGAGTTGGGGAGATGCACAAAGACAAATAATGATGACATCTGAAGTCAGGAGTGCTGGGAGCGGGTAGGGAATGGGCCCTGAGGGGCATTTTTGATTTCATCATCTAGCTATTTGGGTACCATCATCATTTTAACTCAGTCATCCTCTCTACTTTGTGACTCATTCTCTGGCTTTATTTCCTCTGCATTTAGAATGATAACCCCAAATTCAACAGTGCCCTGGGGAGCCTGTGTGTGTAGGTGTGGAGGGCAATGGAGATTAGAGATAGAAAGGAAGGAGTGTTAAGTTTCCTCTTTTGAATCGAGAGAAGGGGTGAGTCAGACACAGAATATGTTAGAGAGAGGCTTTGGCTTTGAAGGGGTTTCCTGGGTGATCCTGACACTGGTCATCCCCTAGAAGAGGAGAAATGAGGAAACTGATCTGTGAAGGGTGTGAGGCCTTTGCTTTGGAGGGGTTTCCTGGGTTACACGGATGCTGCTCATCCCCTAGAAAAAGAGAAATGGGGAGATTGAGCTGTCAAGTGGGTGGGGGTCAGGGGTGAAATATGGGGGAAGATGGATATTTTCTTGCTCAGCCCAAGTGAGGTTTTGCCCATGGCTTCGTGACTTGACAGATGGGAAGTTCCTGGTCATCGAACACATTCATCTTACCAAATATACAAGTCACTCC
This sequence comes from Homo sapiens, assembly GCF_000001405.40. Lineage (NCBI taxonomy): Eukaryota > Metazoa > Chordata > Mammalia > Primates > Hominidae > Homo > Homo sapiens. The sequence continues at coordinate 116,332,948 of NC_000011.10, read as the reverse complement.
AAAGACAACCCAAAGTGATTTTTGCATTGTTTGGGCCACAGCCCACTTTGACCTCTGTTGGCCCTTGTGCCCCTATTTCATGCTGGGTGACTGCTAACCCCAGGCCACCACAGACCACATCTGGTCCAAGAAGAAACCTTGATGGGAATGCTTTACAGTAATGTTTGCCCCCCAGCTCGGAAAGCTCAGCTGGGTGTTAGAGCACGGTAATTCATGCCAAAGGTTGCTCCTCACAATTTCTCTTTTTCTCCCTCTCCCCCTGCTTTCCTCCCCCAGTGGGAGAGGAAAAGCAGCTATGCTTATAGAAAGATTGATTAGTTAAGCAAGTCAATTATATCTCTTGCCGAGAGCAACTGTATATTAAGTAATGCAGCAAAAATGATTGTCTGCACAGATCCATTTTGTGGAACAGCTGTTCCAGAGGCCCGGAAAGAGAAGACGAAGGTTAAAATCCCGTAATAGTCTTCGCTCCCCATCTCACCCCACCCCATCATGCCTGGCCCTCCGGGGCTCCATTTATTATGAGATGGAATAAGGTTGGGTAATGAACATGCTGGCCGCCTGCTCCATTTTGCGGGGAAACTCCCCCGCCATGCCACGTGCTCCAGGGCCTCCAACAGTGCTGGCCCTGCTGCCCTCCTGTCTGGTGGAGTTGACTGAGGCCTGCTCACAAGTGGGCACTCTCCACCTTGCTCCCAGTCCAGCTCAGCAGCTCTGATGCAGTGGAAGAGCTCTGGATGTAAAGTCTGGATGAGACCTGGGTTCAAATCCAATTGTTGCGTGTCTGATCTCACCTAAGTCTTTTAATCTTTCTGAGCCCTAATTTTCTTGTTAGTAAAATGCAAAAATATTTAAATGGGATAAGGCATATGGACAAAATTTGGGGTCTCTGACATATAGGTTAAGATAATGACTTAATGCTGGATGTTATTACATGAGACAAGGAGGAGATGGAGAGAGGGAAGTCCATGTATGATTAACTAGGTGCTGGGCAGGGCCACCAGGTGGTTTAGCCAGAAGTATTGGAAAAGACCAGATATTCATATGCCACATGTAATCAACCCAAGCTCCTTTTTCCTAATCACTGAAGCAAATGGGTAGGTTTTGCTTCCCCCTAGTTGTGCCAGCCCCTTCCTCTGGGTTACAGCTACTGTTTTTAGCTTCCATCCTGTAAGTCTGCCCTTGGTGTTTATTTTAATCCAGTGTCTCTTGTATACAGGGTGATTTGTAGGAAATCCCGCCCCCACAGCCATGGCATTGGCAGGGAGTAGCCAGCCCCTTAGTCCGCAGTGGACAGTCCAGCAGCAGGGTTGATGCTCAGTGGGCAGTGGGGGCATCTGGGGACACCTGCCCCTTCCTGAACTTGCCCACAGGAGTGTTGGGGCCAAGGCTGATGACTGCCTCCCTCTTCCTGCCTATTTTGGGGAGGGACTCAGCCAAATCGTGAGGTGGCAGTTTCTACTGTAGGTCAAACCTTTCACCCTTATCAGAAGACATCTCTCACCTCTTTTCTCTGTCTCAAGAGGGTACACCAGCTGGATCGAGCTTCCACCTGAAGTTTGTCATTGTCCCTTAATGCTTCTGGCAGAGTTTCTTCTCCCTGTTAGAAGAGAGCTGAGTTTGGAGAGGAAATACTTCAGCTTTATCGCTGAGGGGTACCTCACTGTAAATGAGCCTATCAGATCGCCTGCTAGGAGGACATCCTGTTGAAAGAGCTTTGGGGTTGTATAGGTTAACCCCCTTATGGGGCAACTGAGGCCCAGAGAGGGGCATAACCCAGGTGATATGGTGGCACAGTTAGAAGAGCCCCATCTCCGGAGACCTGGGTTTACTTCTTCCATTGGGCATGGCTTTCTCCTCTAGGAGAGTCAGTTTTGACAAGGAGAAGGCAAGGGCAGGCTGGCTGTGTGCCGTTGTGACTGTGCTAAGGGGGTCAAGTGCTTTTCCAGTCTTGGGCACAGCAGTGTTCCAAGTGCAGTCACAGTGGCCGCTGGCTTCCAGGGCTGGCAGTCCTTCCCCCAGCTGGAAGGGCCCTCATCGTCCGGGGCCAGGGCTCAAATTCAGGTCAGACCCAGGTGGCCCAGGCTCCTTCAGGGCTGAGGAACTCCAGCTCTCCTGATTTCTGAGCAGTTTCACTGATTCATTTTTCAACCCTCAGGCCACATGTGGGCAGTTAGCATAGAAATGGCTGTTTCCCGATCTGCTTGCCTCTCCCAGGTCCATAAATAGGAATCTGCCAGTGTGTGCACAGAGGGGTGGGTGGTAGAGGGTGGTGGTGATGCTGACAGTGACCCACATGGCCATCCAGCCTTGGAAACTGGGCCCTTGGCTGGCAGAGGTCTCCAAGCCAGGACAGATAAGGCGGGCATTGCAGCTACTTCAAGAAAATGGCCTGGGGAAATGACCACCTGGGCCCCACTTCTCATAGGATGCCAGGACTGAAAGGGTCCCTAGTGGTGAGTGAGTCCAGCCCCTTGTATGAAGCTTGAACCCCTTTGCCAACCCTCTTGGGAAATGATGGTGCACCCTAGCCTGGCAAGAAAGGAAGCGTGACCCTGGCCTCTCTCTGTCTATGTATCTTGTGCTGGAGTGAACTCAGGACTGGATGTTTGTTCAAATTAGGATCTAATTGGGTTAGGGCATCAAGTTCAACCTCTGGGACTTCCTTTCCCCGCTCCTCATCCTATGCCAGGAGGAAAATACCAAATTGATCTATTAGTGATATTAAAGAGATTTTCTTCCTACTTCCCAGTTCTTGTTCCACCGGTGTCTCCCAAGTGCCTGCAAAGAAAGGGCCTGAAAAAAAGCCGAGCCTTTAAGCACATGTTTTGTGAATCTTCTTTTCTGTTGAGGGTGGGAATGTAGGTCACCAGGGAGAGACGGTGTGGGGGAAGATGAGGACAACATTTCCTCCCAATAAGGGAGTGTCAGCTGTGGCATAGAGACCCAGGCAACCAGAAGGGCAGAGAGGAAATGGCTTTAGGAACCATCTAGTTCAAGCCTCTTATTTTACTGTGGAGAAAACCAAGCCAAGGAGGGGAAGAGACCTTCCCCTGGTCACATGGTGAACCCATGGTTTGGCTGGGGTGGGATCTAGTCAGGGATATCTATGGTTGAGTGTGGATACTGGCCCACAAGTCACACTGTGAATAGGGAAAAGGGATCTCAGTGGGTGCCTGCTGTTCTTTGACGAGATTCCCAGCCCCAGAAGAGAGCCTCATGGGAACCAGGGGAGGCCCTACCGGCAGTGGGACTGTAGAATCTTGGAAGCATCTCCTCCCACTTCCTGAACCGGAAATACTTTCCCTACCCATGTCTTTTTTTTTCCTTTGAGTCAGAGTCTTGCTGTGTTGCCCAGGCTGGAGTACAGTTGCATGATCTCAGCTCACTGCAGGCTCCGCCTCCTGGGTTCCAGTGATTCTCCTGCCTCAGCCTCCCTGGCAGCTGGGATTACAGGCACGCACCACCGCTCCTGGCTAAGTTTTGTATTTTTAGTAGAGATAGGGTTTTGTCATGTTGGCCAGGCTGGTCTCGAATTCCTGACCTCAGATGATCCACCTGCCTTGGCCTCCCAGATTGCTGGGAGTACAGGCGTGAGCCACCACACCCGGCCACCCTACCCATGTCTTGATATGTAAGATTCCAAGGTTTGAATGTTTATTCCCTTAGTTTAATGCATCTGTGTTTTAAAAGGCAATGTGTAGCTGTGAATGAGCTTTGCCAGGTCCCTTTGTGAGTGCTTGTAGATGGGGGATAAGCAGGAGGATAGAGTGAGAGGGGAGCCTGGGAGTGCAGAAGGGAAGCTGCAGAAAGGGAGACTAAGGCTCATGAAGAGGGCTGGTCCTCCTTTTACAATGTTCCCCGGCCTCTAGGCCTGGAGCTGGGGTGGGCTGGCTGGGCCAGAGGTGTGGGGAAGGTGGGTGCATGGACCTGAGGGTACCATCCAGTGGGTGTTTGCTGTTACAGCCCTATCCAGGCCAGCATCAGAGGAATTGCTAGAACGGATGTATTGGCTTCAGAGATCCACCAGACCGCCCACTTTTATATTCCTGGGAGAGTTCACTTTCTCTACAAGATTCCTCCTCTAGCCTTTCCTGTGTGGTTAACTCCCTGGATGGCCTATACCCCATCTCTGCTGCCTGTTGTATGACTGAACTCTCCACCACCAGGGTGTGATGTGTCCCCTAATTGACTGTAAGGCCTTGGGGACAGGTCTTAGATGGCATATAAAATTTGTGAGGCAGGCAGCGGTCCCAGGGCCCTCCTGCCCAGGAGCTGCCCCTGGCATCCCCTGCATGTATCCTCAGAACTGGTGTGATGTCACAGCCAGGCTGCAGAAGGAGTACAGTTTGCTCTTCCGGTGCTTCCAGCCTCGTGGGCAGTCAGGCAGGCTGATTGTGTAACTGTGGGGAGCAGGAGCGAGCCACATGTGTGGGTTCAGGCTGAACTTCAAGATATGCTCTTCAGATCTGAGGGGTTTCCCACAATGTTTGGGTGATGAAGTTTCCTGCCACTCTTAATCTCTGGGCAAAGGATAGTTTCTACAGCTGTCATCAGATAGCTTTGCCATGAGTCTCAGCATCCCAGCATGTAGTCCAGGATATTGTCCCATCCTCTAGGCCAAGTCTTTGCAGCTTCTCTTATGGCCCCCCAAAACACAGAAGAGCTCCTATGGTGGGAAGTAGAGAAATATCCTCGAAAATAAAGTGTGCAGTTCCAGCTCTAGAGGCAGTTGGCATGGAAGTTGTTATTTGCCCTGGACTGCCCGTAGTATGTGGATGAAGGTAGTACTGTGGAATTAAAGGGGCAGATTGTCCCACAGCAATACTCAAAGAGTTCTGAAGTTTCTGAGTCCATGCCAAGTCCTGGCAATGTAACCTGTTCTGCTTGTATGTGCCCATCTCCTCTAGCAATGGCTGGTAGCAAAAGTCTCTGCAAGGTGGTGGTGGGGGCCTGCTGCACCCCTGATAGAGATACTAACAAGTTGGCTGCCAGAGCCCATGGGAGTACCTGGGAATGAGGCTACAGCACCTGGTCTAACTTTTTCTTTGTGATGAACCTGGGAGAAAGAGAAGGAGACAGAGACAGAGAGAGAGAGAGAGAGACAGAGGAGGGGAGGGGAGGGGAGGAGATGGGAGAGGAGAGGAGAGAGAAGAAAGAGAGGAGAGAGAGGAAAGAGGAGAAAACTGTAGCAAATAATGACCCTCTTGTACAGTACACTGAACAACTTGTCAGTGGCAGCACATTGCGTGGACAGTGATCAAGATGGGGTGGGAGGTAAATGCTATGTCTTGTTGAAGATGGTTGAAGAAAATGTAGATGTCTGGTCTGGAGGCCAAAAGACTGGTGGGAGTGTTATAACCATCTTCTGAGGGCCTGTGTGTGCATGAGAGGACATGCTTGTTCTCCATATTTCTAATGGGCAGAAATAGGACATGTGTAGAAGCCAAAAGGGACATAGATAGCCTTGGGCTCCATGCAAGAAAGAGCTTTCTCCAGCTAAAGCTGACCAAGGGTGGCCTGGGCAAGTTCCTGATCACTGGATGTAGGCCATTGAGCAGAGGCTGGGAAACTTCTTAAGAGGAGAAGGAGAGTGAGAGGCAGTTGGAGTCCCTACAGAGATGACTCCAACTATGTGGGGTTGGATGAGATGACCTTGAAGGCTCCTTCCAGCTGTAAGATTTTCAGGTTTGAGAAGACTTGGGTCACTGATGATTTAGCTTCCAGGCTGGGCTGGGGCTCATTGCAGCTGCTCTGGGCCTGCTCCACAGTGTGTGGGAAGTGGCAGATCCCAAAGGTGACTGGGCAGATGCAGGGTGAAAGTCTCATGGGATGAATGTTCTTTGCGTATGAGCCAGAGAGTCAGGCACAGAATCACAGTGGCTGAGGGATTTAACTGAGTGAGGCTTCCCATGAGGAAAAGGAAAATTCCACCAAAACTGCCCCTTCCATACACATTCTACTGAATTTCTTGGGTAGGTTCACTTGCTGGGGTCTAAGAGGCTGGTAGATGTTCACATAAAGTGTAGTGACTTGGTAGTGAAAGCATTACTAAAGTCAGAGGGACTTGGATTCCAGTATCGGCTCTGACGAATCCTGTAAAGAGGACCTTGGACAAATTATTTTCACTCTATGAGTCGCTTTAATTTTCTCATCTGTGAAATGGGGTAACAGTTTCTATTTCACAGAACTGTGCTGAAGGCTAAATTAGGCAATGCCTGAAAGGTGCAGTGTTTCATGGTAGGATTCAAAGGTAGTCAGTTCCACCTCTCCTATGATCTGGGCTTTCTTATCTCCCTCACTGTCTCTTAGCTGTCCCCTCCTAGGTCTCATTTACAGTGATATCCCTGATGTCCAGCATGGGGCCTCATATGTACTAAATCCCTGTTGGTGATCTGACTGGCAGGCACCTACCTTGGGTAAGATGCACGGCCCCAGGAGCTATTGCTTACCTCTGGCTTGTTGGGAGATCAGCAGGCCAGGAGAAACCCAAGGTCATGGCCTGCCCTCTGCAGATGTGCCACAGAAGGGTGCAGGGTGACTGCTGGAGTGAGAATCCAGATGCTGGGAAAGGGAAGTGGGTGGGAGCAGGTAGAGGTTCTCATTGCAAAGCCAAGTGGCTGAACAAGAACAAAAGCATAAAACCCTGCACATTAACAACCCCTTTACTAGCTGGTGCTTAAATCTTGTATCTCTAGGCGTGTACCTGTAGACTGTCAATATGCTCCCCTGTTCCACACCTGTGCTTCTGTTGAGATCTGATGCAGCAGGTGAGACACTGTTTAGCTGCAGCTCTCCAGAAATTACTGGTTCATCATGGTACTGTGGTCCCCTGCTCGGCACTGGGCAGCTTGGAAAACAATGGGCACTCCAGAGCAGTGTGGAGCAAGGCAAGAGAAAGAGGTGATCCAGAAAGTCACAGAGGATTTTTGGTAGTTGTCTCTGTCTTGCCATACTTTCATTCCTGTAGTATTGGGCTTTCCTGGATTCTGCACCTTTAAGTTATGTGGACACATCCTCATTGGCCCTCTGCACACTCTAGAAATTTTCCCAACCTCTCCTTGAATGCAATGTCTGTCAAAAGCCAGAATAATGTTCAAGGGATTGGACAAAGCTAAACTCTTGAGGCTAATGTGTTGTTGCTCTAGAGACCCCTAAGTGAGGGGTACACAAGCAACAAATCCTGTCTTGGGTCACAGAGCTGAGTAGAAGCTTTTCTTAGATAGGACAAGCCCTATGAGTTGTACTCACCACCCTACATCCACTAATACCTCTTTATATGCTGTGATTTTTTTCAGTGTCTATTACATAGTGGCTATTGAACAAATATTGATTGATAACAAAAAGAAAATAATCCATTTTTTTGCATCTACCCTGCGTAAGGCACTTGCTATGCATTGTGTTTTACCTCATTTAATCCTTATAGCCACTGAGAAGCAGACACCATTATTCCATTTTATAAGGAAGAGAATAGAGACTCGAGACATCTCAAGGTCAAACAGTATTGCTGCAAAGCCCACACTGCTTCATCACGTCATCCTGCCCATTGCCCCTTACTCTCAAACTGCAATTGATTGCATCATGTTATATTTTTTCCCAGATTTATCTTTCTGGTATTTCATTGAGATCTTTTCATTTTCTGGGATTACCTCCACAAGTTTTGCATGTGGAAGTGTGATTATATTTTCCTTTGAGTACTTAGCTCCTCACTGAGAGAGGGTCATGTGGTTGGAACCACCAGGTTTCCAATGACTTTTAAGAGATGTTAGCACACCTTTACATGTCAATTATACTTTAAATATATAAATTATTCAACTTTATTGAAATAGCCAAGTATCATCATTCAGCATGAATAAAATAGATTCTGGGAACAGCTTGATAACATTTTTACCCATTCCATAACTATTGTCAGTTATTGCTTCATGTAGATCCAGTATTATCTCAGGACTTGAATAGAACAAGCTCACCAGTGATTTCTCCAGGGCTTGTGCATGGCTGGCACGTGGAGGATGTTAGGACAGTTTATGATGGAATGTCCAGTTCCTCAGCTATAATAGTCTTTGGTAGTCAGAACAGGATAGTTCCCTCCTTGGCTTCTAGTGCTGTCCTTGTCCAAGAAGATGGTTACTAGCCACATGTGCTATTGGGTTATTGAATTATGGCTATTCTGAATTGAAAGAAATGTACCCCAAGTATAAAATATACACTGGGTTTCAAAGATATAGTACAAAAGAGATGTAAAATATTCCATTAACATTTTTATTACATATTGAAATAATAATATTTTGGATATATTAGACTAAAGAACTGACTACTGTATTAATTTCACCTGCTTCTTTTTTACTTTTAAAATTGCTTATGAGGCTGGGTGTGGTGTTTCACACCTGTGATCCCAGCACTTTGGGAGGCCGAGGTGGGTGGATCACCTGAGGTCAGGAGTTCAAGACCAACCTGGCCAACATGGTGAAACCCCATCTCCACAAAAATACAAAAATTAGCTGGGCATGATGGCGGGTGCCTGCAATCCCAGCTACTCGGGAGGCTGAGGTGGGAGAATCACTTGAACCTGAGAGGCAGAGTTTGCAGTGAGCCGAGATCGCGCCATTGCACTCCAGCCTGGGCAACAAAGCGAGACTCTGTCTTAATAAATAAATAAATAAATAAATAAATAAATAAATAAATAAATAAATACATAAATAAAATTGCTTATGAGAAAATGTAAAATTACATATGTGGTTCACATTTGTAGTTGGCATTGTATTTCAATTGGACAGTGTTGTTCTAGAGAATGCCTTAGTTTGCTGTCCTTGATCAATCCTCAAGTTCCAGGTTGTTCCCAGATTAAAAGCCAAAGTGAAACATAAATTTTAGGCAGCAGCTTAATTCTTGTTTTTGTGAAGCATGGCAGGCTTTTCCCTAGTTAGAAGGTTTCTCAGCTGCCTTACTGACTCCTCCTACTTAACATCCCTCTCCAAAAGGAATTAAGGTCTTTGACCTGTACTTGAAATTTGTTGCAAATTCAGCTAGTGGTACTTTTATCCATTAGTCAAAAGAGGTTATAGAAAAGACTATAGCATCTGAGAATGTCAACACAAGGTTGGTCAAAAAGACAATTTGAGGTATGGTTGTACTCAGATCAAGGCTGGATCAGGCTTAAGTGACCAAAGAGTAGACCAACGTTAGGATGAGAGCCAATCAGATTATCCGAGCGGGGATCCCAGGGCCACTGTAGACAGCACCCAAGGGCCTGTAGTCTGGCCAGAACTCACAGCAGCCTTTTCATCTAAGGCAACAAGACTCTCTTCTCCCCATCTCCTCACCAATTCCTGTCCTGATACCTTACTCCCAGAGTTAAAAAGGCAAAAAACTTCTAAGGTAGGTTCTGATTCTCTGTGAAAGAAGTTGCCCTTTGTCTTCTTTCAGAAAAGCCCTAGAGAAGGCTCAGGTATTGGTGGTCCATCTTCTGCACGACTGCACTCTCCATTAGGGCTTAGATCCTTTCTAGGTTGGTGCGAGTCTATGGTCCCATGAGTAATTTCCTCCCTTTGGGCAGTTTTTCTATAAGGCTGGACTCTTGAACAAGGCTTGGATCCCAGAGGACCTTTAACAAGGCATGAACACAGTCTCCATGACAACATTTTTTGGTGGAATCCAGCTGCCCTCCACCCAGTTATTGAGAAAATGTTCTCTAATAATCCATCTTCTCTCGGCTGTATACAGATTATGCATAGCTTTTGCTATGGGTAATGTCTGCTATGCATAAGTTCTATGTTTATGAAAGACTGTTTGTTTGTTTTTCAAGTCTTTATTATTCAAACACACATAGGTAGAGGAAAAAGTATAATGAATCCCCATGGACTGTCACTCAGTCTCAGCAATTACCAACATACGGCCATTAAAAAAAAAAATCTATGTTTCCTACTTCTCCCTACCCCCTGCTAGACATCATATTATTTCATCTGTAAATGCTTCAGTTATGTGTTTCTTGGAGATAAGAACTCTTATTCTTTAAACATAACCACAATACCATTGTACCATCTAAAAATGTGAACTTTATTTTAGCTTTTATGAAAGCAATACATTTTCATTGAAAGTATTCAGACAATACAAAAAGGTATAAAGAAGAAAGTGAAAATGACTCATAAACCAGCACCTAGGTACAATTACTGTTAGCATTTTGTTAGATATAGTTTTATATATTATGCTTAGTACATATTATTTATACAAACTTACATATATAGAATCATGCTATGGATGATGTTTATAACCTTTTTTATTATTTTTGGCAAGCATTTACAAAATTGAAGTATAAAATGCATACAAAGAAGCGTGCAAATTACAAGTGTACAAGTTCACAAATTTTCACTGTCATTTAACCAACTGTCATCCAGATCAGGGAACATTATTACCTGTAGCCCCAAACTTCTGTCATGCCTCTCTTAGTCATTAACCCCATTAAACATAGCCACTATTCTGACTTCCATTGCTACAGATGAGTTTTGCCTACTTTTGAATTTTATACAAATAGAATCATGCAGTATGTGCTTTTCTCTGTGTAACTTCTTTTGTTCCATTTTATATTTATAAGGTAAATCTGCGCTGTTGTATGTAGTAGCACTAATTCATTTTTTTGTTGTTGTGTACTACTCCACTGTGTGAGTATATCACACTTTATTTATCCATTCTACTATTGATGGACTCCTCCTGCCCTGACCCAGTGTGTTGCTATTAGGAATATTATTTTGTACACATATGCGTGCATTTCCACATATATTTTCTACATGACATTTCCTAAGATATATACTTAGGAGCAGACTTGTGGTTTTACCAACTTATGCTTATACCAGCAATCTATAAGAGTTTCATTTGCTCCACATCTTTGCCATTACTTGGTTATTATCAGTGTTTTAAATTTTTTTATTCTGGTGAGTGTGTAGTAGTAATTCATTGTGGTTTCTTAATTTACATTTCCCTAATGACTAGTGAAATTGAGTGCCTTTTCATAGGCTTTTTGCATACACGCATATCATCCTTTGTGCAGTACCTATTCATATTTTTCACATTTTTCTGTTGGAAAATGTGAAATATGTATACTTCTTCCTACTGATTGTAGAATTCCTTTATATATGTTGGACATGAATTTATTCACAGTGTATAGTGTGAATACCTTCTCCTACTATGTGAATTGCTTTTTCACTCTTTTTTTTTTTTGAGATGGAGTCTCACACTTTCACCCAGGCTGGAGTGCAGTGGCACAATCTCAGCTCACTGCAAGCTCCGCCTCCTGGGTTCACACCATTCTTCTGCCTCAGCCTCCCGAGTAGCTGGGACTACAGGTGCCCGCCACCACGCCTGGCTAATTTTTTGTATTTTTGGTAAAGACAGGGTTTCACCATGTTAGCCAGGATGGTCTCGATCTCCTGACCTCATGATCTGCCTGCCTCGGCCTCCCAAAGTGCTGAGATTACAGGCGTGAGCCACCGCACCCAGCCTGCTTTTTCACTCTTAAGGTATCATTTGATAAACAGAAGTTTTAAATTTTGATAACAGCTCATTACCAATATTTTTCTTCATGATTAATGTGTTTTGTGCCCTGTTTAAGAAATATTTGCTTACTCCAAAGCCATTAACATGTTCTCCCATGTTCTAAAAGCTTCATTGTTTTACTTTTCACTTTTTCATTTACAACACATCCAAAATTGATTCTGTGTATGGTGTGAGGTAGGGATCAAAATTTGCTTTTTTTTTTTTCATATGAATATTCAATTGATTAAGCTTCATTTCTTTAAAAGACTATTTCCCATTGTTCTGTCATCTTGCCTTTGTGATAAGGCAAATGACAGCACACATTAGTCTGTTTTAGGGTTCTCTATTCTGTTCTGTTGTGCATTGGCTAACTTTGTGCCCTTTCTACAAGCATCTTAATTACAGGAGCTTTATAATCTATCTTAATATCTGGTAGTTTAAGACCTCCAAATTTGTTACTATTTTTCAAAATTCTTCTAGTTATTTTAATACTTTGCGCTTCTACATAAATTTTGGATACAGTTTGTCAATGTCTTCAAAATTTTTTAAAAAGTTGAAAATTTTGATTGTAATGACAATGAATGTTTTATCAGTTTGGGGAGAATTAACACATTTACCATATTGATTTTTTCAATCAGTAACTATGTTATCTTAACCCACCAGTTTTGGTCTTCTTTAATTTATCTTAATCATTCATATTGGTTTTTTGTCTTCAGGTTTTGCACATATTTTGTTGTATTTATTTTACGGTACTCATGTTTTGATGCTACAGAAAAGGATATTTTATAATTTTTTAAAAAAATGTTGGTTGTATACATAAATACAATTAATTTTTGCATGTTGAGCTGTGACCTCGTTTGACTTGTTGATAGAATTGAAATTAATTTAACTCTATCAGTTTATTTGTACATTATTTTCAGTTTTCAAATACACAAAGTGACAGCTTTATTTATTTTTTTCCTTATTTTTCTTTTTCACATCAGATGGGTAATGTGCCAACATCATAACAAGGTTCAAGGGAGGCACATCTCATACGAGTGTGAAAAGGCAATCATCATGCTTATGAACTACAAGATTATCCTATATATTCATTTTCAATTATTTTATCCTCCTCTGCCTCTTGCCCTGGACTATATAAGACCTGCAATATAATGTTGAATAAGGAAGGTGAAAACGAACATCATTGCATCACTCCTGATATCAAAGGTAAGTCTTTCAATATTTATCATTAAGAATGGTGTTTGCTGCAATTTTTTTGTCGTTGTCCTTTATGAAATTAAGGAAATTTCCTTTTGTCATTAATTTGCTAAACTTTTTATTCCTTTCTAATTTTAAACAAGGACAGACATTGAATTTTAGCAAATGACTTTCCTATATCTATTGAGATAATTATGTAATTTTTTTCTTCTTCATCCTTTTAATTGGTGAATTACAATCAATTACACTGATCAATTTTTAAGTAGTAAACAAACTTTGCTTTCTTAGAATAAGCCCAAGTTAATTGTATTGTTCTTTTTATAAATTGCTGGATTCAATTTACTAATAATTTGTTTTGAATTTTTGCATCTATGTTTGCATATGATCGGCATTATTTTTTTTCTTCAATGCATGGTAGAATCCACTGGTAAAGCCATTTGTACTTAACTTTTGCTTCAAGTGTGATATTAGGTATAGGTTATTACAGATGGACTTTATCAGGGCGAGGTAGTTCTCTTTGATTCCCAGTTTTCTGAGAACTTTAAAAATAAGAAATGATCATTAAATTTTGTCAAATGCTTTTTCTGTATCTATTGAGAGGATTATATTATTTGTTTTTTTTTTCTGTTAGCATGGTGAATTATATTAATTTTTGGATATTAAACCAACCTAAAGTTCCTGGTCATGAAGCATTATCCTTTTTATATATTATTGTATTTGATTTGCCTAAGATGTCTGCTATTATTTGTGAGTATTTTTGTTATTCCATTTTATTACTTTTGTTGACCTATTTGTTATAATTTTTTGTTTTGTCATTTTAGTGTTTTCTTAAGGATTTATAGTATACATTTCTAACTTATTGCAGTCTAACTGAAGGATAGGAGAGAGTCATATGAAAGACAGAAAGAACTTCAAAAATCTGCAGAGGGTTTTCTTTAAATATTCATCTGGATACTACTAAGAGTATACATTTGAGGAAACTACCTGTGGCCAGGGAAAGAAATACCTGAAAAGATGAGATGCGGCAATCTATGGCTCTCATACTTGACTGATGTGGTGACTATTCCCACTATACAAAGTGGAAACCATAATTCATAGAGCATCAGGGACAGAATCCAGAAGTGTTTTGCCTTGGTAGTGGAGAACATTCACCCTAGAATAAATGCTACTCTAGTCTTATCTAACAAAGCTGAAAAGCAAGCTTCAAAAAGGTCAACCTGTTTTCAAATATTTTAACTGCATCTCAGAAAAAATCTAAGGAATACTTATAGGAATACAAAAATATCCAGCACCTAAACAGGATAAAATTTATAATGCTTGGCATCCCATAAAAAAACAACTGTGTAAAGAAGCATTAAAATTATACCCATAATGGGGAGAAAAATCAATAAAAATTGATCCAGATGGTAGAATTAGTACAAAAGGGCATAATAACACTTATTATAACTATATTCCATATGTTCAAAAAGCTAAAAGAAATATTATGCTATGTAAAGTAGAGGCATAAAAGATATAACAATAGACTCAATTTGAACTTCAAGAGATGAAAACTGCAATGTTTGAGATAAAAAATACACTGAATAAAATTATGGTAGCTTAGACATTGTACAAGAAAATATTAGGAAACCTGAATACATAGCAGGAGTTTCTGCCATTGCTATGAAATTATTTATTTTTCCTTGCTGCAAATTTTGCATTTTACATTTTGAGGCCATGTTATGAGGTGGATACACAGGTAAATAAAATACAGAAATACAATAAGACTAAAAAAATAAAAAGAGAGAATTAGTGAGCTGTGGTATGAGTGAACCCTAACTCCCCTGGTCTCCTCTGACTCTTGATCTATCCCCTCAATTCAGAGATCACTGGACTCCTCCTGGGTTTCCCTCCTTGCACCACAGCCTGGAAACTCTCTTTAGGCAATGAACCAAGGGCAGCTGTAGAGTTCACTTATCTCCTTTATTTCCCATCTCTCAGAAATCACTGTTCTTTTTTGCTTAATGTCTAAAGTTTTAAGAAACATTGTTTCACAAACAGGAAAGTAAAATTTTCTTAAAATTCTTAGTTATTTTCGGTAGGAGGGTATATCTGGTACTGGTTACTCTACCTTGGCTCCAAGAGGCTGTGAGGTATGGTATTTTTATATATTTCAATTAGTTTAGGTTTATTAAGTATATTTTTCAAATCTTCTATATCCTTTGTGTTATTTCTATGTGCCTACTCTGTTACTGGGAAAAATATATGAAATTATTTTTCCTTGCTCCAAATTTTGCATTTTACATTTTGAGGCCATGTTATGAGGTGGATACACAGATAAAATTTTTATATCTTCCCAGTGGATTGATCGTTTTCTTATTATAAAATATATGATATATGTTTTTATATTGTTTTTGTTATTGTAAAACATATTTCATTTTCTCTGTCAACTCTTCTTGCCTCAAAGTCTACTCTATCTAAAGACAGTATAGCCATACTATCTTTTTTTGGTTAGTGTTTGCATAGTATATTTTTTTCCATTCTTTTCCTTTCATCCTTTTTGTGGTCTTATATTTAAGGTCCATCACTTGTAAGTAGCCTATAGTTGTTTATTTTCATCATAGTTATTGAAAAGCAATATGAATATTTCCATGTTCCTGCATGGTTAGAGCTTTTGGAACAAAGAAAATTGACATGCTCTAACAATGGAGCATTTCTCTTCTCCCCAGACACATTTGCTTCTCACAGTCTAAGGATGATAGACCTGGAACCACTTTTTTCCTTTGTAATGGAGCCATCTGCTCCTATTCAAGGGATAGGCAAACTCATCTTGCCAAGAGCCAAATACTTGCACTTCAGAGTAGAGACTTTTTCTTTTCTCTTCCCCGAGAAAATTTGTTTGCATTAGAAAAACAAGGCTCCTCTCCCTCTCTTAGAAGACGACAGGGAAGGCAGTTGTATCTGTTTCTATGTAAATGCCCATACTTATAATTTTGGAACTTCTCTCCTGTAAAGCCAGAAACCAGAAACCATACCGCCGCCCCACCACCCCACTCCCTGCCTTGCATGCACAGGCCTAACCATCTGGGTCTCATTGCCCCACACCTCAGTGGGAGATTGGGCATGGGAAACTGCTGTCGTTATTGCTGTGAGTAATAATAGTCTTCTCCAATTCAGAAATTTTATGTTTGTCTTCAGGATAATATAAATATATATAGACATTAAGATCTTATCAATAGTCTTACAATTTTTGTTTCCAGTATAAGGATTTAGTGTATTTATCCTTTTTTGTGATTACTAACATTTTGGGGCTTAAGTGCACTACATGTTTTCTATTTGTATCTTCCAGATGCCCCTTTTGTCCTCCTTTCTTTTCTTGTTTTGAGTTAATCGAGTGTTTTTTTTTTTTGTTTTGTTTTGTTTTTTTTGAGATAGAGTCTTGCTCTATTGCCCAGGCTGGAGTGCAGTGGCGCGATCTCAACTCACTGCAACCTCTGCCTCCTGGGTTCAAGCGATTCTCCTGCCTCAGCTTTCGAAGTAGCTGGGATTACAGGCACCCATCACCATGCTCAGCTCGAGTTAATCAAGTATGTTTTCTTCTTTTTTTCTTTTTCTTTCCTTCTCTCCCTCCTTCCTTCTCTCCTTCCCTCCCTCCCTCGCTCTCTCTGTCTCTCTTTCTTTCTTCCTTCCTTCTTTTTTTTTTTTTTTTCAGAGTCTCGCTTTGTTGCCCAGGTTGGAGTGCAGTGGTACTCACTCTTCACTCCTCCCACTTCAACCTCATGAGTAGCTGGCATCATGGATGTGTACCACCACATCTGGCAAATTTTTGTATTTTTTTTAGAGAGGGGGTTTTGCCATGTTATTCAGGCTGGTCTCGAACTCCTAAGCTCAAGCAATTCACTCAGATTGGCCAGCCAAAGCACTGGGATTACAGGTGTGAGCCAGCATGCCTAGCTTTGTTTTCTTATTTCCATTATTGTGTTAGTTATATAGTTTTTTGCTATCCTTTTAGTGTTTATTCCTGAGATTACACATGCATCTTTGATAAATGATAATAAATGGACAATTATTACTTTGATCACTTTTATAATTTCTACTGATAAGTTATCTATGTATTATTGTTACTCATTTGAAAATAATGTGGGTTTTTCTCTGGCTGCCTTAACTATTTCTCTTGGTTTTGGATTTTTGGCAGTTTGGGTATGGTATGCTTGAGTATACATTTATCCTGCTTAGGGCTGTCTGAAAATCTGTAGCTTGATGTCACTTGTCAGTCTTAGAAAATTCTCAGCCAGTAATTTTCAAATATTGTTTATGCCACATTTTTTTCTCTCCTTTTCCTCTGGGACTCCAAATATATTAGGCCTTTTCATCGTCCCATATGTTTCTTACACTCTTTTCTATATTTCCATCTCTTAAAAATATTCTCTCTTGTTATAATCTGGGTGTTGTCTTCTAATCTATCATTCCAGCCTCTTCCTTCTTTCAG
Source organism: Homo sapiens (assembly GCF_000001405.40). Taxonomy (NCBI): domain Eukaryota; kingdom Metazoa; phylum Chordata; class Mammalia; order Primates; family Hominidae; genus Homo; species Homo sapiens. The sequence continues at coordinate 116,315,760 of NC_000011.10, read as the reverse complement.
TGGTGTTTAATCTCTTGTTAAATACAACTTACTAATTTTAGTTATATATTTTTAGTTTTAGAATTGTAATTTGGTTCTTTTTATAGATCTCAAGGTGGTTTCTTTGCTGAAATTTCCCATTTTTGATCTATTTCCTTATAGATATTTATCACAGTTATTTTAAAATCTGTGTCTGAAAACACCAATATTTTGGTTCAGCTGTGAATCTGTTTCTATAATCTGTTTTTTATTTTGGTTCTTAGTTATTTCATTTTATGTCCTAGAATGTCTAGTTAGTTCTTATTAAATGTCACCCATTGTTATGAAAAACTGTAGTCTCTGGATGATGTTATCATTTTCCAGTTAAGGTTTACTTAGTCAATTAGGGTGGGGGCAGGTCATCTGTATCTGAAGCTCGGTTCTATTCTCTGTGAAGGTTCATAAATTCCCTACTTGCTTTTATTCTTTGGCTTTAGTACTTCGTGTGTCCCAAATTAAAGCCTGAAATGTTTACCAGGTCTCCTCCTTGGTGGTCTTCAAGTCTCCCTAGCACTGTAAGAGTGCTAAAATGCTCTTTTTAAATTTTCTAGCCTCATAGGCACTTTTTGGTTAGGTTTCTCAGCCCCTCAGTTGCTGATTACAGATCACAAATGGCTTGAGAGAAATTGGCATTGAATATTGGGTTCACTTATTTGATCTCTTCTCTCCAGGATCTCATCTCCTCATGTCCTTGATGCCTTGGTAGCTTTGAACTTCTATTTGTCTCCTCAGCCACATGAGACTGTCTAAAACTCTGCTTGGCCTTACAGTATCTTAGCTACTGTCTGATGCTTATCTTTTCAGTCTGAGCTGCTATATATGATTCAGTGAATACACGAAGGGAAGAGCAATCATGAACGGAGGGCGCTTCTCAATTCATTTCTCTTCAGAAATTTGGCTCATATGTCCTGCCTTCTTTGGTAGATCTTCAATAATTGTAAAAACCTTTTTTTCTGGCCGGGCACAGTGGCTCATGCCTGTAATCCCAGCACTTTGGGAGACCAAGGTGGGTGGATCATGAGGTCAGGAGATTGAGATCATCCTGGCCAACATGGTGAAACCCCGTCTCTATTAAAAATACAAAAATTAGCTGGGCATGTTGGCACACGCCTGCAGTCTCAGCCACTTGGGAGGCTGAGGCAGGAGAATCGCTTGAACCCAGGAGGTGGAGGACGCAGTGAGCCAAGATCACCTCTGCACTCCAGCCAGGCAGCAGAGCGAGCATGAGAATCTGTCTGATACAAGCCAGTCTATCACAGACAAGAAATGAAATCTTGTAACCTGCTTTTATGAAGGAGTTTGTGACTTTGTGTTAGACCTGGAGATTAAGGAGAAAAAGAATAAAAAAAACATGAGGGAGAAGAGTTAGGAAAAGATTAAGTTGCTTGACATCCAAGAGGCTTGGCATTGCTGCAGTCCACCTTGTTCCTCAGATTAGTAATTACATTTTGGTCTTGCCACTGGGTTGGAAGGAACCTGGAAGCTGTTTTCAGATATCAGAAGGACTCTACTGTGGCTTTGGCAATAATGGAGGAAGGGTAAAAGGGAACAAGGGCTGATGGTATAAATAGAAACTGAAACAAATTTTGGCTTGATCAAAAGGAAGTATTTTTAACAAAGATGGGTTAGAATGAGGATCAATGTGAAATAATGCATTTCTTATTCATAAGGCATTCAAAGACTGTCTACCTGGGGTGAAGCCAATTGGCCAACAGCTCTATGGCTATTCAGAATTCAGACAGCAATTGTAAGGGTCCCATACCTGAGAGAACATGAGGGGTCTTAAGGCCAGACTCTCAAATGCCAAGTGCAAGGCAAAACAGCACTAAGCTTTGAATCAGAGAGACTTAGAGTTTGATTTTGGCTCTTCCGTGGGCAAGTAGCCTAACTTTTCTGAGCCTTAAATAGAAGACATTAGAATATTGAATGTGAGATGGACTAGACGGCTTAGTATATACTTGATCATAGTAGGTTAGGAGCTCAATAAATATTTTCTTTTCTTTTCCTTTTTAAGAGACAGGGTCTTTCTTTGTCACCCAGTCTGGAGTGCAGTGGCACGATCATAGCTTACTGCAGCCTGGAACTCCTGGGCTCAAGTGATCCTCCCATCTCAGTCTTCCAAAGTGCTGGGATTATAGGCATCAGCCACCATGCCTGGCAGGAGCTCAATAAATGTTGAGCAAACATGTGATCTACAGAGTCCCATCTAATGCCAGGATTCCATTATTTTATAAGTGAGGAAGCCAGTGTAGCGTGGTGGTGTGGTATAAAGCACACAGGGCTGGGATGCTATGTTTCCAGAGTACATTAGGAGGAGGAACGGAGAATACCATCTTTTCCATTTCCTCCTCTCACAATCCCTTGCTTCAGCCAACTCTACGCGTCCTTGTTAAACTTACATGTTAAGCTGAGCTCCAACACAGAGCATAAGAGCCTAGAAGAAGTGGGGATGAATGAAGACAACAGGAGCTTTTTCCATAGTTGTGGGTATCCCTGTTTCTTGTCCTCTAAGGGGCTGCAGATGTGGTTTTGCAGAGCCTGGCATCTTGCCCTCCTGAGGCAGTCCCAGCCTGCCCTGGGAAAGGTGCCAGCTAGGAGGTCATGTCCTGGCCAGTCCCCGCCTCCCTCCTCTCTGCGGCATTTCCTCAGCCCGGGCTGGTGCTGCCTCTCCCGCCATCACTGCAGACTGAAACAGACTAATCAGTGCCCCTCGCCTGGGGAGCTCAAGGCGGGCACCCTTCCCCCATTTTTATCCCCAAGCAGTGCTAAGAGTACTGCTCCCACCAGCTGAATCCTGCAAATGGTGCTACTAAATATTTCATTCGGGCTTAACAACTCAATCTGCCTGCCATTATCCTGAGGGCCCCCACAGCCCCCAGCCCCTTTCTGATTAACAAAGTAGCCGGCCGGGAAGATCTGCCGAAGCCATCATTGAAGGCTGTTAGCTGCTGCTCAGGGCGGGCTTGGGCAGAGGCACAGCATTAAGCAGGAAGCATCGATTGCAGCATTAGCTGGCTTTTTACATTCCCAGGCAGACAATGCAAGTACCTCCAATTATCTTCAAAGCAACTGAAGGGAAGGAAATTGGTCTTAGATGTGGTAAATAGACTCCACAAAGTTCGCTGAAGCATGCAAAGATGTGCACACTGGAGACAGAGAGGCCTATCTGCCAATCCTGCTCCATGGCTGTTCAGAATTCAGACAGCCATTGCAGGGGTCCCATGCCTAAGAGAACATGAGGGGTCTCAAGGCCAGGCTCTCAAATGCCAAGGACAGTGCAAAACAGCACTAAGCTTGGAATCAGAGAGACTTAGATTTTGATTTTGGCTTTACTGATGTGTGACCTTGGGCAAGTAGCCTAACCTCTCTGAACCTCATTTTCCTTATTAGTGATACGGGACTAGTAATATCTGCCTTAGAAAGGAGCAATCCTGATTTCAGGGCTCTGTCCTCTTAGACTGGGCCTTCCTTTACGTCCTCAAGCATCTTGTGTTGATCTCTGTCCCAGGTCATAGCACACTGTTGTGGTTGTTGGTTTTCATATCTGTTCTTCCTATTGGACTAGCAGTTGTTCATTCCTTTTTTAGGGAGAGGCCACGGCCCAGTGAAGGAGCCGGTAAAAGCCATGGACCTTTTCCCTGTAAACAAGCACATAAAGATATAATTTGCCTATAGTTTCCAGGAACTCATAGGAGCTAGGCTAGGATCCCTGTGTCAGCGTTCACGCAGTGCATGGCACATCCGTCACAATCAGAATATGCCTGTTGGCTGCTTGCGTAACTTCAAAGATGCTTTCTTGCTCTATAATTTTGGAATTCGATTCTATTCCAAAAAGAATTTGGTGAGCACTTATTGTGTTGAGGGTCCTCGACTGGGTCCTGTGGAGAATATGAGAACATGGGTCCTGCTCACGTGATGGAAAATGAAACACAGACACATATAGGACATGTTTGTCAATGACTCAAGGGGCTAAGATTCAGCCATTTGAAAGCTCCCTTACATGAAACAACTCCTGAGAAAGGGTTTCATCACTTTCCCTTCCAGCCCTGATCTTGAAGATCCTAGAGGGCAGGCTATTGGGACTGATTGTGGGAGACGAGGCAAGAGTATGTTTGGGATAGAGGTGTGTGGTAGGCATGGTAGGTGGGAAAGAGAGTATAGTGTGATGAAAAGGCCATTAGCATGTGTGGTCCAGAAGCACTGGCACCACACTTGGTGCTAGGGCAGAGAGTTGAGGGCCCAGCAGCCAGCACCCGCTTGCCTTTGTCCGGTACTCCCTGCTGAGTTAATCTATTCAGTAAGGCCATCATTATGCACAGGCAATTTATATAACTCTGCCAAGCCTCTGATTGCAGGGTGCACAAGTGCCTGTTGGGGAAAGCTGCCAAGAGAGCATCCCTTTGTCCTTTTCAGACCATGGAGGGGGTGTGGCCTGGGGGGCTGGGCCCGGAATCCAGGATCTAGCAGAGCTGGCCAGGCCCCTTAGAGCCAGCTCTCCCAGGTGAAATCTATGAGAGTGAATTGGGACTCCCCACAGGCTTGTTTCAGGGGAGTTAGCCTATTCCCACCCCATAGCCTGTTGCATCTTCTCTGCACTTAACGACTTAATTTTAAAAAGATAAAACCCCTTGTCGATATTTTTAAGGAGTTAAATAAGTACCAGCAATGGCCCCTGTTGGGGCTGTTTGGATTTGAAAAAATACTGAGATGTAAAGATATCAATATTTAATTGTCTCTTGAAGCTTGCATTTTCAAGCAAGCAGCAGGAAGCCAAGAGTCCCTTTTAAACGTGTGTGTGTGTGTGTGTGTGCGTGCACGTGTGTGTGCATGCGCATGCACTCACATACACATGTGCATATGCATGCATGCATGTGTCTGTGTTTAATCGAGGAGAAAGCTTCAGGAGCTTTGTGCATGTTCACTGCTCTTTTCCTATTTAATTTTGCTCCCCACCGCCTCCAGAGATAATAACAGAGGATGAATTCTGCTTTTGATTAATTCAACAAACAGGTACAGAACACCTGTGTGGATCCTCCTCACCCTTAAGGCATTTGCAGTCCAGTAGGGGGTTATGTTCTTTACACAAATTGCCACGCTACCCATTAGACAGACTGAAATAAATTCTACAAAGGTAAAAGAAGTTTGTGGAACTGCATCATAGAGTGGCTAATATGCCCTCAGAAGCTGGGTTGCTGGAGGGGCTCGCCCAGCCAGAGCCCATCTCTCCCATGTGCCTCGCGTAGTTCCTGGAACATGACAGATGCTCAATAAATCTGTGTTGAATGGTTGTTGGATTTCTTAAGCATTCCCTCTAGCTTTGTGGTCATTTCTGCCCATACCGTCTCCCCCAAGTGCTTGGCAGTTTCCCAGGAAAAGACACATACATTCCAGAGGAAGAAAACAGACCCAAGTAGTTAATGGGGCCGTGAGAAAGGCTGAAAGGGCTGCAAGGGACTGAGCCCAGAGAGGGGTCATTTTCCCTGCTTCATGCGGCACTAGTAACGGGATTTCGGTTAACCCTGGGAGGAGGCTCTTGGCCTCTTGATGAGGGGAGTTTGTGAAATGCCCATCCTGGGAGCCTTTCAGGGAAAGAGATACATGAGATTCACAGGGGCAAGGACGAGAGGACCTCCTCATTTCCTTCCAATATGGGGCCATCCTCTAAGCCCCTGTCTTAGTTTGTTTGCGCTGCTGTAACAAAATACCACTGACTGGGTAATTTATACATAATAGAAATTTATTTCTCACAGTTCCAGAGGCTGGAAAATTCAAGATCAAAGCACTGGTAGGTTCGGTGTCTAGTGAGGGCCCCACCTCTCTGCTTCCAAGATGATGGCTTGTGTCTGCATCCTTCAGAGGGGACAAACGCTGTGTCCTCACATGGCTAAAGGGATGGAAAAGGGGTGAACCCACTCCCTCCAGCCCTTTAATAAGTGAGGGCTCTCATGCCATCCTTGAGTGCTCTGCCCTCATGACTTAATTTCCTCCTAAAGGCCCCACCTCTTGATACTGTCACATTGGTGAGTAAGTTTCAACACATAAACTTCAGGGGACATTCAGATGATAGCAGCCCTCAGCTTATAGGCACTGGAAAAGGCCTTGGAGAGAGGCCTTCCAATTGGATGGAATTTGCATGTGGTATCAGTGGGGAATAAAGTGGAGTGAGTAATAAAACCAGAAAAGCTCAACAATTGGCCAACCGTGACTTTACTGAGTTGGGTTGCTGATCAGTCTTTTTTCCCTTGGAGGATTCCAGAGGCCCCAGGGAGACACCAGGCAGCCCTCACTTAGAAGAAGAGAGTATAGTACCACCCTGTACCTGAGTGTGGATTGCATATATGAGATAATATAAAGTAAAAAATCAAGTAAGAAGCAATCTGGATGCACCCTCCCCTCACCCTCTGGGCAGAAATCTCCTCTCATGCCCAGAAGAAGGAAGCAACTAGAGTTTTGGAGAAAGCAAGAGGCTCTCAGAGAATCTCTGACCCCTTTAGCTGTGAGGATTGAGAATCGCCCATCTCCAGGGAGCACCACATGTAATATGAGGAGAGCAAGTCCTGCAGCTGGGCTCCAAAAGGCTCTAATCACATAGGGCTGAACAGGGCTCCCTGGAGTTGGGCGGCATGGAGGCCCTGGGTGTAGGGTTGAAGGACTGGCCAAGAAGCCATTAAAACCATTCCACGTGCTTTACGGCAAATCAGCACCCAGACCATTCCTGTCTCTAACCATCAAGATTTTACAGCTTTCCTCAATGGCTTTGATGCTTCATCTTGCAGTGACTCCTGCTTAAATAAAGCCTATTGCTTTAACAAATGAAAGACTCTAGTTCAATCTGCACATGGATGGGGAGTTGCCACTCAGTATCTTTATGTCAGGGTTCTCAATTCTCAATCTCTAGTGGGTCACAAACTTCCTAGAGAATTTGTTAAAAGCTATGGACCCTCTTCTACTTCAAAGTGTACATATATACATATATGTACAATTTGGCATATAGCTTCAGGGCATTTATGGACCTCATGGAACCCACCAATAGATCCCATTAATAATATACCTCCTTCAGAATAACATTTTTGAGATTTTAGGGCAATATAATGATGTTAAATAGCATTTTGCAGTTTGCAAATCTCTTTCATAGTGCCTTCTGTTAGTTAATCTTCATAATAACCCTGTTAAGGTAGGAATTATTATATTATTGTCTTTATTTACAGATAAAGAAAACAAGCCTCAAAGGAATTATATCAGTTTCCCACAACTAGTAACAGAAGAAGTAAAAATTGGAATCAGGCCCTCTGCTTGCATTCCCATGAACTTTCATCTGGCCACGCTTGTGCCTTCTCTTTGAGTTTTTTCTTTTTTTGAGACAGAGTCTCACTCTGTTGCCCAGGCTGGAGTGCGGTGATGGGATCTTGACTGACTGCAACCTCCGCCTCCCAGGTTCAAGTGACTCTCCTGCCTCAGCCTCCCGAGCAGCTTGGATTACAGGCATGCACCACCAAGCCCAGCTAATTTTTTGTATTTTTAGTAGAGACGAGGTTTCACCATGTTGGCCAGGCTGGTCTGGAATTCCTGACCTCAGGTGATCCACCTGTCTCGGCCTTTCAAACTGTGGGGATTGCAGGAGTGAGCCACCACACCCGGCCCCTTTGATTTCTAACAATGGTTCCTGTGACATCTCTTCTTAGTTTGTGAGTGCATGATGGTTTGGGATGTGGGGTTCAGGAGACAGACTGGTCTTCAGGAGTCCAGGCTGTTTTCTGAGTTAGTGATTGTGGTTGATATCCCTCAAACACAGCTGTGACTCCTCGTGATGTTAGGGAGAAGCATGGCAGTCCTAGGATTCTAGGACTGGAGGTGACTCATAAGTGGGTTAGTCAATTCTACTTCCTAGACCTCCAAATCCATAGGGAGGAAAGCATCTGTTCCATCTCCACACCTGCTGCATCTTAATGGCAAACGTAGCTATACCCCTAAAGGACTTTTCAAGCTTTCTTTGAAAATAAACTGTTCTCCTTGCCTGAATTTCTTAAATCTGTGGCTTGGCAGATAGTAGTGACATTAGAACAATTTTCTCTTTAATTCTTTTCCGTATACTTCCAAAGGAATTTTTATATTAATAATATCATTTGCTGAATTCAATTCTAATGAATATGGATTAATTTTCTGCATTATAGCTATTGATCTTAGGCCATTGATCTCAGGAAGGGAGAGTTGCAGCTCATAAATCCCTCTGTTCTGACTGAGGGTTCCCTGGGGGCACGGATGGGGAGGTGTAAGTAGCAAGAGATGGGAAAGCTAGAGTGGGTTGGCTCTAGAGGGATGAGGCTGGGGAAATTATTGTGAGGGGTGGAGAGAGAGAAGAAGACCCTCTTGGTCACATTAGGCTCTGTCCAGATAATCCTACTTACTATTCTCCATCCATGCCCCAGGATTTCCCATCCCTTTGCTTAGTCCGTGCTTCCCTTCCTATGCCTATAGCCCTTCCTCTTCCTCTCTGACTTGTTCAAACTCTACCTGCATTTCCAGACCCAGATCAAATGCCATGCTTTCATGAAGCATTTTTTGGTTCTCTCCCCCATCTATTGCTAATCGGAATTTCTCATTTTTTTTACATGCCTATAGTGCTTTATCTCTTAGGACGCTTAACACTTTCTGCTATGTCCACATCTTTTTTTCTTTTCTTTACTTTTTTGAGATGGAGTCTTGCTCTGTTGCCCAGGCTGGAGTTCAATGATGTGATCTTGGCTCACTGCAACCTCTGCCTCCTGGGTTCAAGTGATTCTCTTGCCTCAGCCTCCCAAGTACCTGGGATTACAGGTGTGTGCAACCACACCCAGCTAATTTTTGTATTTTTACTAGACACAGGGTTTCACCATGTTTGCCAGGCTGGTCTTGAACTCCTGACCTCAAGTGATCTGCATGCCTCAGCCTCCCAAATTGCTGGGATTACAGGCATTAGCCACTGTGCCTAGCCTATGTCCACACCTTAATTTCTGACTATAAACCTCATGAGGGCAAGCATACTGTCTATCTCTTTTAATACTATGAGCCCAACATCTAGCACAGACACACTCATTGAAATACTTGTTTAATGGATGAAGAGTTTGGGATCATAGGGATCAGGAAGTAAACTCTCCCTTCTGTTCCATAATTAGCTTTTCTTAAGTTTCACCATCCCCTGTTAAGTAATGAAGTGGTGTAGATTAATGGAAAGATTGTCCTATGAGACACTCTCATTCCCATTAGATTTGCAGTATCAAGTTGCCAGTCAAGTTGCTCTCAAATGAAGACAGCATAGCCTTCTGCTACAAAGAGAAGGGTCTGAACAGTGTTTGCCCTCTGTCCATTTTGCTCTGTCGTTATTGAATTGATGCATTCACTTATTAATGAAAGCACACTATTCTCACTAAGGCCCATCTCCCATTTCTCCTCTTATAAACTTCTTTCTTTCCTACCAGTCTCTCTCTTCTAGCCTCCTCTTACGTCAGCCTCTACTCTTCCCTTTCTCAATCTTCCACCTCCTTGGCCAGGTTTCTTCCATCCACTACTGGTAACTTACAAAATGCAACGGTGGTAGTGGTGATCATGATGATGGGGATGGAGGGTGTCTCCTCTGGTGGCAAAAAGGTACAAGCTTTGCCCTCAGAGTAGCACTGACAGGGTAAGGAGAGGAAGAAAGAGTTGCATAGCTTTGGGGACATATTTTCCTTAATAGGAATGTTAGAATGGGGAAGGGAAATTTTGGGCTGGAAGAACATTCCAATGTGGCTTCCAAATGTAGCTCCTGAAGTACTGCTGTTTTCATATGAGTCTCCAGCTTAAAATCTTTCTGGAAGTCTATCCTCTCAGCAGCAGAAAGTCAAACTCTTGGTCATCCATTCAAGGCCTGGCCCAACCTATGTCTCCAGCTCCATCCCTTATTACTCAACTTTGATCTAAAGAGATGGTCCTGTCATGATTCCTAGAAGAGGTAGGTCACATAGACGCAGACACCACATGGTGTAGGCAGAGCTGCAGGCTGTTCCAATGTTGCTAGAGCATAACATATGAGATGGGGAGTGCTGTACTCAGAGTTGGATAAGATCTTGTGGAGAAGGAAGTGTGAAGGCCAGATTCAAAGGTAAGGCTTCCGCTTTTGTCTCACTCCCTCATCGTACAGTTCCCTTTTAAGAGACATATTAGCCAGGGTCTAATCAGGGGACAGAAACTATGCCAGGTATCGTGAGCATTTTAAACATAGGGAATTTACACAAAAGACTTTTAAATAGCCAAGAATAATTGCTTACTAACTGAAAAGGCAAAAGAGAACACAAGGGTCTCAGGGACTTAGCAACTTCAGGAAGCAGCTACCATCCCTAGAACCGGGGGCCACACAGAGCTGAGAGTTAAACCTCTGAGAAGGGGGAACTGCTTGTTTGGAGCTAATGTCTCTGAGCTTGCAGAAGGGGCCCCATAGAGCTGAGACTCAAACCTTCTAAGGAAGTCTACAACTGATGGCTCTGAGGAGGCACAGAGAGTCCGTGTAGAGTCCGTGTTGGAAAAACTTCAAACTGTATTCAACTCCTGCTATGAAACAAATTGCCATTGCTGGGCAAATAAGTCTGACAGAAACAAGACTCCAAGAGGAAGGACCAAATTCCCTACTCATCTTCCAGCTCTTCAGTCTTCCTCCAGCAGCCTTGATTGACAGAGCCTCAATTGATACGGGTCAGTAGCCAAGTAGAAGCCCCAGCATCATAAAGCAGAATTTAGGAGGATGAGTTCAAATTGAAAAGACAAGTGTGTGACAGGTTACCCCTTTGGATACTCAATATTTATACAGTCCTTTCTTTGAACTTCTTACAACCATTAAAAACCATCTTATTCTTTTATCTGACAAGGTGCAACCTTCTATTGTACAAAGAAAGATATTCTCATTCTTTCCTTCAAAATGAGGAGTTGCAATCGTTCAACAGTCATTGGATTCATTTTTGGGAGACAGTCTCACTATCTACTACTAGGTTATGTTAATCCTCTCCTCAAAGGTAGTCACAGTTCCATCACCTGAATATTGTTTTTCCTTCAAGAGTAAATTGCAAAGTTAATCTCCAACAATGTGTATGGTGTAACATAATAAGGGAAGAAAGACAGAAAATAAAATAATACATACACACAGAAGAAAATATGTATAATGGCTACAGTCTTTGTGTTGATATAGCTGGTCATAAAGTGTGTGTGTGTGTGTGTGTGTGTGTGTGTGTGTGTGTGTCTGCCTGTCTATGCATGTGCAATCTTCCTTTTTCCACTACCTGTTTTGTGTTTTCATCATCCTCAGCCAGGACATCAGTTGGTCTGTATTTCAGTATTTCTTACTTGTTGGGATGACTCAAACCTTTATTCCTAAAGAGTCTGAATCCTTAGAGATCCTGTATATTTTTGTTTGCTATGATTTCTATTAACTTTTAACTTCCATTAGCATGGAAGTAGTGTGGGCTGCCCCAGAGAATTCCCTGAGCTCTAGGTATAGACATTTCTGCAACCAGCTCTTGAATCAATTACCCCAACTAGTAGAGTAATCCCCTTTTCTTATCTGTTGATTCAGTGGTACAGGAACCCAAAATGGCCAGAGAGGAGTCTCAACTTCCAATTCAGTGGAATCACGGTTACTTCTCCTAGTGGGAGCTTTTCTCCTCGGGATACAAGATCTCCAAACTAGCAGAGCTCAAAGTTGCAGTGACAGGAAGCAAAAATTCTGTGAGTTATTAAGTGTAATGGTGAGAGGAACCACTTCCACTCTACCCTTTGATTCTAAGATCTATGTATTCTAGCCATGAAAAAAATAGCACCATATATTGGTCCCTGATTCAAAGTGTATACTCTATGCTGTATGGCAGAACACCATTATTTCAGAGGGCTATCTCCTAATTGGAAGAACCACAGCTGAGACTTAAGTAGCTCATTTCACCATTATTTTAGGCCAGTTGTTTCTGGGTGATAAGGTATATAATAAGAGTGAATTCCATGGACCTGAGCCCGTTGCCACACTTCTTTTGCTGAGAAATGAATTCCTTGATTAGAATCAATGTTGTGAGGAACACCATGATGGTGAATAAGGCATTTTGTAATCCCACGGATAGTGGTGCTAGCAGAGGCATTACAAGAAAATGATGGCAAATCTATAACCCAGAGTACATGTCTATCCCATGTCTAACTCTCTGCCCACTTCATGATGGAGGGAGTCCAATGCAGTCAACCTGCTACCAGGTGGCTGGCTGATCCCTCTGGTAAATGGTGCCATATAGGAGGCTATGTGCTGATCTCTGCTTTTGGGAGGTTAGGTATGGCAATAGGGATAGGCAAGTTAGCCTTGGAGAGAGAAAGTTCATGTTATTGATCCCATGAATAGCCTCTATCTATGCCATCATGGCACTTTGTACCTAGGCCCACCGATCAAGTACTGGAGTGCCTAGGGAAAGAGTCTGACTGACATCCAAAGAATATGTTACATGTTCTCCCTGCTTAAGAGCCTCATCTGCACTGGATGCCCTTTGGTGAGGATTTATATGGCACACAAATATCCTCCTAGCTTCATAGCTGGCACAAGAGTTATGCCCAAATGAAAGGTCACTGCATCTACAAGAACAGCTCTCCCTCAACTTTTGCTTCTAAATGCTTCTAAGACAGTGGTAGTTGGTAAAGCCAAGCACAGGCTGAAGCTCAGCAGGTGGCATCTACCCATCTGGCCCTCCTTGGGGAACTATTTCTTCTTCAGGAGCTCTACTAGCACTGTCTGACTGTATAATTAATTTTCTTGGCACTTAGCTCTGGCTGCCTTGTGTTATTCTTCTTTACTTGCAAATACATGCTTAAGGACAAGTTTAAATTAATCCTTGAGGATGGCGCAGTATATACATCTTTACATCAACAGAGGCTTGCTATGTGGCTCTTACTCAGTAAATACCAAGATGCAGGGGAAAGAGTTTGGTATTTAGGATAAGAAGCCCTAAATTTGAGGTCTCTTATGTTCCTTCTCCACGTGCCCTTAGACAAGATTTCACATTCATCCCATCACCCCTAAATACAGTTTGTCCAGCAATGTGCTACTGCTTGATGTTTTTTGCCTCCACGCTTTTGCTTATGTTGAACATTCTCTTATTTTTATGAAAGAAGATGCCTTCTTTTTTTCCTTATAGAAGCTACAAGTCCCACAATGCACAGAATTCCCTTCAAGGAAGAGGCTAGTCACAATCTCTGAAAAGACTCAAAATGAGAGGTTTGTAAAGCAAACTGCTATGTCTGTTACTTCAGCTGGTCCCAAAGTTGTAGTTGATATTCCTCACCTTCCTCTAGATTTCTTTGCCCTCAGTGAGCATTCTGACTCATCTTGGTAGGGCCACCCTGCCTTTCATCCCTGAGGAGTCTGAGCCTTTAGTAGCCTTTTTTGGGCTGTGGTTGCTATAATGCATATTTAGTGTTATCTCTGGGCATGAAAGCACCAAGTGACATACCTGCAAACCTCTAGATACCAGACATATTTCTCCCTATTCTTATTGTGTAGCAGTAACCCCAAATCCTCATCGAAATCAGGGTGTGTTTCCCAGCCCGAATGGTAGTTTTCCTTGGCCATTATATATATGGCCATATTTTTGTGGCCTATTGGTCCATTGTTATGAATATCCCAAAGTAGTTAGATGATAGTCACAGCTTTCAGTTCAGCAAAATCTTTACTGTGTTCCCTGACACATGTATTCTGCCCCTGGGAACCCGGGCCTCTAACCTGGTTTAGTGTAGTGTCATGGAGTTAAGAAGGACAGATTCCTTATGTGGGTTACAGGAAGTGATGGTAAGAGTGACCATTCCTACTTGTACCCCTTGATTCCCATTTCTGTAAATTGTAGCTATTGGGGCTAGAGCAGCATACATCAGCTGTTATTTCAGCACATCTAATCCACCTTGGAGGATGTCATTCCATAGAGTAATGACCTTTGCTGGCATCTTAGTTGGAGCTTTAGCAGGTCAGTCCACTCTTCAACTGGACTGGCTATTTTGGGGTGATAGAGTACCATGTTAGATCAGTGTATCCCATGGTCATGGTCTTGGTCATGAGCCTATCAGTTCACCTTTTTTTGGGTCATAAAATGGGAGCTTTGATCCAAAGCAACATTGTATGTGATATCATGTTTATAGGTCAGACATCTGGTAAGCCCTTGGGTTGTAGCATCAGTGGAGGTATTGGAGGTATTATAGGCAAGGAAGGCAAAATCATCCAGAGTGACAATTCTGGCAAGGAAAAATTGGTGTAAGGGTCTGATGTAACAGAGCGTCTCCAAGTGGCTGGCTGGTTTCTGGAAAAGTTGTGCCATATCAAAGTTCAGGGCAGGTCTCTAATGTTGCATGTCAGGCAGTCATCAGTGGAAATAGCTCAATCAATCATGATGAGAGAGAACCCAGGCTTTGGGGTCCATGTGTAGCTTCCATCCCTTTGATCATTGCTGCTACTCTGTTTATGGGATCATTGCATCCACACTGGTTGGCTGAGGAGATGGGCTGGCTGATTCCATAGGACAAATCTATGGTTATTGAGCACTTCTTCAGTAGTAGATGATCTCTGGTGTGTATCAGGAGGTACAAAGGTCTTTGTGCTTTATGCCTACTCCTATAGGCTTATTTGCTTATCTCTTCACCAGACCTCCTTGTTCCTAACCTTCCAAGTGTGTTCCTTCCAGGTTCCTTCCAGCCAAACCACTTGCCACTCAGGAGTCCATGTATATACATAGCACAGGTTTCTTTTCCTTCACCTGTGGTCAATGACAAAGCATAATGTTCCCTGTCTGCCCACTGGGAATATTTACCACTGGGAAAATTTTCTTTAGTCACTCTTGAGTAGGGCTTTAATACAACTACAATTTTTGGCTAATATTAACTTATTGTACTTTTTACAAACCAGACTGAGGTCTTTCTTTTTCCTTAGTTGGTCATTTGAGGTATTAAATATGAATTAGGGGAGAGGCATCTTTGAATAGAGGTAGGAAACATGGAAGTCTAGCCCACCTATGAACATACTGCGACATAATTAGAAATATATATTTGGTCTCTGTCCTCAAAGACCTGTCACAGAGCTTCCTGGCACAGAGCTTCTAAGACCCTTGGAATCTCAGAACTGATAAGACTGTCTTTGTATATGTTAATGAAATGATGGTGGCTAAAAGCCACTAGATAGCTTCAGGGTGGGGACTGGTTGCTAGAGGAATCAACCATGTGATTAAAGGGTTGGAACTTTCAGCCCCATCCCCAAACCTCTAGGGAGGGGAGAGAGGCTGGATATTGAGTTCAATCACCAAAGGCCGATGATGTAATCATCCATGTCTGCATAATGGAACCTCCATAAAAACCCTACACAACAGGGCTTGGAGAGTTTCCAAGTGCAACTGGAGAGGACATGAAAGCTCTGTACCCCTTCCCACTAACCCTGCCCTATGTAATTCTTCATCTGTACCCTTAATAGTATTCTTTAGAATAAACCAGTCACAGTGAGTAAGGTGTTTCCCTGAGTTCTGTGAGGCATTATAGCAAATTATTGAACCTTAGGAGCAGGTTGTGGGAACCCCTGATTTGTAGCCAAGTGGGTCAGAAGTACTGAAGGTCCAGGACTAGTGATTGGCATTCTGAAGTGTGGACAGTCTTGTGGAACTGAGCCCTCAACCTGTGGGATCTGATGTCAATTCCAAGTAGATAGCATCAGAACTGAATTGAATTCTAGGACACGCAGTTAGTGTCCAGAGAATTGAAGAATTGTTTTTTGGTGTGAAAAACAAAAAACAAAAAACAAACAAAAAAAACCCCCACACATTTGGTGACATAAGTGTTGTGAGTAGAGAAAAAATAACTGTTTATGTTTTTTTTTTTTTTCCTCTAGTAATTCACTTGTGTCTTCTGGACCTGCTCTGGCTCAATCCAAAATGTGCTATGTCCATTATATGATGAATTTCTGTTGTGCCCACTCAACCTTATAGCTTGGTAGATCTGATAATGCCCAGATCCTAATGGACACCTCTGGTTACATAGTTTCTTGATTTCACACATGTCTCTAGGGCCCAGTAGCATGTCAGGGGTCTCTCCAGTTGGTGCTTACAAAAGACTCCACAAAATAATCTTACATACTATGGATAACTCTCTCTGCCTCTGGTTTACATGGCCTGAGTGGCATGACAGCTTGTACCCTTAGCCTAGATATGCTGCAAAGCCTGTTCTTGTTGAAAGCCTTCCAAGGCACCTGTTAATAGGTCAAAGCAGTATTCCCAAGTACAGTTTATATCCCAAATGTATGCCTTTTTCTTAGTGGTAGGAGATGTTAGATCTAAGAACTTGTCATTTATCTTGGAGACAATGTCTCAGCCTGTCCCAGATCACTAGAGTACTGAAAGCTTCACCTATCTGACAGAATTCTCAATCTTCATGGAATTTTTCTCTTATTTGCTGCACTCATTTTCCTTAGTAGGTTATCTAGAGCAGTAATATTCAAAGTATGGTTTGTGAGTGAAGCTGACTTATGAACTATCTGTCCCCATTCTGCAGTGAGATAAATGCAGAAATTGAAAGGTAAGCTTTTAGAAAATTTTATAGCAACTTGACATTGTGGTGACATCTAAGTTCTTGATAAGTAGATTTGTCTTACTTAACCAGGTTAGATGCATTTTGGCTGTTATTGAACTCACACAAGGAGTTCTGTGTAGTATAAGCTGTGTATTAGTCACATTATAATGTGATATTTTAAGGATAGTTTGTCAACTGTAATCTCTGTAAGTAAAACCATGAATCAACTTCTTTTATTAGAAGATAATCTATGTTTAAGTATAATTTTATAAGATAAAGTATTGGGGATGAATAATGAGGAACTGAAGAATGATTTTGAAAATATAGCATCACTCATATGCTCATTGCCATACTACTTACAATAGCAAAGACATGGAATCAACCTAGGTGCCAATGAATGCTGGATTGGATAAAGAAAACGTGGTGCATATACACTATGGACTACTATGCAGCCATAAAAAAGAATGAAATCATGTCCTTTGCAGCAACATGGATTGAGCTGGAGGCCATAATCCTAACTGAATTAATGCAGGAACAGAAAACCAAATATGGCATTTTCTCGCTTATAAGTGGGAGCTAAACATTGAGCACCCATGGACATAAGCATGGGAACAGAAGACACTGTGGACTACTAGAGTATGGAGGGGAAAGAGGGGGTCATGGGTCAAAGAAACTACTTGTTGGGTACTATGCTTGCTACCTGAGTGGAATATACCCATGTAACAAGCCTGCATATGTACACGCGTATCTAAAATAAAAGTTGAAAAAAAAATATAGCATCACTTGTTTCCTTTTGGATAAAAGTTGAAAATGAATACCCTGAGATTGCTCAAAATGATTTTAAAATATTTTCTTCCATTCCTGGCTACATGCCTTTTTAAGATTAGTTTCTCTACTATGAGGGTTATGTCATTGAAATAAATCATAGAAATGATTTAGATATACATTATTCCTTGTGAGTAGGATTATCATCAATTTAATCTAGTTTAGATAATTTTATAAGCAAGAAGCAAGCATGCTTAAAGGTATTTAATATGGGGAAAATCAATATTTTGCTCATAACTTTTTGTTTATTTATAAATAAAGAATGACAAAAAAAGTTTGAGCCAAGCATGGTGGCTTACGCCTGTAATCCCAACAATTTGGAAGGCACAGACTAGAGGATTTCTTGAGCACAGGAGTTCAAGACCAATCTTGACAACATAGTGAGACTTTATCTCTACAAAAAATAAAAAATTAGCAGGCATAGTGGTGCATGCCTGTAGTCCCAGCTATGAAGGAACCTGAACTGGGAGGATTGCTTGGGTCCAGGAAGCTGAGGCTGCAGTGAGTGATGATCATGCCACTGCAATTCAGCCTAGGCAACAGAGTGAGACCCTGTCTCAAAAAAGAAACCTAAAAAACCTTGAGTGTAATAGTGATTTTTAAATTAATCATCTAATGTATACTTTCAGTGAACAAAGTGTACAGTTTTAAAAATCTTTTTTCTATATTTTTCTTGATTATAATTATTGAAATGTAACATTATATGTGTTGAATCTAGTAATTTAAAATCATTTTGTATGTCTTTATTTCATTTTTCTAGTAATTCATTTTTGTTCAAGTTTATAAAATGCCAGTCCATCATGAATTGAAGAATAAAACTTAGCTTTTCTAAGAATGTTTGAAAAACACTCATTTAGGGTACTTTCTACTTTAATTCACCAAGCACAATCACCAGTATAGTGGGCTCCTTGATGGTCTGCAGAATGTCAAGATGAACAAGGTCCTTATGGATGACACTATGGCAAAGAGTTGACGACATAGCTTTTGGGAAAGATTGTGCCTGTATACTGCTGTCCTTACTATGTAAGTGCACACTTTCAAAATCTTTTCTATTGATGGGAACCAAGAACACATTTGCCAGATATTAGCTATATTCCCAGCTGGGTTGATCTAACCCTATATAGATACAACACCTGACACATCAGCTACATTTGGGACTACTATTTGGTTAAGTTTAGGTAATATATGATTATCTGTCATAATCAATCAGATTTTCTCAGGGCCAAGATAGATCAGTTGAAAATAGGCATGATGTGAATTACTCCTACACCATATAAATTTTTGATGTTGGTGGTGACACTTATGCAATTCCCTCAGTTGCAACATTGTTTCTGATATACAATTTTGGCCAGAGCTGAGGGTAAGGAGTGTCAGGGGCTTCTACATGATTCTTTTTGCCTACCTTAAAAGTCTTACCTGACAGGCCAGGGAATCAACATATGGGTTCTGCCAGATGCCAAAAATGACCACAGGATGGCTTGATACACTCAGAGGGACTTACTGTGGATGGGCTTGGCCCAAGCTCCATTTACCATCTGGCTTTCATAAACCTCCACTCTAACCAGAGGATCATGATCGCATTTTGAGTTCCCTGGTATCAGAGTCAGCTCAAATCCTATACCTAATGGTTCTTGAAAAGTCAAGGTGTTTTCTTTTTCTCGGGGCACAGTTATCCTGGCAAATATTCTCATGTCACTAGTACCAGTGGAGGGTGTCCAGTTTCCAGGTTCTTGGCGTCCTGCACAAAGAATTGGACAAAATGTATAAACAAAGCAAGGAAAGAATGAAGCAACAAAAGCAGAGATTTAGAGTCCCTATTTTCTGGGGTTTAAATACTCTCTAGAGTTTCCCATGGGTTACTTGGTGTACGCCCTACATAAATGAAGTAGTGGCCCACAATTAGAGGCTGAAGTGAAGTTACAAAGGTTACACCCTATGCAAAGCATCTGATTGGTTGTGGAAAGCAACCAATCAGAGGCTAAATTGAAGTTACAAAGTTACACTTCTATGCAAATGAAGACTTGGCCCACAGTCAGTCTGATTGGTTGTGGGGGATTTGCAAAGGGAGTAGCCTCCAGTCCTTTTTTTTTTTTTTTTTTTGGTGAGACAGAGTCTTGCCATTTGTTACTTAGGTGTGGAAAGTTGGGGTTTTCCTTTTGATTTAGCTATAGAAAGCATGAATTGGCCTTAGGTTCCCTGCTTCCAGACCCTATTCTCCTGTCTCATCACTTTGGGGAAGGGTTGGGGTAGTAACATTGTGTATATTTGTAGTGACATTGTAGAATCTTTCCACAAGGTGACCCAGACTCCATTTCATCTAAGGGCTCTGGACCTGCTCTAAATATTGAAACTGGGTGAGGGACTGTAAATTTCCATTGTGGCAACTGATGTTGGCCTTCTCCTAAGCTCTTGTTTTTTTTTTTTTTGTATGCAATCAGCATGATACTGTAGGTAGCTTTCTATTTCTCCCTGATCAATTACCTTTACTACACATACTTGCAGCTCAAGCTCCTCCCACAATGCCTCAGGTCTTGCAAACTGTTTTGATAATTATACCCATTTTGCTTTTAATGGTTAAGCCCTGCCACCTGTCCTTTGCTATGTAAAATTCTATGACCTCCTCCCTCCCCAAGTGTATCACTTAGGATTCAATCAGGGAAGCTGAACAAGTGGGAGATGTATAGAAATTTATCACAGGGAGTTAGCACGCATGATGGTGGGGACTGAGTAGGCAGGTCTGAAATCTGCCGGACAGGCTGTCAGGAACGCAGGCTGGAACTCTCAGGCATGGCTGAAGCTGCTGTCCACAGACAGAATTTTTTCTTCTCTCAGTGAAGCCTTAACCCTGCTTTAATGGGCTTTCGACCAATTAAATTAGGCCTGTCTAGGTTATCTATTGCCACTACTTCAGGTCACCCGATTATGAACTTTAAGCACATCTACAAAATACCTTTACGCCAACACGTAGATTAGTGTTAGATCAAATAACTGGGGACTTTAGCCTAGCCAAGTTGACACATCAAAAAGACCATCACAGACCACCTCTTGTTAACTCGGCACTCATATACATCTCCTTAAACCATGCTTAATCTCCAAATAAAGATAATAACAAGGTTGTACTTCTGCCTAACATGATACAACAGTCCTGAGTACAACTGAAACTTTCCCTAGAAAAGAATACAAAGCCCTTGGATGATGTTCACTGCTTTTGCCTTGTATCTTAAGTACTGAGATATAAAGTTAACTATTAGTAATATAGCTTATGTTAGATGATAAAGAAATAAGTGAAAAATATTTGGTGTATCTATATCTATGTCTATATATATTCATAAAAATAAGGGAGAAATGCTCATAACTAAGACAAGCCTTGTTTATTCAATGGTCACATGGTCATAGCTGGTATGTAATCTGCCTTCTTCTACCCAGTCCACATTCCTTTTGTCCTCCACAAGCAGCTTTGCTGGTCTTGTTCTTTGCCTGCTGAGGTGACTCAAACCTTCATTCCTGAAGAATCTCTGCTGCTAACAGTCCTGTCTGAATTGAGTTGTAGTTTTCCACTGACTTTAATCACAGGACATGGGAGTACTAAGAGAGGCCCTAAAGGATCTCTTGTATTCCGGATATATTTTCCTTATCTTCCTTGTGTAGCAACAATCAACATTCCCCTTGGCAATCAAGATTAATCACCCCAACTCATACAGTAATTTCCTTCTACTGATTCAGAGACATGAGAAGCCCAAAGTGGCTGGGTGGCAGTCACCTAGTTCAGTGGGATCACTGTTGTGTCTATTGGTGGAAGAATTGTTCTCTTTGCAGGTAAGACCTCTAGACCAGCAGAGCCTAAAGTTTTAGGGATGGGAAGCAAATGTTTTGCTGTGAATCACTAGCAGTAATAGTTAATGAAGCCACTCCCATTTCCACTCTGATTTCTAGATACATGAATCCTGGCTATAGGAGAAACAACACCATATATTAAATGCTGATTTAGAACATATACAGCCTTCTGGGGGACCTTGTCCTAGCCCTGCAAGATATTGCCACCTAGCTGGCACTGTAAACCAAGTTTATGACAATCCTTCGCCATTCTCCAAAATCCATCTATCTTCTGCCTAGGTAAATTAAATGGGGGACGTGGTGGGAATCACTATTCCTGCATCTTTCAAGTCTTTAATGGTGGCATTGTTGGGGCTTAGAACAAGATACTCCAAAATATGGCACCTTGGCAATGAAAGAATTACAGAAGCAAAAAGGTTACTCTGACTTTCTTTCAGCTGACTCCCCTGAAGCATGGTCATAAAGAAATTCTCTGAACTTTCTCACCTGAAAGTAGGTCATAAGACTCTTATTCTAGAGGGGTCTTACCCTATACCCAGAGGCCAAGAAGAATATGAAAAAATAGGCCTTATTAAGTTTCTCCCAGTTATTACCGTTAGGTTATACCCCTTTTTTGTCCAATTATGTCCACAACCATCTACTTCTTTCATCAGACAGCATAAAAATATACAGTTTTCCCTGGGTCTTTGTGTCTTCATTTCTGAAGACTCCTGTGTTATGTACAACTTTGGTTAAATAAATTTGCTATGCTTTTCCCTTGTTAATCTGTCTTTTGTTAGAGGGGTGTTAGCCATGACCCTTGAGATAGGTGAGGAAAAGGTATTGCTTTCTCTCCCCTACAGCATTAATCTCTGAACTTCCTCAAGGAATGTTGTATGACTTTTAGCTTACTATTTCTATAGGTAGATGCAGTTCTAGCGTCTCCCACTTGACCTTTCCCACCAAAATAGCCCTCTCTCCACAAGACAGGCACCCAATACAGGCATCCTGCCAGTTGCTGAGAATGTCTGTTCCAATTATGCATTCCAGAGCTGGGGAAATAACTACAGAATGGGTTCAAAGCTCCACTGTGCTCCCTGTAAGACAGGGATGAGCTAATAATTCTATTGATTATCTGGCTTGTATAAGCTCCTACTCCGATTAGTGGACCACAGTGACATTTTAGATCCTCAGGAATTAATGTCAACATAGAACCTATGTTTAGTAATCCCTGAAAGTTGTGACTATCTCTTTCCCTGATGCAGCTACCTTGTTAAATGACTGTAGATCCCTTTGGAGAAGGTCGGGGGCTGGGGGTGAGGGGGTGGGGAAGATTAACAGTATAAATTTTTGGCAACATAGTAGCGTCTTTCCTTAAGGGGACCTGGGCTCCCTTTCATTCAGTGAGTTCTGAGTCTATAAACTGCGTCAAATCTGAGAATTGACTGAGGGGCCATGACTATTTGTTTTTGTAATTCAAATTAGACTTCTGTTCACTAGACTTAGAATTCTTCTGTTTATATAGGTCAGATAATAATTAGTGGACTGCACATCAATTTTTTTCCCTAGGGACACCATGGTCAACTACCAATTGCCATAGATCTCTGAGAGCCAGACTATTCTGATAACTGTTTTGACTCTATTGTCCATTATAGTAACCATGCTTATCTGGCCTTTGGACAGACCAGGTGCCACCCTGTTTGGGCCCTGCCACTCAGGATCCCATTGAGCCATTAAATTTAGGGATCCCAGTTCAATGGTAGCAGGTCCCACTTTAATTTCTGATCTACTGGAGAGAACAATCAATGAACTCTTTAAGGGTGCTGTGGCTCCCCTCATGGGGGGAAATGTTTCCTCTGGACCCCTCCTTGATATGGTTTGGCTGTGTCCCCACCCAAATCTCATCTTGAATTGTAACTCCCACAGTTCCTATGTATCATGGGAGGAATCTGGTGGGAGGTAATTGAATCATGGGGGTGGGTCTTTCCGGTGCTGTTCTCGTTATAAGGAATAAGTCTCACAAGATCTGACGGTTTTAAAAACAGGAGTTTCCCTGCACTCCTGTTTCTCTCTTTTCTTGTCTACTGCCATGTGAGACATGCCTTTGACTTTCTGCCATGATTGTGAGGCCTCCTCAGCCACATGGAACTGTAAGTCCAATAAACCTCTTTCTTTTGTAGATTGCCCAGTCTCAGGTATGTCTTTATCAGCAGTGTGAAAACAGATGAATACACCCCTGGTGTAGGTGAACAGATTTCACATGATAAATTCACTCTAGTATTCCAGTCTTCCTAAGTCGTTAGATACCTTCTTCTATACTGTACCAAAGTATTTTGGGCATTTCAGTTTCATCTAGTGGAGGCCATATTTGGGTCCTTGTTTCAGCTAACCAACCAACCAACCAACTAACGAGATTGTTAAAGGTCTTCCCAGCCCTTCAAGCTGAGCTTGCATCCAGAATCTCTGCTTAGTGGGCCCTGTTAAATCAAGTTTAGCCTAAAGTTTCCTCCTTACATACTTTAAGTTCAACCTAAAGGTTTCTCTGTACATCATGAACTGCAAGTTTTGGTCAATCAAAGGTGGTCAACTGTTGAAACTGTTCAAATAATGGAAACACTGAGCTGTAACTAATCCAGCTTTTTCTGTACCTCACTTCCATTTTCTGTCCATCATTTTCCTTTTTCTGTCCATAAATCTTCTTCCACCACATGGCTGCGCTGGAGTCTCTGAGCCTGCTCTGGTTTGGGAGGCTGACCTATTTGTGAATTTTTCTTTGCTCAATTAAATTTTTTTAAATTTAATTGGGCTAACTTTTTTTTAAACAGCCCATATCAATAAATTCAGCCTGACCCAATTTTATGTTCCTTTCACCTTGATCCCGTACTCTTAGTATTCATTCCCACACATATTCTCCAGATTTCTATCTGTGTAAATTAAAAAAAAAGTCACTTTTTTTTTTTTTCAAGACAGGGTCTTGCTTTGTCACCCAGGCTAGAGTATAGTGGTGAAATCATAGTTCACTGCAACCTCAAATTCCCGGGCTCAACTGATCCTCCTGCCTTTGCCTCTTGGGTAGCTGGTACTACAGGCATGTGCCACCATGCCTGACTAATTTTTAAACATTTTATAGAAACAGAGTCTTGCTATGTTGCCCAGGCTGGTCTCGAGCTCCTGGGCTCAAGGGATCCTTCTGCCTCAGCCTCCTAAGTAGCTGAGACCATAAGCATATGCCACCAAACCCAGCTATAATGTAGCTGTTTTGATGTGTAGTGAACCTTCTTGTAGCTCATACTTTGTACCTTACCCTTTGAGGCCAGTTGAGAGTTGA
Source organism: Homo sapiens (assembly GCF_000001405.40). Taxonomy (NCBI): domain Eukaryota; kingdom Metazoa; phylum Chordata; class Mammalia; order Primates; family Hominidae; genus Homo; species Homo sapiens. The sequence goes on along the minus strand of NC_000011.10, from coordinate 116,291,207 downwards.
GTCTATTACAGGTGTAGAAGCAAAGAGGATTGCCAGGGGTGGGTCCTGAGAAGAATCAGCAATGCCTTGTAAGGCAACTACTTTAGCGAAGATCATTAGCATTTCTTCAGGCAAAGGAGGGCAAACTCCTCAGTCAGGGGTAGAAGAGCTGCTTCTACAAAGAAGACTCAGCAGAGTTTAGGGGTACAAGGTCCTAAGATTCATTGGGATCTGCCCATATCTCTCCATTCTAATTTTCAGGATCTTACTTCTTCCCAATCCATGCCATAACTTTACTGGAAGATGCCATGCATGGAAACACAATCTGTAGTGTAATTCAGTCACTTGCAGGATAAAATTCTGGGTTTGGATTTTTAGAACTCCCATCCCTGAGGCTACAGAAGATAAAGGTTTCTTTGAGGGAAGAGAGAGAAGCTTTCAGAATTCTATTCTAAGCTCAAAGGGAACTTTGCAAAGTTTTAGGCAGGGTAGTGACATGTATTGATTTACAAGTAAAAAAAGATTCTTTAGCCTCTGTGTTAATAATGACTCATAGGGGCAAATGAAGAGATTATTGCTGTAGTCCTCCCATCAGATGATAATGGCTTGGACCAGAGTGGTAGCAGTAGAGATGAAAAGCAGTGGATCAATGTGAAATATGCTTTGAAGGTATAGTCATAAGGAATTGCTGGCAGATGGGCTAGGGGGGTAACAGAAAGAAAAAAACGAAGGATATCTTCCAAGCATTTGGCTTGAGCAACTGGGTAGATGGTGGTGACATTGATCCACATGAGAAATATGACAGTTACAGGTTTGGGGATGGGAGGAATCAAGAGTTAGTATGAGAAATCTTTTTGTAGACATTAATATGTAGATGTCAAGTAGGCAGTTGAATTTTGCCACCCACATATCTACTCCAAACAGGCTTCTATTTTTATATAGTCCATATTTAAATTTTGCCAAATTTACCAACGAAATGTCTGTTAGAGAAATTCTTTATTTGATGTAGGACCCAATCCTGTGTCATATAGTGCTTTCAGTTGTGATACCTTTTCAGTCTCTTTAACTGGGAACGATGCTTTAGCATTTCCTTGTCTTGTGACATTGGCAGTTTTGAAGATTTCTGGCAAGTTGTTATGTTGCATGTCCCTCAATTTGGATATATATGATGATTTCCCCATGGTTAATTTCAGATTCAGCATTTTTGGCATGAGAAATGTATAAATTATGTTGTGTCCTCCTCAGTGCATCATATCAGGAGGTACATGGTATCACTTTGTCCTGCTGTTGGTCTTATTTACTTTGATCCCCTGGTTAAGTATTATCCTCCAAGTTTCTCAACTGTAAGATTATCATTTCCTCCTTTGTAATTAATTAATCATCTATGGGGATATACTTTGAGGCTTTAAATATCCTAGTCCTCATACAACTTGCACCCAATGTTTTCAGCATCAATTGATGATTCTTGCTTGAATAAATCATTATTTTGATATTTGCAAAATCGTGACTTTTTAAATGAAATAATTCCTCCTATATGTATTAGTTGCCAGTCTACTGAAAGGAAGAGTTACCATACACCATTGAAATGATATATGTGTCTCTCACTAGGCTACCAACTTCCTGAGAGCAGGAGTTGTATTTTTATTAAACTCTAACACCAATTCTGTGTGGAAAGTTGATGCTCAATAAATATGTACTGAAATAAACAGTACTAAATTCACCCTCCAAATGGGTAACAAATTAAAACTATCTGCCCTCAAAAGTTTTAGCAAGGCTGAAATCAGATCTTGCACAGGAGAAAGCTTTGCAACCTATAACAAGCCTCGTAGCTGTGTGCTGGGATCCTTGTTAGGGGCTCAAGCCCTGCCCATCTCAAGGCCACTGTGGCAGACCCATGACTCCCTAGCCCAGCAGGAGAATGGAAGTCAGTGGGAATGAATATGAAAATCAATGTCTAAGAAAATGGAGACAGCAGAAGGATCTCTCTGGAGGCTTTACCCTCCTTTTCTCCTCTTTGACTTCTTCAAGGAAGGGCTGGGTGGGTGCTCAGCTTTGTTGATTCGATTTCCCCCAACTCTCCCTCCCCTCTCTGCCACACCACTCTGCCTGTCTCTCCCACTCACTCTCCTCTGGAAAAGCAGAAACTTTCCTGCAGCTGTCAGGCTTCTTTCCCTGAAGAATATCTCTAATCGCCCCGCCTGATTGGGTCTCGTTAGCGGGCTGGTGGCATTGATTGTACTCAATCAGCATCCTCCTGCCCAGCTGGGAAAATGTCCCATTTGTTCCCCCATTTTATCTACTCTTCCTTCTACAACTATTTTACAGTTTTTTTGGGATTTAAAAAAACCCGAGCCCCCAAATCAGAATTTTATGCTATCCCTGGTTGTGAGACTCTTTATGACTTTGCCCAAAGGTTTTCTGCTTTCTCTATCCCAGGGAATTTCTGGAAGTTTCCTGTGGGAACTCTGGGGACACTCACAGTCTTCTCCGTAACCCTCACTTGTCAAGAACAGCATTTTCTTACCCTCACACTTAACAAAATGTATTTGCGTAAATTAAATGAACCCATTTGATTCTCACAACAATCCCGTAGCATAGGTATTAGTATCATCACCACCCCATTTGGTGGACAAAAAAACTGAGGGCCAGGAAAGTAAAGGGACTTGCCTAGATCATACACCTAGGAGGGAGAAGAGATGAAACTCAAACCCAGCTACTTGGTTCCAAAGTATGGCATTATTCTTATACTCTTAAGCCCCAGACTTGGCCCCAGTGATGGCAGCCTCATCCCATGGCAGAAGGTAGTTCTGATTCTGGGAAGGCCAAGGTGGTATCAGGCCTCCCTTGCAAAGCCAACAAGGGTCCCTGTGCCTATAGGTGGAGTAGGCAGTCTCTTGGGAGTCCTAAAGGACCCTTCCCCCAACTCCAAATCTCTCCTTTGCTGATCCAACACAATGGGGAGGCATATGTTCACCTCATTCCTCTAAGTGAAGAGATCTGAAGAAATGTACTCCAAGATTGGTTAGTTTAGCCTGGGTGGAGGGAGAGAAGAAAGAGGAAAAAGTTCAGGTCATGACAGGAGACTCCTCTAGGCAGGGAATACCCAGGTGGGGCACAGAGGAACTTGAGTCCTTCTCTGCCTCTGGCATCTGGTACAGAGTGCAGCATCACGTGACTAATGGGCAAGAGCATGTTATCTCAAGACCTGGCTTCAATGTCTAGTTTTCCTGCCCACTGGGTGTGTCACCTTGGGCAACTCACTTATAGTATTTGCCTTGACTAAATGTAGTCTGGGGATTGAGGGAGTGGGAGCCAAAACTATCCTACTATCTCCCCAAAAGATAATATGTAAATGTGAGAAGTATAATAGAAATGAGATTCAGCATGTATACTGTGTACCATGTCAGAATTCTAAGTGTTCTATGGTAATGTGAAAAACTGTAAAATCTCCATCAAGGCTGAAAAGGAAAACTATGAGCATTTTGATATGATTCAACTGCTCATGCTTTAATCTAGACAATTCTATACAGATGGCAAACTGCTTTTTTACCCATGTTCATGCTTGCAGGGTTTTGTCTTATCTGGTTTGCTCCTTTCCTACTTCCCTTTAGTTGTCTGATGTTTGGGTTGCAGCTTGTTCATTGGTCACTATGTTTATTTGAACATAATATCAAAACAAATATTTTTCCCCTCAGTACTTTTTTTTTTTTTGAGATGGAGTCTTGCTCTGTTGCCCAGGCTGGAGTGCAGTGGTGTGATCTCAGCTCACTGCAACCTCCACCTCCCGGGTTCAAGCAATTCTCCTGCCCCAGACTCCTGAGTAGCTGGGATTACAGGCATCTGCCACCACGCCCGGCTAATTTTTTGAATTTTTAGTAGAGACAGGGTTTCACCATGTTGACTAGCCTGGTCTAGAATTCCTGACCTCAGGTGATCCACCTGCCTTGGCCCCCCAAAGTGCTGCTATTACAGGCATGAGCCACCACGCCCAGCCAGTAAATTCTTAATGCTCCCTAAGACTTTAGCATCAGAGAAAGTGGAACTTGCTCCTGCCTCTCACTGACACTGAACATTTTAGCCATGGCTGCTGATACATTGTCTCAGTTTCTTCATAAGTGAGATGGGAGTGAGAATATCTCTCATGAGGTTGTTATGAGAATTTAGTGAGATACTGGGTGTGAAAGTGTTCTTTAAGAATAAAAAGCACTATACAGATTTAAGGGATTTTTTTATACTTCTATGTACTTCCCTACATGTTGTGTTTCATAATTGCTTACCTTCTCACTTTTACACAACTGTAATTAACTGGAGGGTAGGGAGGTCTATTGTATTAATATCCATATTTCTGATATATTGCATATTGTCTGAGACAGAGCAGGTACTTAATAAAAATTAGATGGATGGATGATTGGATGAGTGGTTGGGTAGATGGACGGACGAATGAATAAAATGATGCTTGAGAATTAGACGACAGTGGAGCTGAAAAGGGGTACAAAGTTCATTAACAGCAATTACTGTTGTAATTTAATTTACCTCCCTTAGCCTCACTAACACCTGTGAGGCAGGTATTATTATTCCCATTTTACGAATGAGGAATTCTCAGCTCAGAAAGACTCATAGCTTGTAAGTATCAGAGCTGGGATTCAAGCCAGATCCATTTCCAAAGCCCAAGCTCTTTCTACCATACCAGCACAATCTCAGCAGTCTCAAACATTCTATCCTGAAGATTTCTGCTCCCCTTGGGCCTCAATGCTCTGTCATTAGGTGGTTTCATGGTTTGATGATGTCCAGAGTTGAACTTCTCCTGGGGTCCAAGTTGTTTGTGCTCAGAGCTATGTAGAAGAAAGGCAGGCATAGGGCCTTGGAGTTCATCATCTTGCCAGGCATCAATGGCTGCAATCCAGTGGGCAGTGGTTTCCCTTAGCTCTTCCTGAATGAGTTGAGTGATCTGAACACCTGTGCAGTTAGATGGCCTCCTTGAAGGGTCAGACCCATTATCTGCTCCCCATCACAGCATCCGCTGCTGGCTAGCTGGGCCCTAGGGCTGCCAAAAGGAGTAAATATAGCCAGAGGTACCTGGTGCTGGTTGGGGACCAAAATTAAGACCTCTTTCATGAAAGCAGAGAAAGACGAAGGACTGCAGAAGAGCAGAATTTCCCGCCAACAACCTTTTGAGTCTCTGGATACACCTATGTCCTTCCAAATTATGTAAACCAATGTATTTGCTGTATTGGTCATGTTCACTTGAGTTGGGATTCTGTCACTTGCAATCAAAGAACCTTGATTAATAAACTGCTCCTTACTCATTTTCCCACAGCATGCTGTCTATGCTTTGTTCTATTATTTACGTATATCTTTCTCTCTACTAGACTCGAAGTCCCCAGAAAATATGGGCCATGTCTTATTCATTTCTGTGTTCCTCATACCCCAGTACAGAGGGAGCCTGCCACATAGATGGTAATCAATAAATGTGTTTTAGTAATTACAATGTATAAGTCTTTTATATTTGGAGATTTGTCTTGATTTCCTGTGGCACTTATTAAGCACCTACTATGGGCCTATGCCTGTACTAGAGGGTTCTATAGGGACATCACATTATTTCAACTTTATCTCTCATAGGTCTTTCAGAACAGGCACCATTTCATGATCTGCCACCATCATTCCTTCTGTCTTCCTTTGCAAAGTACAGAGAGTCCCCCTCAAGCCACTCAGCAAACACATAGTCAGAATATGATAAAAATACTTTGAACCTTTGTTTTAAAATCTTGTTAAATTTTCTGTTTAAAAATGTTTTGTTCACATAGTGATAGGAGGTCTTTTAGAAATTCAGTTCTGAGGAGCAGTCTTCCTAAGGCAGTGTGTCTGTATTCAAAGCAGTTTGGAGAAAGAGCTGGTTGCTAGGGGCAACACTAACTTCTAAGGAGGGATCTTTGCATGTGGATATAAAACCAATGCCCTGGGACCCTGTAGGAAGGGGGTCTTCTCACAGAGGAGTGAATAAACGGAAAGTGGCTGGGAAACCCAGGACCATGCTGGTGCCCTCTTGGAGACTGGCAGGCTGTTCGAGCCACTTGCATATGGCATGTGGCCATAACCCAAGCACACAGGTGGCAGCTGTGCTCCCTCCAACAAGATTGCCTGGGAGGCCCATTCCGTGCAGTGGGGCAGTCCAGATTTGAGCTGGGGTGTTGCATCTCTGGTTACTCATTGTTATGGTATTTTACTTATTGATCTTATTTCTTAAATCACCATAGAATAAGATTAACTGCTTTCTCTTGATGTACAGTTTTATGAATTTTAACACATGCGTAGATTTGTGTTACTACCACTATAATCATGAGACAGAACAGTTTTGTTATCCCCTGAATTTTCTTGCCCTATCCCTTTATTGCAACAACACCTTCCCTCCACCTCCATCCCCTGACTGCCACTGATCTGTTCTCCATCACTCTACTTCTGTCTTTTCAAGAATGTAGGAATAAATGGACTCATACAGTGTATCACCATTTGTGACTGGCTTCTTGGCACAGTGCCTTTGAGATTTATCAAAGTTCTTGTGTGTATCCATTGTTTGTTCCTTTTTATTGTTGAATAGTACTCCATAGCATTCATGCATAGTTGATCTTCATTGTTCCTGGATTCTACATTTGCAAATTTGCCTACTTGCTAAAATTTGTAACCTAAAAATCAATACACCTGGCACTTCACAGTCAATTGCAGACATGGACAGAGTGGTGAAGAATTTGACATGCCTGATGCACACATTCCCAGCTGAGGGTGAATAAGGCAATACCCTATTTTCTTGTTTCAGCTCTTATGCTATAATAGTGTCCTTTTTGTGGTCTATTTAGTGAAACAATTTTTTTTTTGCATTGTTGTGCTTTTTGTTGGTGACTTCACCTTTAAAATGGGCCCAACCTGGGAGACTGAGGCAGGAGGAATCTCTTGAGCCTAGGAGTTCGAGGCTGTGGTGTGCTACAATCACACCTGTGACTTGTCACTGTGCTCCAGCCTGGGCATCATAGACAGACCCCATCTCTAAAAAGAAAAAAAGGGGGCCTGTGAATAATGCTGAAACACTGTCTAGTGTTCCTGCCTTGTGGAGAAAATAGGTATTTTTCGATGTTTTGTTCATGCATGAGTTATGCTGCTGTTGGCCTTGAGTTCAATGTTAATGGATCAACAATCCATATTAAATAAGGTGTCTTTAAACTGAAACACACATTTTAAAAAGTTATATATTGATCAGTTGGTGAAAATTTTGTAACCAGAGGCTTGCAGAACCTAACACTTTATTTCCCCTAGGAACAAAGGTTCAGTATTTGCTAATTCAGTGTGTGCAATGACTTTAGAGAACATAACTACCATCAGTAATGAGAACTGACTATAATTGTGGTATTTATTTAGCAGAGCTCTAGGCTAGTTACAGTGGGGCTCCAGTAGTATTTAAGACCCCGTCCCTGACCTCAGGGTGCTTATAATCAGGTTGAGTTGATAGCTCTTTCCTAGCTATGTCACTTTTATTCTCTTAGTGTTTGGAAGGAATGAAGCTGAGATTCCAAGTGCCCCAAGTACTGGATAAATTGTTCTCTGCAGAACAAGGGGGAAGAATGAGCTTGTTTCTCAGAAGAAAGAGAAGTAAAGGGCAAGAGCGAGGAAGTGAGGTCATGAGAGACTGTGTGTCTGCCATGGCCTCTGTCCCAGATGCCACACATTTCCAGGAATGTTTCTAAATGCAGGAAATGCTTGGGGTGCATGTGTCTTTTGCAGAACTTCCAGGAGAGCCCAAGCTTCATGCCCTGGGCAGTGCCAAGCAGCATGGAGAGAGCGTGGATGGGTGCAGGAGCAAAGACCACGGGAACATACAGCAACCAGTGGTAGAAACTTGTGCAAATTGGGGGAGACTCTGGACTCCTGCAGGCTGAGCACTGGCAACTTGGGTCAAGCTTACCAACATCTGGGGTGGTGGGGTGGGAGAGAGAGGCCTCAGCTGATACCTGGGCTATACATAAAACAGCAGCCAATAGCCAGGGGACCAGAATCACGGACTACTACATTGTGTAGAACACACTCAGGGATTATCTGAGTCAGATGTGGATGGGAGAGGTCTGGGAGGGCTTCATCTTCATCCATGTTCCAGACTGAAAGTAAAGGTCCTTTCTTTCCCAGGACGGTAATAATAATAATAAGAGTAATAACAACTGGCATATAAAAATCACTCTTTAGTTTACCAGGATATTTTGCATACATTATTTCTGTGGTCCTTCACTTTTCTTCCAGGACAGATGGCTTTTAAGTTTACGTAGGTTATATGCATAGATAAGACTGCCTGTGGGTTGTGCATTACCCCGTGGCACCAACCGTAATACCACTTCTTTTGCAGCTGAGGGTACACTGAAGTAAAAGTAATATAAGTGATATTTTAAAAAGGATAATCTTGAATGCACTCCAGTTTCTGTGTCTAGTTTATTGCTAATGGTAACAAGGGTACTTACCACAAACTGGTGACTGGCGTATGGTGTTGTAATCCCAAAGTTAAGAACTCTGCCCTGTCTCTTATGATCACTACCACTAGTTTACGCAGGTCCTTAGCAATCATCATTGAAGCATTGATGAGTGCAACAGATCAGCATGGGCCTAATGTGCTTTAGAAAATACTCTTCTACCCCACATACTAGGTTCTCTAGGTCTTCTTTGACCTCCTTGAAGGTCATGAGCTTGAATTTACTGGCTAGAAAAGAAAGTTTCCTGAATCCCCATTGCAGAAAATGAATAAAGCCATCTCCCCAGCGCCTGTACCTTCCGAATCCAGGGACAGTGCATGGGGAGTTGACAGTGGCCTGAGGAGGCACGGACAGAGGAAGGCTCATTCTCATCTCTGGGCAACAGTGGCCCTGTCCTCTGATTCTTTGAGAACTCCGGGCACAGTGGCTCATGCCTGTAATCCCAGCACTTTTGGAGGCCGAGGTGGGTGGATTACCTGAGGTCTGGAGTTCGAGACCAGTCTGACCAACATGGAGAAACCCCGTCTGTCTTCTAAAAATACAAAATTAGCCGGGTGTGGTGGCGGGCACCTATAATTCCAGCTACTCCGGAGGCTGAGGTGGGAGAATCGCTTGAACCCGGGAGGCGGAGGTTGCAGTGAGCTGAGATCGTGCCATTGCACTCCAGCGTGGGTGACAGAGCGAGACTCCCTCTCAAAAAAAAAAAAAAAAATAGAACTCTGAGGGTGAACCGGACTTGAGGTGAGGGGGCACAGGAAGTGCTCCCTCTGTTGGAGGACACATTTCTTTCTCAGCCACTCCTGATGTTTCCTTCTATGTGGAGGGAGCTCACTTGGATCTCTTGGCTTCTGTCTTTCCATTACTCTCTCTGCTCCAGGGAAGAAGAGCTGACTTTTCTGATTGGGGGTTTGGGGAGAATACACAGGGCATGTTCAGCATGTTCAACTCGGCTCCTGCTGGTTTCTTTCCTCTGATAAAGGTGAGACTGATTGCAGAGAGTCCAGGTTGCCTTTCACCTGTCCATGACATCAGTGGTAGCTGGGCAGACCCTCGCCATCACCAGCACCAAGTGCAGAGGCTGCCCGTCTATGCTGCCTGTGATGGCGAGGGTGAGACCTCTGACTGTGGGGCCCAGGAGGCCCATTTGCTCTCTCACTCAGCCATATCCTCCAACTTAGCTTCTATTAGCAACAAAGGTGGCCTTTCTCTGTCCCACAGGTCACTGTTTGTCTTTTTTCTTGCTTTCTTAGAACATGGAGGGAAAAAGAGGTGCATTGGGCAGTCCCTTGATAGAGAAAACCCAGGACTCTTTCCCACTATTCCACCAACCAGCTCTGTTTCTTTTCCCACACCTGGTTCTAAACACACCTACTCCAGGCAGTCTCCCTGGATTAGCTGCAGGATTCTGAGCTTTGGCTTCACAGGATGGTAGGATATCAAATTCGAGCTTACCTGACCTGACTCCTCACCAGAAAGCCTTGCCTTTCTCAGCTGAGGGTATACTGAAGTACAAGTAATATAAGTGATATTTTAAAAAGGATAATCTTGAATGCACTCTAGTTTCTATGTCTAGTTTATTGCTAATGGCAACAAGGCATTCCTACAAACTGGTGACTGGCATATGGTATTGTAATTCCAAAGTTAAGAACTCTGCCTTGTCTCCTAAGATCACTACCTCTAGTTCAAAGGTCTTAGCAATCATCACTGAAGCACTGACAGGTGTGACAGAGATCTATTACTGAGATAGAGAAGACAACTGGCTTCCCCTTAAAAAACCTGGGGTGATTTGGGGGAAGTGTCTTGACATCTCTAAGCATCAGTTTCCTCATGGGCAAAATGGAGCTAAATCATTTCTTCCTCTCAGTGTTGTGGTGAGGTTTAAATGAGATGGTGCAGGATAGTGTCTTGTCAATCTTAAAGCCCATGCAAATAGGATGGACTGTTGGCAGTGGCAGAGTAGGGCATGGAACCCAGGTTTTCCTGGGGTGGGGGAATCCCAGAGCCCCCAGCTTAGGGAGGCTGGGCATCTTTCCAGGACCCAGAGAATTGGGATTAGAGAGCAGAAAATTATGTAGTGTACTTGGGATCCTGGATCTCTGACCTGCCCAAGCTATGGTGTCTCGGGTGAGGTCTGGGGAGGGCTATTCACATAGGGACAGCTCCCAGCCACTTCTAGAGGCTTCTAGATGTGTCTGGAGGGAACAGGTAAGAAGGATGGTGCCCAAACAGTGCAGTGTTGGGAAGGCCTGGAGAAGGAGATTGGGGGAGGCTGCATCCCCTGAGGCAGAGGCGAATGCCTGCTGCTGGACCCCAGCACCCTATCTACAGGGGCTCAGAGAAGCCCCCACCTTGAAACCTCCCCATCAGGCAGAAGTCAGGGTAGACTTAAATGATAGCATCCCACCTACTCCCTCTTCACACACACTTACTCTGGACCCACCCCTGAGCCTGAAGGAACTGATGTGACATCCAACACTCTCCCAAGTCAACCCCCATGCCCCAGCCAATCATCCCTCCATTTCCCCCACTTCCCTGCCATCTCCTGTGACCAAAGAGTGCCTAAAGTTCTTATAAAATTCTTGAAATGATCTTCTCTATGGGGATGAAGGACACTAGCAAAACCATTGCTCCTTTCTGGGCTTCAGTTTCCTTTTTTCTGAAATGGAAACAACACTCTTATAGAATCCTTGGTGCTTCGGTTCAGCAGTGTTGCTCTCAGAAACTTTTATTAAGGCTGATTTGTGCCTGGCACTATATGGAACACTGCAGCTTTCGCTCGTCAGGAATGTGTGTGTGTGTGTGTGCGCGCACACACATAGGCGGGTTTTGCTCACATCAAAACCGGTTATATAAAAACCTGGGCTTACACTAATGATAAATTAGGGGATAATTATTCACTTTATGAAAGGATTCATGTTAGGATTCCCCTAGTGTGTTTATAATGTGATTCAATTTACACCATATTCAGCAACCATCTATTGTGTGACGGGAGGCCCTCTGCATAAACAAGAGCATGTGTAGGCAGTACTTTGAGCATTATGGAAGGAAAGAATTAGAGATACTGAAGAGGTCTTTATTGCTGATAACAATGAATAATACTAGCGCCTGGGAACAAAGGTGACTGTGGATCACAGTTTCCTTAGTCTCAGGAGCACTGCAGTGCCACACAGGCCTGGGGAAGAAGTCCAGCTCCCTGCTCACAAGTCTGACTTTGGTTTCAGCAGCGTATGTGGGGGCTAGGAGTGGTCAGGGGCCTGGGCGCCAGGAGCTCTGGCTTTGGTGTCAGAACAAAAGCTATTGGGTTTATCTTCCTTGAGACCATTAGACTTGGGGCACTGGTGTGAGGCCAGCGGCTGAGGTTCTTAGGGAGGATGGGGTTCCTGGGGGAGCTCAGGGAACCGCTCAACTCCTACCATTTTCCAGACATCCTTTCTCTATGCCTTTCTTTGACCCCTGCCAAGGCTGTTTTTCCAGTATCACAGACTAGGACTGAATTCTGAGTTTGTCTTGTCCATTTCTTCATCTCACTCAGGAATCTGCTGAGCCATCCAAGCAGATGAGAATCTTCTCTTTTGAGGCTCCCCAGGAGGCAAGCTACACCCTTTCCTTCAAATATCTTTTCCAATTCCCTATTTTCATTACCGCTAGAGGAAGACGACGAAGTCCAGGTTCTGGCACCACATTTTATTAGGCAGGCAACAGCAGAACATCAGGAATTTGTAGTCAGAAAAGCAATATGGTTAGATGTGAGTTTTATAGACAGTTCTGATGGGGGAGGGTGGGGACTGTGCAGGTGTGGGTGAGGCGCGACTGGGTGAGGCGCGACTGTTGTCAGGCCAGGGCCAAAGGCACTGGGGTGAGGGGATGGTATGTGGACAACATGACGCCCTGTGAAGACACACCTGGAAGGTCATAGGACTGAGGGGCAGGGATCAGCCTTCAGATGCTTAGAGACTATCCTGATCCTTTGTGTCTCCATGAAAAAGCATCTCTGTTCCCTTTGCTTGGCTCCAAAAGTAACCAGCATCTTTCTTCATTCTTGGGCACACATCTGACTCCTCGTCTTCCAAGCTGTGCTCATGCCAGGATCAGATTTACCATTAGATTATGACTTCCACTGATATGTTGAGATGTGGAGTAGAAAATGCTGGAGTCCACCCTGTGGATTTCTGGGGTCCCTGCCTCTCCAGCCCCGGCACAACTTCTGCCTGGCTTCAAGGGTCCTGAGGAGGGCTGGCTAGCTGACTCAGACCTGGGGACCCCCACTTCAGAACCCCCCACCCCTCCAGTTGGGTATCTTCAAAGGAATCTTTGGTGTCACAGACCAAGTCAGCAGGGGCTGGGAGGGAGCCTGGAGCTTTATTAACTAATCTCTGGTACTTGAGTAATTTATTATGTTTAAGCTGGTGCCATCAAGTCTCTCAGCAGTGCCCGCGTGCACTGGGAAATAAATTAAAGGCTGTCCAGAGATACTTGGATCATCTGTGTGATTGCTGGGCTGGTGAGATGGAGGTTTAAGGCTCTCTCTTCTTGCAAATTGGAAATTAGGAATTAACAAGACAGCAGGCCAAAGAGCTTCGGTGGTGGTGGTGACTTGGCTGCAGGGCCAGGGCTGGGGGAGGGAAGGCTGCCACCAGGGAGGGCGGAATAGCAGATCCCAGCCAGAGTTTCCAGGGCATGGGTGGGCTAGATGAGGGGGCTCTTCCTGGGCCTGAGCAGCAGGTGGCAGGGATTTTTCCACCTCTTGAAAAAGGTTAAATGGGTAATGGAAAGAGCCCTAGCCTGGAAGCCTGAAGACTTGTTCTGGCCCCAGCCCTGCCACAGCCCCTGTGTGACATTGAACAGTCTCTTCCTGTCTCTGGGCTTCAGTTTCCTCATCTGCAACAGGAGGAGGTGGGATTCAGGGCCCACTTATCCATGAGCACAGCAGGCATGCAAAAATGTTTTAATTTCTTTTAAAGTCAGAAGAGAAAGAATACGCTTTTTGGTTGAGGAAAATATTTTTAATATATAATATTAATACATTCATCTTGATACCAAAGCAGTCATTATATACATATATTTATATAAATGTATAAATTATATAAATATATAAATATATATATATATATATATATATATATATAGAGAGAGAGAGAGAGAGAGAGAGAGAGAGAGAGAGAGAGATAAGAGTTCTGCTCTGTTTTCCAGGCTGGAGTGCAGTGGCATGATCTCGGCTCACTGCAATCTCTGCCTCCCAGGCTCAAGCCATCCTCCCACCTCTGCCTCCCAAAGTGCTGGGGTGCTGGGATTGCAGGCGTGAGCCACCTTGCTTGGCCATAAAATAGGATTTAAATATGAATTTGTGTGCGTGGAGGAAGAGGCCCATGAAGACGAAGGTGCTAAGGGTCCCACGGAACTCATGATGCAGCCTCTGTTAAATGAGAAGATCCCAAAGGCCCTTCCTGCCCCAGTACACTTGCCTGTCCCATCCATTTGCCGACTTCGGCTTATCCGGGCTCTGGTGAGCTCCGGGCGCAGGGACTCATCTTCCTGTCAGTCCGCCCTACTCCTGCGGTAGGAGCGGTGTGCACAGCCCCACTGTGGCCGGTGGTGGGGCCAGGAGTGGAATGCAGGCTTTAGGCCTCTCCATGGCCCCAAGCTGCTGCTTCCTGATAGATGCCCAGGGAAGGGGCGTGTGAGCCCCTTGGGAGACCGAATCTCTTCTTTCCCAAATCCCTCGGATCAGGCCCTCCCCGGGGGTCTTCTGCCTCAGCCCTTGAACTCGACCCACCCCTACCTTCTGCTTTTCTGCCCTCACAAACTCAGCAGTGCCTAGAAGGGCCCTGGGCAGGGCTCCGCGCCTTCAGGGTCTGCTCTGCGGGAGCCAGCGGGCACCCGGGTGTGGGGCCCTCGGCGCGGGACAGCATGGCCCTCAAGAGCCCCAGCCTGTAGTTGGGTGGCCTCACCACCAGGTGGCAGGCTTGCTCTACACTGATGCATTGGCAGGAGCACTTACCTGGCAGTGGCCGCAGGGGTCGGAGGATGCCAAATCGGCCCGCGGCTGGGGGATTATTGAGGCCAGCGCCTGCGGCTTCAGAAGCAGGGCGGAGGTCTCTCCCACTCGGCGTGGGGCTCCTGCTGGGATTCTGTCTCCAAGGGCACCTTGATTTCCTAGAAGTGCCTCCAGGCCGCTGTCGGTGTGGGCCAGAGTGCGCCCCCTGGAGGAGGGAGGGCTGAGTTGCCTCCTCGGGGTTTGGTGTGTGCGCGGTTGGCTGGACTGGGTGGAGGGCTGGGGACACCGAGAGGGGCCTGATGATATCTTTGGAGGCATCCCAAGGACCCTGGTTCTGCACAGAAAGGTGACTCCCACCCAGCTGGCCCTGGTTTTAGGCATGGTGAACGCTTGATTGTGGTGTCGGCTCCACACCCACCACCTAGACTATCCCTGCTGTGGGCAGGGCCGCTTGGGAGGCCCACTGGCGGCAGGGCAGCCTGAGCGTCATCCTCTCGCACCCCTGACGAGCACGGCTGCGGCACTGTCCCTCCAGCACCCTGGGCTGTCCCCGAGGGGCCCCAGGAGCCAGGGCTCAGGCCACAGTCGAGCCCAGGGCCCTGTCTTCCCCAGGAGCAGAACAGGAAAAGACCCAGGCCCTGGTCAATAGAGTGCCAAGGAGAAGAGATGAGAGTGAGGGGTGAAAGACAGACATGGTGGCAAGTGAAAGTGAGGCTGGCCACGTCCCGCGGGGCTCCCTGGGAGCAAGTGTGAAGGCCTCAGGTCCTGGGGAAGAAAGTGGGAGGTCCCTGCCTCTGCTGGGCGCTTCTTTGTCTCAGGCAGCAGGAGCTCTCCCCAGGCCTGGAGTCCTCTTGGGGTTCCTGAGTGACATCTGGAATGCCCTGTCCTGTCACTAGCCAGCCAGGGCCTGAGTCAGAACTGGTGACTCACATGCTTCTTTCTGTGATGTCTTCGTGCCCTTTGTGAAAGTCAAAAGCCCCAGAAGTCAGCCCTGGGCCCTTCTCCCTGTCTCCCTCACCTGCCTGTGTGCCCTCCTTGGTGCACTGGTTCCCAGCCTGCCCCCTGTCCTCCCCACTCTGTCTTGGTTGAGAGATCTGCTCTCTGCTCTTGTTCCAGAAATACTGATGACTTTTTTGTGCAGTGCGCTCTGTCCCACCCATTCCAATGGCATCCGATTTCGAGAACTCAACTTTGAGGCTCCATGTCAGCACTCACTCAGACCCTTCCTCCCAGGCTTCTGTGTGTTCTTGGGTCAGGAGGATCAAGCCAGGCCTGGATGCGGAGTCAGGTTAGGGTACAAAGGCTCAGATGGTCCCCAGGGTCTCTCACCCTTGCAGATCCACCAGGACAGGTCTGGACCAGAGACTGGGAGAGACAGAGAAGAGGGAAAACAGAGAGCGCCATGCTGGGGAGGGGAGTGGTCTGGGAACAGACAGAGAAAAAGATAGTAGACGGATGCAGAGGAAGAGAGGAAGACAGAGAAGAAGAGTGTGTGTGTGGGAGACAGAGAGAGGGAGGGAGGGAGAGAGAGAGAGAAAAGAGACAGAAAGAGAAAGGAAGAAGACACAGAATAGAATAACCAAAAAAATCAGAGTGGGGGAAGGATGGAAATTAAATACATTACAAACTGAGGAAGGAGGAAAACGAAAGGAAAATAACAGAAAATACCCAAAAGACAGAAAGGATGAATGTAGAGGCAGGCACACACAAACATGGGTGTGAACAGCTGTGTGCATGCGAACACACACACACACACACACCCCTGCTCTGGTCACCGTCCTGGTCCTGTGCTGATCTTGCCTTAGCGTCTCTCTCCCTCTGACCTGCCTTAGGTTCCTAAGAAGGGCGTGGCCTCCTGGTGTTGCCTGTTCCCTGGCCCACCCCCTGCCCACCCCCAGAGATTTCACTTAGGCTGGGATGCACAGAGGAGGCCAAAATCTTTATGCCTCACACTTGTCACCCAAAATTGGATCTAACCGCCTCTCTCCCTTCCTTTCTCCCTCCTAGTTTCCTTAGTAACTGACAGTTCCCCAGTGAATGCCAGGCCCTGGGTGACAGACCGCTGTCACCATCACAGAAGCACTTTCTCTCTCTCTCTCTCTCTCTCTTTCTCTCTCTCAACTGTCCCCCTCAAAACCACATAGACTCACAGACTTGGGCGGGGGTGTGGGGATGCCTGGGTAGGCTCAGGGGTAATTAAAACATGTACCATTTATTCCGTAACAGGCAGCAGAACTTTAATTACTCACTCTGAAGGTGAGGGTGTGAGCAAGGAGGTGGCTACGGGGGGGTTGGGGAGGGGGCTCAGAACGTGTCTGCTTTTCTTCTTTCCTTTTCCATTTGCCCAACTTGGATTGGAGAGGTGGGAGGTGGGTCTGGGAAAGTGAGGGGGTGCTGAGTGCGTGTGGGGGAGAAGCAGAGGGTGAAACCTGATTGTGTTCATTAAGGCAACACAAAACTGGGAGCGGTAATAATAATTAATTATAAAAGCAATTTGCTTTTGAAAATTTGATTTGACAGCTTACTAGTGGCTGCACTGATCTAGCAGCTCTGGCTTAAAAATAGTCAGAACAAAAACCAAGTAGAAGAACCATCAGCTAATTTTAATTAGAAGCCAGGATTGGTAAACAAAATTCCGCACCACCCTTTCATTGTGGCTGACTTCGATTTAAGGAGATGTCGGGATTGATTTGGGGAAAGGCAGGGGAAAGGAAGGTGCCTTTTGGAGAGGGCATGGAGACTAGGGGGTCTGAGCAAAGGCAGTGACCCTGAGGGCTGGTCCCCCTCCTCGCCACCCATTTTGGGGATGTCGGCTCTAAGGGGTTTCCATGGCTCCTCCCTGTGTGACCTTGGTAGAAATGGCTCTGCCTCTCTGGCTTGCTGCAGTGGTGCTTTCTGTGTGTGTGTGTGTGTGTGAGTGTGTTCATGCACACAGATGTGTTGGAGAGGGGACATCACATTGACAGCATCCACTGATCCAGGAGAAATTCAACCAAGAAGGGCAAAGAAAGCCCGTGTAGAGGGTTGGCCACAGGCTCTGCCCTGCCAGGGCTCTAGAATGCTTAAAGGTCTTAGGAAGCTGACACATCTCTGGAAGTTTCAATGAAGACTGAAGGAGGGCTGGCTTCTGGCAGGGAGAGGCTGCTGTCTCTTGTGGCCCGAAGGTGTCTGGACACCATGCTGACCCCTGCCTCCAAGCCCCATCTTGACATCTTCAGTGCCCTTCCTCGTCTCCCCAGCAGCACATGCATCCTGCATCCACAGCTCATGCCTCCATCAAAGCACTGCCCTCCCGGCTCTGTCACTGTCAGGGTCAGTTACTCCTCTTCCCTGTGGCTTGGAGAGCCCTCTCTACTTCCTACCTTGGGCAGGGATTTGATTCATTCCAGGGTTCCACTGCCCGGCACAGTGCCCAGCGTATAACAGGTGTCCAGTAAGTGTTGGTCAAATGGAACAAATCACCAATCATGACCTTCCTAACTACCTCTTCCAGCTAACATTTCATTACCCTCCCTTCCTCTCTCTCCCCTAAACCCACATTGCCCTTCCATCCATTCTCTTCCAGTCCACTGCATGCTGAGGACTCTCTCCTGGGTCACCCATCCCTGGGGCTCCTCTCCTTCCTCCTTCCCTTTGCTCCCTGTGCCCCTGGCTGGCACCGTTGTCCACCCCTCAATGCAGCTGCCTGCAGGGTCTATCCCACCGCCTGCTTTGTCCTTAGTGCTCACATCGGTGCCCCTGGCTGCCCTAGGGGGGTGCAGTGCCATCTTTATATGCATCACTCTTAGGATGCATCACTTGCTTCATTCAACAGGGTTTCATGGGGGCATCTGAGTTAGGCTCCTGGCTGGGTTGATACAGCTGGGGAGAGGGGGCACAGGAAGCATATCTGGACCTTGCCTCATGCCGCTTAAAGTGCAGTGTGTGGTGAGGTCCCTCAGAGTCCCCACCCTGCATGCTCCTGCTGCTCTGGCTCTAGCTTTCTAACCACCCAGCACTGGAAAATTCTTCTGTTATTTCAAAACCAGTGTTGGAAACAAGATTTTTTGCCCTCTCATCTCTCTCTCTCTCTACACACACACACACACACACACACACACACACACGTGCATGCACTCACACACATGCACACACACTCACCACACACACACTCGCGCACACACGCACGTGTGCATGCACACACATTCACTCATACACACAAACACACACACACACTCTTCTTCTCTCCCATCAGCTCTTTGTCTCTGAGGCTCACCACACTTTTCCCACCCCCCAGGTTTCCCCAAAGCCTTGGGTCATCTTCCCCTGCTCCCTCTCCTGGTCTTCCAGGTGATAATCACTCAGCAAGTCTTGTGGCTTTTTTCTTCAGAATCCCCCTCCTCTGTGTTACTGGGGTGCCCCCTGCCTGTCTCCCTTTTAATCTGGGCACATCTGCCCCCAGGCCCAGCTGGGTCCTCAGCCTCTAGGCCTTTCCTCACCACACTGCCAACATTTTAAGCTCGCTGTAGTTGAGCCCATCCACGCCCTCGTGTTTTCCTGATTATTTCACAGGGAGTCAGTTGTGTGAGCTTCCACATGTCCTCAATCAGCCCCTCACTAAGTCCCCTGCGCCGAGCCTGATGTGGGGCCATATTTGAGAAGATTCAGAGAAAGGAGGTGAACATACCCACACACTGATCAGCCGAGAGCCTAAGAAGCAGAGGAGTATGGGCTGCGGTTGAGAAATGAGCAGGAACCTGGAGGAGGTGAGGGCAAGATTTGGGGTAAAGAACAGAAGAGAATGAATGAGATTTTAGGGAATAGAGCCATCTCCTCTGGAGCAAAAATTGGACTTGTGGTCTGACAAGAGTCTTTGAAATTGGGAAGGTGTTGGAAAGTTAGGGCTGCACTGGTATCAGAGAGGGGGCAGGGAGGCCAGATCATCCTAGCAGCTGACTGTGGGAGGCAGTTCCCATTGCATCTCTGTGGCCCCCACCTGGGAAGTTCTGGCGCCAGGGAGACTACAGTGTGCGTGTGCGTGTGTGTGTGTGTGTGTGTGTGTGAGAGTGTGCATCCGCACATGCATGCATGTAGCGGGTGGTTTGGGAAGGTGAGGGAGGGAAGCTAGACAGTTCAAACTTGACTGATTATAAGCTGCAAGACCTCGGACAATTACTTAACATTGTGGAGACTCAGTTGCATCATTTATAAAATGAAGATAATTATAGTATCTCAAAGATTGTTGTGAGGATCAAAAGAAAGGATATGTGTGATGCCCCTAGCTGGGTTCCTAGAATGCAATTGGTGTTTAAGAAATGTTATGTGCTGTGGCTGTTATTCAACCCAGTGTCTTCCTGACATCCACACATTTTACTCCTCTGATTCCCTTCTTCCCACGATGGCAGAGTGTGGTGTGGCGGAGCTGGAGGGACTTGGAGAGATGATCTAGTCCAACAGCCTCACTTCGTGGAAGGGGCACAGACACCTAGGGCATATAGGGGTCTTACCCAACCCTGCCTAGGAATTGGTTTGGGGCTGAGGCTGGAACCCAGGCCTCCTGGACTCCCCATTCCAGTGCTCCACCCAGGATGTCTTGGAGCTTTGGATTCAGGTTAATATAGAGTAGGATGAAGTAGAAACTGCAGTGGGGACTCTAAATTCCAGCCCTGCCTATGAGGTGCCCCACACGTGGGGCAGAGGTGGGGGCGTCTCTTCCTCCTCTGGGTCCTCATTCCCCAGCACTGTCTGAGCAGACCTGCCTGGAAGGAGTGAGGTTCATCACAGAGCACTGTCAGGCACTGACAATGTTCCTGATGAAAATCCTTCACATGTCTCTGCCAATGCACGATGCATGTGAGAACAAGAGAGAGAATAGTGCAAAGTTACCTCTCCCCCCAAAATCCCACCATATGTTTCAATACGACTGTCAAGAAAACACCATCCACCCGGGCCCTGCCCAGCTCTGCCAGGAGGGAGGGGCAGGAGCTGGGCTCGCCCTGATGTGAGGAAGCTCACAGCCCAGTACCTGGGCTCACTAGGGGCAAATCCTAGCTCCGCCTTGCTGTGTGACCTTCCACCAGTTACTTCACGTCTCTGGATCCCATGTCCCTTATATGTAAAATAAGAGGATTGGAAAATCTCTAATAACTATGATTCCAAGACTTTGGAAAATGCTTATTTCTTTTTCTAAAGGACGTCTTTGGATTTGACCCCTTTGGTGCTTTTAGACGATAGTGTGGATAATCCTGGCAGTGTGGTCTATCTAGCTACTGGCGTCAGGAAAGAAAACTCATCTAAGGCTAGACCCTGCCTGGTGGAAAGAAGTCAGGAGCCAGGAGAGTTGGTCACTGTGGCTCTAGGGCCTGCCCTTGACCCTTGTGTGAGTGACCATGGACCTCTATTTCCCACCTATGAATAGGAACATCTCATCTACCTGACCTAACTCAGTGTGAGAGCCAGAGAAGACAATAGAAAGTCTTTTGGAGAGGTTGAAAATTCACTGTGTTTTATTCATAATGAGTAAGAGCCAACTGTTCCTCTGACTACATTGTAGAATGGGAAGGATAGGGCAGGCAAAGAGTGGGGATGGCCCAGAGTCCTGAGTTCCCCATTTGGGATCTTCGCAGTAAAAGCAGATCCTGCCATGTGCCCGGGCCGGGAGCTCTGGCTTTTCTCTGGAGCAAGGCTGCAGGTGGTCAGGGGCCAAATCTGCTGGGACCTGTGTGACAGGATGCCTCCCAGAACCTCCTCCTCACTGCCCTCCAGGCACATCCCAAAGTGCAACTGGGAGCCCTGTTTTATCCATTTCTGGACCCTTTGAGGGCAGGGCTGTTGGTGACTGCTAGATGGTTGAATATCAACACCCTGGCCTCCTGCTTCTCTCCCAGCAGCAGGGAACATTCCCAGTGGGAAGGAGACTGGGGCAGGACTGATTTCTTGGAACTGTATCATCTTCTGGTCCTCTTACACCCATCCCACCTCTCAGGTGGGGTTGGAGAGGCAGAGGGGAGGAGGGACTGGGGCTATCGTCATTCATGGCCAAGAGCTACAGCCCAGCTAGTCCCCATCTCTCATGGTAGCTCAACCCTCTTCACCATCCTTGGCAGAGAGAGACCCAAGCCAGAGGGGCAGCTGTCAAATAGCTCTGCATCATTCTTGTGCAGAGAGCTGTGTATATGTCAGGAAGAAACAGAGGGCCAGAATTTAAAGGAAGGGCAAGGAAGAGAGAAAATAAGAGTCAAGATAGAGACAGAACATAGGAGACAAAGTCAGGACCCCTTCGCCAAATGGATGGCAGGACGGCAGGACGGTCATGGACAAGAGAAGAGCACTCTCCCTCGTGGCCCCGCGTGGCCCAGCATTGGGGATGATACTGAGTGTCCCAGCCACGGAAAGCCCCGCATCGCTGAAGCTGTGAGGCACAGTGAGGGATTCTTATTTCCTTTGTGAAGGAGCCTAGAAGCCCAGGCATGGGCTGAAATGGCATCAGAGGCACTCATGGAGCACACCAGAAAACTTTAGAAAACAAAAGGACCTAGGATCAAGAGAAGCTTCTCCTCTGACAGTATTGGGGAAGCTGAGGCTTGACATCCTCCTTTTCCCTTTGAAAGCTGCAAAATGATATCAAACACCCAAACAACAGACCCAGTATAGTGAATTGTGGGTGCTTATCTCCAAAACCACTCCACCCAGCTCCTGCCCTCAGGGATAACCATGGCTAGCCCCTTCCTTGTGCCATCTTTAAAACATGTTATTTAGAAATAATAGCTCAATGTCCCTGGAATTTACCATATGCCAGACACTATGTGAAAGCTTTGTATACATTATCTTTTTTTGAAATTACATGTACCTCCCCTATGCACACATACCTACTGGTTTTCCTTGTTGTTTGTTTTTAATATAGGACTATACCAAGCATATTGTTTTGTGGCTTATTTTTTTTACTGAATGTGTCTTGGAGACCTTTCTTGTCAGTGTCCATTGCGCTTTGCCACCCTTTTAAATGGGCATCTAGTATTTCACAGTGTGACTGTACCATGGTGTGACTTCATAATTCCCTCATCTAGAGGTATTTGTGAACTTCCACTTTTTATGATACAAACAATGCTGAGTTACACATCCTTGGGCATATGTCTTAGTGCAGAATGTGTAAGGGTTTTATATGGTAATTCCTTGAATGAAACTCTGGATCAAAAAAGCATGTGAATTTCTTAGCTTGCAAGATCCGTGCACGTTTACCCTGAGCTTAGATGTTGGAGTGTTTTTTTTTTTTTTTTTTAATGATTTGGAGGTTTAGCCTTGCCTGAATTGTGAGGGATAGAGATTAGCCAAGCTCTGGCCCTTCAGTTCTGCCCTTGGATTTGATGACCCATAGATGAAAAGCAAAGGGCTGAGGGCAAAGGGTGCCCATTCCCACCTACCAGGGCAGTCAAGGGTGCCCCCTCAAGGGCCTGGAGGAGGCGCTGGGCACTCTAATCCTCAGAAGTGTTGCTGAACAGGACCCCGGGAGCCAGTGGTAGCTCCTTTGCCAGAGGATCTCTTGATAACTGCATTTGGAGGGCAGTGTAACCTAAAGCCAAAAGATAATCTACAATTAATTTCATCTCTGTTTGGAATTCATGAAATGATTAGATTTTTAAAGGAGATTGACCTACCCTTAGATGGTTGAATTTGACTGAGATTAAAAGAGTTTATTTGCATCTCCAAGTACATCCCTGACGTAGTCCCATGCCATGCTGGGGGAGTGGGCAGGGGTGTGGTGTGGGTGAAACCCATAATGCTTACCCACATAGGTGCCCTGAGGACAGAGCCTTATTCATCTGCTTGTGTTTATTACGGCATCTCCAGTGCCTGAAACAGCCTGGCACCCACAGTAGGTGCTCATTCCATCTTTGGTGAATGAATGCAAAGGCTTTGGAGGCAATATACAGTAAATGAGAGCCCAGACTCTTAATTCAGACACAGACCCCGGGGACAAGCTATGTGCTTCTGAACAATGGATTCTCTCTGAACCTCAGTTGCCTCATCTGTCAAATGGGAATAGTAAGAATCTCTGATAGTACTAACCTCATAGGACTGTTGTGAGGATTATAAAATAAAAATATTAATACTATTAATTATTTTAATAACAATAAACTCTTATCCCAACTTCTCAAGGGGTTCTTCTCATTCCTTCTCTGTCCCAACCCACCTCATTTCTCTTGAGTATGCTAACAGTCCTAGAAGGTCCCCCACAGTGGATTTTTTTTCTGCCTGTTAGAAGCCAAGTTCAGAGGGTTGAGCTCTTTAGACCAGTGGGGGTATAAAGCTATGGGGCAGGAGTGGTGTGAGAGCAGTGTTGCCATCTGCTCTCTGCAGAATGTCCCAAGCTCCCCACCCACACTTCCTGGTGCCCCTTGCCCCAGATTCCCCAGGGCTCTCTTCAAGCTGGCTTTCCAGCTGTTGAGCTGGCCGCTTACTTGACTCTACTTATGTTCTTTTTTTTTTTTTTTCGAGACAGGGTCTCACTCCGTCACCCAGACTGGAGTGCGGTGGCACAATCTTGGCTCACTGAAATGTCCGCCTCCCAGGCTCAAGCAATTCTCCTGCCTCAGGCTCCCTGGTAGCTGGGATTACAGGCGCGTGCCACTACTGCCTGGCTAATTTTTGTATATATATATATATATATTTTTTTTTTTTTTTTTTTTTTTTAGTAGAGATGGGGTTTCACCATGTTGGCCAGGCTGGTCTTGAACTCCTGACCTCAAATGATACACCTGCCTTGGCCTCCCAAAGTGCTGGGATTACAGGCGTGGGCTGCCGCACCTGGCCCACTGCTTATGTTCTAATCACTGGTCACTGGGGACCCCAGTTGACATTAATTGGTCCAAGGAATCTGTGAACAGGATGGGATGACTCCTCCCAATTCATTCTAGAAAACTGGGAGGAAAGAGTCACCATTATTGAGCCCTTAGTGTATATCTCCTCTGAGGTATGCATATGAAGAGAAAAGTGAGTCCCTGAAAGTCTAGGTCAGGAACCCAAGGTTCCACAGCTGGGAGGTGTCAGAGTCTGCACCTGGGTGAGGTGTGACTCCTGCCAGAGTGCAGAGGTTGCTCCCTGAGGCATGGTTTGCAGGGCACCAGCTCTTTCATCCCTGGCTGTCTTGCTCTGGCAGCCCATCTACCAGGGCTATGCATGGCCCTAGAAGAAGAGAGGCTGAAATCTTACATAATTACCCAAATCATGGCTCCTAAATGGCCTCTGATTACAGCACTAAAGCCCCTTTCTGCCGTGCAGCCCTGGCTCTCCTGAATAGAGCTGTGACCACTTTGTATGGGATTTTTTTCTTTTAAAGAGAAAGAGATGGCTTATCCACATGCAAAGTAGGTCAGAACCTTAGCAAAGATCTTTTCAAACACTTGGCTTTTTTGAAGTCCTGCTACGAAACTTCTTTTGTTTCTCCTGCCTTTGCCTCTTCCCTCCCGCCTCTCTCCTTTTTCCAAAGGCTCAACGACATCAAATGGTTCTGACAGCGACAGTGAGGGTTGCACACGATAAGCTCAATTATAAATAATGCCCAACTGGCCCAGCTGGGCCGAGAGTGCCAACTGCAGCCAGGCTGCCATGGCCCAGAGACTCCCAGCCCCAAGCACCTTTAGGGTATCGTGGGCACCTGCCCAGCTTGCCAGGAGTGTGAGTGCCCTTGCCCTGGGTCCCACCAGCCCAGAGAGGGGAAGGGAAGGCTGGACTGGGATTGCACCCATGCCAGGGAGCCAGCGGTCTGAGTTTGCGTTGCCCATTATTCATCCAACCTTGCAAAACGCATTTGCTTCCACAGGAAATCAACCCAGCAAGCTGATTAGTGCTTTGCCTCATGGTTTGTTATCCTGAGGGCTATTTTTCTCCCCTTTGCTCTTGCTTCTCCATCTCCCTCTCCCTAACCCCACCATCACCAATGATAGGCAGAAATCAGCAAGAATGATATATAGGTATTAAGAATGTTTTCCAGTGGGATGATGTTGCTGAAGGTGGTCACACTCGATCCCAACCCAGACCCTCATGCCAATCTTGATGAGCAGGCAGAGTGAGCAGGCACTTCTGGGCCTCCAGAGATGAGCAAGGTGACTCTTTAGTTTCAGCAGGCACTAAAGGCTGCAGGGCCTGGGGGTGATGGCTCAGGGACCAGAAACTGAGTCTGCTCACTCTGGAGCTCTTTTCTTCCTCAATGAGTTGGGGTGGAAATTGAAATGGATGTGCATACCCCTGTGCATGCATGTGTGTGAGCATGTGTGTGTGTGTGTGCATGCATGTGTGTGTGTGAGCATGAGAGTGTGTGTGCCCTCACTGAAGGACAGACTTATGATCAAAACGAATTTGCTCTTTGCACATGGTGATGGTGCCATCCAGGTGTTCAGAGTGATTCTTACTCAGAAGTGTCTCCCCTTACCCACATTCCACCCTCTTGGGACCTAGCAGGAGAAAAGCCTCCATCCGGTTAGCCCTGCCATCTTTCTCGTGTCCAGTCTCAGCTTGGGTCCAAGGAACCAGTAATTTTCCAGGGAGGCTGGTGTCTTCTGAGGCATTTAGAGGGTATGTTTTTCTAGGTACTTCAAGGGATGAGTGAGGAGCAAGCTTAGGATGTTTCTTTCATTCATTGAATAGTTATTGAGTACCAACCATCTGCCAAAATGCTTCTAGGTGCTGAGGGTACAGCAGTGAACAAAAAAGTCAAACATTCATATCATCATGGAATGTGGACTCCAGTGAGAGATACAGACGGTAAACTTGATACACAAGTACATAAAGGTGGTGATTAAAGCTATGAAAAGACAAAACAGGGAAGAGGGACAGAGACTTTGGAGGTGGCTGCAGTTTTATGTAGAGTGACCAAGAAGCCTCCCTGAGAAAGTCATGTGGAAATACAGGCCTCAGGGAGTGAGGCATGAAGACATCTGGAGAATGTGTTCCAGGCAGAGGAAAAGCAAGTGCAAAGGCCCTGAGGTCCCAGGGTATTTGGCGAATCAGAAGGAGGCACTTCAACTAGATCAGAGCAGGTGAGAGGCAGCGTACCAGGTGAGTTCAGAAAGGCAGTGGGTTGGAGGGGTGTGTATGTGTGTGCAGATTTTATGGGGCCTTGACGTAACAACTTTGGCTTTTACCCTGAGTGAGATGGAAGCCCTTGCAAGGGTCTGCGTAGAAGACTGTCAGGATCTGACTCAACACTTTTAGCAGCAAGTGCTGCTCCTCCCAAGACTATTCCTAGGTTTCCCCCCTCCCCGAGCCTTCCTTGCAGTTTGCAGCCCTTTGCTCCTGAGCTTGAAGAGGCTGAGCCAGACTGGAGGGGATGTTGAGTCCCTTTTTGCCCCAGAAGAAGGCAGAGAAAAAGGAACAGAGCTCACATCAGACATGGGGACTTTGCTTGCTGGGTTCCCCTGCGACTTTGGAAGTGACCACAATCCTGGTCCATTTGCCACTCCAAGGATTCTGGAACTTTGAAGGCTGGGACAGCGCCAAGCTGGGGCCCATCTCTCCCAAGAGGCTTAGACGCACGTCTGTCTGTCTGCATCTGTTCTCTTCATTTTCCCACTCTTCGGGGTGTCCGGCTTCCATCCTTCCTGTGGGTTCTCTCTAATGACTGTGAGATGAGGTATTGCACGCAGCAGAGAAGCCAGCAGTGTGGGCAGGTCTGAAGATGCTGGATTTCTCACCTCTCCCGCTTGCTCCCTCTCTTGGCGCCACCTCTCCCCCTCCCCTCTTCTCACTCCTTTGCAGAAGAGAATGACAATGAATGTGTGAAGATTGCTTGCTGGCTGGAGCTGCTCTGAGCTCCTCCCTTCCCAACCCAGAAGCGAGTCTTTCTTTCCACAGCCTGTCCCGCCCTGTCTGTTGCTGGAGGTCCTGGCACCTCCCCTCCGTCCCTTCTGTTGCTTTCCCCTCTCCACCATTCGGAGGCCATTCCTGGTCCTTTTGCATGCAGTCATCAGGATTCCCTGGGCTGTTATATGGGAACTGGCTGCATTGGAATGCTTAATCCATAATGGAACTATTGAGTGGTGGTGGAGTGAAAACCTCCTGGTATACCCAATTGGTGTTATTTATCCCCATTGAAAGGGCCCAGGCTTTGTAGTCAATTACAGAGGATGTTTGCTTTTCAGACCTCCAAAATGGGTGACTGGAGATATCAACTTACATTCACATTAAGTTCACATGGCCCTGAGTTTGCCCTCTCCATAAGGGCAAGAGAAAAGGGGAACAGTCCTGCTACATTTCCTGTTGGTTTCCCCATCCCTTCTTCTCTCCTAGGAACTTCCCACTGTGGAACCCAGACACAGGGTCTGCCTTCTCTCAGAAGGGGGCCAGCCTTCACGGAAGGGCAGGCTTACAGCTGCCTTCCAGGGTTGGGGTGGGGTTTGTTTGCCTTTGTAAATTGCCTCTT